>NT_187562.1:741046-1111570 GCF_000001405.40 Homo sapiens | reverse complement strand
GAATTCCCTGACCCCTTGCGCTTCCCAGGTGAGGCAATGCCTGCCTCACCCTGCTTCAGCTCGTGCACGGTGCACTGCACCCACTGTCCTGCACCTACTGTCTGGCACTCCCCAGTGAGATGAACCCAGTACCTCAGTTGGAAATGCAGAAATCACCTGTCTTCTGCGTCGCTCATGCTGGGAGCTGTAGACCAGAGCTGTTCCTATTCGGCCGTCTTGGCTTCTCTCCCCCCTGTTTTTGATTTTTTGATTATGGCCATTCTTGTGGGAGTGAGGTCATATTACATTGTGGTTTTCATTTGCATTTCCCTGATCATTAATGTTGTTGAGCATTTTTCCATATGTTTGCTGGCCATTTGTATATCTTCTTTTGAGACCAGTCTATTGATGTCTTTAGCCCACATTTGGATGGGACTGTTCGGTTTTTTCTTACTGATTTGTTTGAGTTTGTTGTAGATTCTGGATATTAGTCATTTATCAGATGTATAGATTGTGAATATTTTCTTCCATTCTGTGGGTTGTCTGTTTATTCTGCTGACTGTTCCTTTTGCAGTGCAAAAGCTCTTTAGTTTAATTAAGTCCCAATTATTTATCTTTATTTTTATTGTGTTTGCTTTTGGGTTCTTGGTCATGAAATCTTTGCCTAAGCCAACGTCTAGAAGGGTTCTCTCCAATGTTATCTTCTAGAATTTTTATAGTTTCAGCTCTTAGATTTAAGTCCTTGATCCATCTTGAGTTGATTTTTGTATAAGGTGAGAGAGGAAGATCCATTTTCATTCTCCTACAAATGGCTAGCCAATTATCCCAGCACCATTTGTTGAAAAGGGTGTCCTTTCTCTATGTTATATTTTTGTTTGTTTTGTCAAAGATCAGTTGGGCGTAAGTATTTGGGTTTATTTCTGGGTTGTCTATTCTGTTCCATTGCCCTATTTGCCTATTTTTATACCAGTACCACACTGTTTTGGTGACTATGGCCTTATAGTATAGTTTGAAATCAGGTAGTGTGATGCCTCCAGATTTGTTCTTTATGCTTAGTCTTGTCTTGGCTATGTGGGCTCTTTTTTGGTTCTATATGAATTTTAGAATTGTTTTTTCTAATTCTGTAAAGAATGGTGGTGGTATTTTGATGGGGATTGCATTGAATTTGTAGATTGCTTTTGGCAGTATGGTCATTTTCACAATATTGATTCTACCGATGCATGAGCATGAGATGTGTTTCCATTTGTTTGTGTTGTCTGTGATTTCTTTCAGCAGTGTTTAGTAGTTTTCCTTGTAGAGTTCTTTCAACTCCTTGGTTATGTATATTCCTAACTATTTTATTTTTTGCAGCTACTGTAAAAGGGGTTGAGTTCTTGATTTGATTCTCTGCTTTGTCACTGTTTTTGTATAGAAGAGCTACTGATTTGTGCACATTAGTCTTGTATCTGGAAACTTCGCTCAATTCTTTTTATCAGTTCTAGGAGCTTTCTGGAAGAGTCTTTAAGGTTTTCAGGGTAAACGATTATATTGTCAGCAAACAGTGACAGTTTGACTTCCTCTTTACCGATTTGGATGCCCTTTCTTTTTTTCTCTTGTCTAATTGCTCTGGCTAGGACTTCCAGTACTATCTTGAAAAGGAGTGGTGAGAATGGGCATCCTTGTCTTGTCTCAGTTCTCAGAGGGAATGCTTTCAACTTCTCCCTATTCAGTATTATGTTGCCTGTGGGTTTGTCATAGGTGGCTTTTATTACATTGAAGTATGTCCCTTGTATGCTGATTTTGCTGAGAGTTTTAATCATAAAGTGATGCTGGATTTCATCAAATGCTTTTTTTTTCATCTATTGAGATGATCATGTGATTTTTGTTTTTAATTATGTTTATGTGGTGTACCACATTTATTGACTTGCATATGTTAAACTGTCCCTGCATCCCAGGTATGAAACCCACTTGATCATGGTGGATTATCTTTTTGATATGCTGTTAGATTCAGTTAGCTAGTATTTTGTTAAGGATTTTAGCATCTATGTTCATCAAGGATATCAGTCTGTAGTTTTCTTTTTTGCTTATGTCCTTTCATGAGTTTTGGTATTAGGGTGATGCTAACTTCATAGAATGAATTAGGGATGGTTTCTTCGTTCTCTGTCTTGTGAAATAGCTTCAAAAAGATTGGTAACAATTCTTCTTTGAATGTTTGGTAGAATTCTGCTGTGAATCCATCTGGTCCTAGACTTTTTGTTGGTAATTTTAAAATTAGCATTTCAATCTCACTGCTTGTTATTGGTCTGTTCAGCATATCTAATTCTTCCTTATTTAAGCTCAGAGGGTTGTATTTTTCCAGGAATGTATCAATTTCTTCAAGGTTTACTAGTTTATGTGCATAAAGGTGTTCATAGTAGCCTTGGTTGGTCTTTTGTATTTCAATGGTGTCTGTTGTAGTATCTCCTGTTTTGTTTCTGAATGAGGTTATTTGGATTTTCTTTCTTCTTTTCTTGGTTAATCTTGCTAATGGTCTATCAATTTTATTTATCTTTTCAAAGAACCAGCTTTTTGTTTCATTTACTTTTTGTATTGTATTTTTGTTTCAATTTCATTTACTTCTTCTCTGTTCTTGGTTATTTCCTTTCTTCTGCAGGGTTTGGGTTTGGTTTTTTCTTCTTTCTCTAGTTCCTTGAGATGTGACCTTATCTTTTTTTTTTTTTTTTTTTTTTTTGAGATTGAGTCTCGCTCTGTTGCCCAGGCTGGAGTGCAATCAATCTTGGCTCACTGCAACCTCTGCCTCCTGGGCTCAAGCAATTCTCCTGCCTTAGCCTCCCGAGTAGCTGGGACTACAGGCGTGTGCCACCATGCCTGGCTAATTTTTTGTATTTTTAGTAGAGATGGGGTTTCACCATATTAGCCAGGATGGTCTCAATCCCCTGACCTCATGATCCTCCCACCTCGGCATCCCAAAGTGCTGGGATTACAGGCATGAGCCACCATGCCTGGCCAAGGTGTGACCTTAGAATATCAATTTGTGCTCTTTCAGTCTTTTTGGTGTAGGCATTTAGGGCTATGAACTTTACTCTTAGCACCATTCTTTAACACTTTAACTCAGTGTATTCAAAACATATTCTACTCAATCTCTTCTCTTTTGCTACCAGCATTTCCCCAGTCTACTAGGTATGCAAACTAGAGTCCTTTTCTTTGCATAGTGCAAGAGAGATGGAGACACGGATCAATCAGCACCAAGTCCCTTGCAGTCTTCCTTCCTTCCCTATTCAGTTTTCTTTCACTTCCTTCTTGGCCACCTGCAAAACTTGTCACTGACACTACTAGAATAGCTTCCTAACTGCAGTTTGTACCTTTTCTTTCATTCAGTTCAAATAATCTTAAAAACTTCTGTTAAATTAATCTTTCTAAAGTGTTACTCTGATTGGACCACTTCCCTCAAAAAAAATCTTTATGTTCTTCTCCTGCCTATTGAAGTGAGTAAAAATTCCTCAACCTGGGATTCAGGG
Source organism: Homo sapiens (assembly GCF_000001405.40). Taxonomy (NCBI): domain Eukaryota; kingdom Metazoa; phylum Chordata; class Mammalia; order Primates; family Hominidae; genus Homo; species Homo sapiens. The sequence goes on along the minus strand of NT_187562.1, from coordinate 1,108,094 downwards.
CCTTCTACCATGACAACTTGAAATTACAGACTCATCTCCTATTGCTTTCCTATTTATGTACTATACCTCCTAGCCACAGTGGGCTTTTCATTGAGGCTTAAAGATGCTCTGCTGATAGAGCTTTGTTCATACTTTCAACCCCAAATAATGCCTTTCTACAGTGCGTGTTTCCAGCTGTCAAAGGCAAATGCTTTCCTTGAGGTGCATTTCATATAATTCTCTCTACATGCACTATTTTCTAATTCTTCCTAATTAATGTTATAATACACATTTTGAACCCTCAGTATTTTGAGTAAACCTTTCTTATAGAATCTTTTTCACTTTATCTTGCATTATAGTTATTTGCCTACTTGTGTCATGTTCTAATAAAACATAAAGCTCTTAGAAGACTAACTCTTGAAGCACCTAACAGTGTTTTGCATATCACAGATATGCACTAAGAAGCTGATTTGTTCAGTATTGAAAGATGGGCAGCAGTCAGAAAAATGGAGAGAACAGAAAAGATCTAGGTGGGAAAATGGCTAAAGATGTGATCAAGCATTGTGAAAACAGAGAAATGAGAGTGCAAATAGAATATAGTGAAAAGATAGGGTAGCTAGAACAAAGGATTTCTGAATGAAAATGTTGGGAGATAAATGTTGGGAGGGTAAATTGGAGCCATATTGTAAGAAGTTAATTTGGGCTCAAGCCCAGATCACTTACAGTGCAACAATCAATACCATGATGTGCTGCTGGACATTCCATCTGAGCTCTGTAACAGTTTCCTGTTTGAAATGAGGTAAAACCAGGTTTCTCAGACCAATATACTAAGTGAGTAACAGGCAGTCTTTGGATGTGGTTATTTGACTGTGGACTATTGTTTTAAGCTCTATTGTTTGTAGGAGTCAAATATAATTACTGTACTTGCCTTTCCTTGACCTCGGGCTCTGTGCTTAGAAACTAAAGATTGGATAAGTTGCCCAAGTTCAATATGGGTAGCTCAGTTACTGATGCTTATTAAAATGCCCTTGATAGGCCGGGTGCAGTGGCTTACACCTCTAATCCCAGCACTTTGGGAGTCCGAGGCAGGCGGATCACCTGAGGTCAGGAATTTGAGACCAATCTGACCAACATGGTGAAACCCCATCTCTACTAAAAATACAAAAATTAGCTGGGCTAGGTGGCATGCGCCTGTAATCCCAGCTACTCAGGAGGCTGAGGCAGGAGAATCTCTTGAACCTGGGAAGTGGAGGTTGCCGTGAGCAAACAGTACTGAAAGGCCTGTACTAAAAAACAGTAGCCCACATCCTTCTCTGTCTCACATATATAGTTCCTATTTCACAGAGAACACCACTTTTGTCTTCCCTCATAATTATTTCCACACCTCTTAATGAAGAGCTTATACTTCTGTTAATTGATTTATCAATTATAGATGTTTTCTATTCACTTTATGTTATAATAGCTGTGGATCTGACTCTCTTGGGCTCCACTTGTCCTCTTCATCTCTCTCCAGATTATTACTATTTTAATTAAAAGAGTAGTCAGCGACTATATCATCATTATCATAAAAATTTTATTCACTGTATCATTCTTAAGCCTTTGCATCCTCAGCTTAGCTCCCACTTAGGAGAACATATGATGTTTGGTTTTCCATTCCTAAATTACTTCACTTAGAATAATAGTCTTCACTTCCATCCAGGTTGCTGCAATGCCATTAATTCATTCCTTTTATGGCTGAATAGTATTTATATATATATATATATATATATATATATATATATATACCACAATTATATACATATTATATATATATACCACAATTATATATACACACACACACACACATATATATATATATATATATATATATATATATATATATATACACCACAATTTCTTTATCCACTCATTGATTGATAGGCATTTGGACCGGTTCCATACTTTTGCAATTGCGAATTGTGCGAATTGTGCTGCTATAAACATGAAACTCTTTAGTTTAATTAAGTCCTACCTATTTATCTCTGTTTATGTTGCATTTGCTTTTGGGTTCTTGGTCATGAAACCCTTGCCTAAGCCAATGTCTACAAGGGTTTTTCTAATGTTATCTTCTAGAATTTTTATAGTTTCAGTCTTAGATTTAAGTCCTTGATCCACCTTGAGTTGATTTTTGTATAAGGTGAGAGAAGAGGATCCAGTTTCATTCTCCTACATGTGGCTAGCCAATTATCCCAGCACCATTTTTTGAGTAAGGTGTCCTTTCTCACTTTATGTTTTTGTTTGCTTTGTCAAAGATCAGTTGGCTGTAAGTATTTGGGTTTATTTCTGGGTTCTCTATTCTGTTCCACTGGTCTATATGCCCATTTTTGTACCAGTACCATGCTGTTTCAGTCACTATGGCCTTATAGTTTGAAGTTAGGTAATGTGGTGCCTCCAGATTTGTTCGTTTTGCTTAGTCTTGCTTTGGCTATGTGGGCTCTTTTTTGTTTCCATATGAATTTTAAAAATGTTTTTTCTAGTTCTGTGAAGAATGACGGTGGTATTATGATGGGGATTGCATGAATTTGTAGATCGCTTTTGGCAGTATGGTCATTTTCCCAATACTGATTCTATCCATCCATGAGCATGGGATGTGTTTCCTTTTGTTTGTGTCATCTCTGATTTCTTTCAGCAGTGTTTTGAAGTTTTCATTGTAGAGTTCTTTCACCTCCTTGGTTAGGTATATTCCTAAGTATTTTACTTTATTTTTTTTCAGGTATTGTAAAAGGGGTTGAGTTCTTGATTTGATTCTCAGTTTGGTCACTGCTGGTGTATAGCAGAGCTACTGATTTGTGTACATTAATTTTGTATCCTGAAACCTTGCTGAATTCTAGGAGCTTTTTGGAAGAGTGTTTAGGGTTTTCTAGGTATACAATCATATAATCAGCAAACAGTGACAGTTTGACTTCCTCTTTACTGATTTGGATGCTCTTTATTTCTTTCCCCTGTCTGATTGCTCTGGCTAGGACTTCTAGTACCATGTTGAATAGAAGTGGTGAGAGTGGGCATCCTTTTCTTGTTCCAGTTCTCAGAGAGAATGCTTTCAACTTTTCCCCGTTCAGTATTATTATGTTGGCTATGGGTTTGTCATAGATAGCTTTTATTATATTGCAGTATGTCACTTGTATGCCAATTTTGCTAAGGGTTTTAATTACAACGAGATGCTAGATTTTGTCAAATGCTTTTTCTGCATCTATTGAGATGATCACATGATTTTTTGTTTTTAATTCTGTTTATGTGGTGTATCACATTTATTGACTTGCATATGTTAAACCTTCCCTGCATTCCTGGTATAAAACCCACTTGATCATGGTGAATTATCTTTTTGATATGCTATTGGATTCAGTTAGCTAGTATTTTGTTAAGGATTTTAGCATCTATCTTCATCAGGGAAATTGGTCTGTAGTTCTCTTTATTTGTTGTGTCCTTTCCTGGTTCTGGTATTAGGATGATACTGGCTTCATCAAATGATTTAGGGGGAATTCCCTCTTTCTCTGTCTTGTGGAATAGTGTCAATAGGATTGGTACCAATTCTTCTTTGAATGTGTGATAGAATTCAGCTGTGAATTTGTCTGGTCCTTGACATTTTTTTGTTGGTAATTTTTTTTATTACCATTTCAATCTCATTGCTTGTTATTGGTCTTTTCAGGGTTTCCAATTCTTCCTGATTCAAGGTAGGAGGGTTGTATCTTTCCAGGAATTTGTCCATCTCCTCTAGGTTTTCTAGTTTATGTGTGTAAATGTGTTCATATTAGCCTTAATTATTTTTTTTTGTATTTCTGTGGTGCTACTTGTAATTTCATGTCTTAATGAGATTATTTGGATTTTCTCTCTTCTTTTTTTGGTTAATCTTGCTAATGATCTATTAATTTTATTTATCTTTTCAAAGAACCAGCTTTTTGTTTCATTTATCTTTTGTTTGTTTGTTTGTTTGTTTCCATTTCATTTAGTTCTGCTCTGATCTTTGTTATTTCATTTCATCTGCTGGGTTTGGGTTTGGTTTGTCATTGTTTCTCTAGTTCCTTGAGGTGTGACCTTAGATTGTCTATTTGTGCTCCTTCAGAATTTTTGATGTAGGCATTTAAGGCTATGAACTTTCCTCTTAGCACTACTTTTGCTGTATCTCAGAGGTTTTGATAGGTTGTGTCACTATTATCATTCAGTTCAAAGAATGTTTTAATTTCCATCTTGATTTGATTATTGATCCAATGGTCATTCAGGAGCAGGTTATTTATTTATTCATTTATTTACATATTTATTTTGGAGGCTGAGTCTCATTCTGTCACCCATGCTGGAGTGCAGTGGTGTGATCTCGGCTCACTGCAACCTCTGCCTCCCAGGTTCAAGCAATTCTCCTGCCTCAGCCTCCCAAATAGCTGGGATTACAGGCATGTGCCACCATGCCTGGCTGATTTTTGTATTTTTAGTAGAGATGGGGTTTTGGCATGTTGGCCAGACTGGTCTTGAACTCCAGACCTCAGGTGATCCATCCACCTAGGCCTCCCAAAGTGCTGGGATTATAGGCATGAGCCACTGTGGCCAGCCAGGAGCAGGTTATTTAATTTCCATGTATTTGCATGGTTTTGAAGGTTCCTTTTGGAGTTAATTTCCAATTTCTTTCCACTGTAGTCTGAGAAAGGACTTGATATAATTTCAGTTTTCTTAAATTTATTGAGACTTGTTTTGTGGCCTATCATAGGGTGTATCTTGGAGAAAGTTCCATGCACTGATGAGTAGAATGTACAATCTGTGGTTGTTGGGTAGAATGTTCTGTAAATATCTGTTAAGTCCATTTGTTCCAGGGTATGGTTTAAATCCACTGTTTTTTTTTGTTTACTCTCTGTCTTGATGCTTGTCTAGTGCTGTCAGTGGAGTATTGAAGTTCCTCACTATTACTGTGTTGCTTTCTCTAATTTCTTAGGTCTAGTAGTAATTGTTTTATAAATATGGGAGCTCCAGTGTTAGGCACATACATATTTAGGATTGTGATATTTTCTGGTTGGACAAGGCCTTTTATCATTGTGTAATGTCCCTCCTTATCTTTTTTAACTGCTGTTGCTTTAAAATTTGTTTTGTCTGATATAAGAATAGCTACTCCTGCTCACTTTTGGTGTCTATTTGCATGAAATGTCTTTTTCCATCCTTTTACCTTAAGTTTATGTGAGACCTTACGTGTTAGGTGAGTCTCTTGAAGGCAGCAGATGGTTGTTGAATTCTTATCCATTTTGCAATTCTGTATATTTTAAGTGGAACATTTAGGCCATTTACATTCAATGTTAGTATTGAGATGTGAGGTACTATTCCATTCATTTTGCTATTTGTTTCCTGAATACCTTTTTTTTAATTGCTTATTTTTTATAGGTCATGTGAGATTCATACTTTAAACGGGTTCCGTTTTGATTTGTTTCCAGGAGTTGTTTCAAGATTTAGAGCTCCTTTAGCTGTTCTTGTGGTGCTGGCATGGTAGGGGCAAATTCTCTCAGTCTTTTTGTTTGTCTCAAAAAGACTGTATCTTTCCTTCATTAATGAAGCTTAGTTTCACTGGATACAAAATTCTTGACTGATGATTGTTTTGTTTAAGGAGGCTGAAGATAGAGCCCTAATCCCTTTTAACTTGTAGGGTTTCTTCTGAGAAATCTGCTGTTAATTTGATAGGTTTTCCTTTATAGGTTACCTGATGCTTTTGCCTCATAGCTTTTAAGATTATTTCCTTTGTCTTGACTTTATATAACCTGATGACTATGTGCCTAGGTGATGATCTTTTTGTGATAAATTTTCCAGGTGTTCTTTGAGCTTCTTGTATTTAGATGTCTAGATCTCTTGCAAGGCTGGGGAAGTTTTCCTTTATTATTCCCCCAAATATGTTTTCCAAACTTTTAGACTTCTCTTATTCCTCAGGAATGCCAATTATCCTTAGGTTTGGTCATTTTGTCATTTAACATAATCCCAGACTTCTTAGAGGTTTTGTGTATTTTTTAAAATTCTTTTTTCTTTGTCTTTGTTGGATTGAGTTATTTCAAAAACCTTGTCTCTGAGCTCTGAGGTTCTTTCTTATGCTTGTTTGATTCTATTGCTGAGACTTTCCAGTACATTTTGCATTTCTCTAAGTGTGTCCTTTATTTCCTGAAGTTGTGATTGTTTTTAATTTATGCAATCTGTTTCACTGAAGATTTCTCCCTCATGTCTAGTATCATTTTTTTTAATTTCCTAAAGTTGGACTTCACCTTTCTCTGGTGCCTCCTTGATTAACTTAATAATTGACCTTCTAAATTCTTTTTCTGGCAATTCAGGGATTTCTTCTTGGGTTGAATCCATTGCTGGTGAGCTAGTGTGATTTTTTTTGGGCATGTTAAAGAATCTTGTTTTGTCATATTACCAGAATTGTCTTTCTGGTTTCTTCTCATTTGAGTAGGCTATGTCAGAGGGAAGATCTGGGGGTCAAGGCTGCTGTTCAGATTATTTTGTTCAACGGGGTGATCTCTTGATGTAGTACTCTCTCCCTTTTCCTAGGGATATGGTTTCTGGAGAGCCAAACTGCAGTGATTGTTATTTCTCTTCTAGATCTAGCCACCCAGCAGGGCTGACAGTCTCCAGGCTAATACTGGGTGGTGGTGGTGTGGGGAGTGTCTGCACAGAATTCTCTGGTGTGAACCATCTTTAGGTCTCTCAGCCATGGATACCAGCACCTGCTCCAATGGAGGTGGCAGGAGAGTGAAATGGACAGGATCTGTAAGGATCCTTAGTTGTAGTTATTTAATGCACTAGTTTTGTGCCTCCTGCCAGGAGGTGATGCTTTCAAGAGAGCATCAGCTGTGGTAGTATAGAGGAGGATCAGGTGGTGGGCAGGGCCCTAGAACTCCCAAGAGAATATAAACTTTGTCTTCAGCCAATAAGATGGGTAGGGAAGGACCATCAGGTGGGAGCAGCATTAGGCGTTTCTGAGCTCAGACTCACCTTGGGCAGGGCTTGCTCTGGCTGCTGTGGGGGATGGGATGTGCTTCCCAGGTCAATGGAGTTGTTTCCAGGAGGATTATGGCTGCCTCTGCTGTGTCATGCAGGTTATCAGGAAGTGGGGGAAAGGCGGCAGTTACAGGCCTCACCCAGCTCTCATGCAACCCAAAAGGCCAGTCTCACTCCCACCATGCCCCCTCAACAGTGCCAAATTTGTTTCCAGTCAGTGGGCGAGTAGGGCTGAGAACTTGCCCTAAGCTACCAGCCTCCTGGCTGAGAAAGCAAGTAGGGCTTTCATGCCTCCCTGCCTGTTAAGTCTGCATACCAGATTCACACCCTTCCTCGAGGTCTGGCCAGGAAACTTTGCATTCAGTTGGAATTGTTAAAAAGTTCACCTGGAGGTTTCTTTCTCCCTGTGGTCTTTTCCCAGTTCCTCTGGCAGCCCTCCCCAAGGACCACTTGAAACAAGTCAGAAATGACTTCCCTGGGGACCCAGAGAGCCCACAGGGCTTTTCCTGCTGTTTCATCCATCCCTGTATTTCACTCAGTTCTGTAAATTGTCTCAGATCCAGGTAAGGTCTAATCCTTCTCCCATGATTGGGACCTTCAGGTTCCCCAGTGAGGTTATGTGTTTGGGGTGGACAATCCCCCTTTCCCACTTTCACAGTTTGGACACTCACAGAATCTGGGCTGTCTCCTGGGTCCTGCAGGATCAATTTGTTCCCTTCAAAGGGTCTGTGTATTCTCTTGGCCTTCCTGATATATTCCTACAGTAGTTCTTGGAGCAAAAGTCCACAGTATGAGTCTCCACATGCTGTTTTGTCCATCCAAGTGGGAGCTGCAATTTAGTCCTTCCTCCTACCCAACATTTTTTACTCCCTTGTCATATAATTTGAGGTCAGGAAATGTCATACCTCCAGCTTTGTTCTTCATGTTTAGGATTGCTTTGGTGATTTGGGCTCATTTTTTTCCATGAATTTTAAGATTTTTTTCTAATTCTGTGAAAAATGATGTTGGTATTTTGATAAGGATTACATTAGGTCCTTAAATTGCTTTGGGCAATATGGTTATTTTAATGATATTAATTATCCCAATTTATGAGCATGGGATGTTTTCTCTCTCCCTCTAGCTGAGACCTCTGGACAAACTATAGGTAACCAGTTGTAGAAGACAGAAAATAGGAGACATGGCCTGACCCAAACTATACAACTTATGTAGGCTCTGGGGAAAACAGAAGGTTATTTCAAGTTATTTTTCAAGTCCTACAGAACCTCACATTGGAATTAACCTGGAAATGGTCCAGCTGTAGCCTCCAGGCATTGGCATATGACTGATGATACATGGCCTTAGAGAGGGGTGAGAGAACAGGAGAGTGTGCATGCCATCACTGTGGTGACCACCAGTTCTTGGAGGCAGAGGCACAACCTCTGAGATGAGATGACCTCTGGAAGGTAGAGCAATATGAAAGAGAAGAGTGAGAAGGAATGGCTAACCATTCTCAGCCCTCCAGGCTAGCTAATGTTTCTATAGTAGCAGGGATGAGAATTTGAGAAAAAGCTTCTTCATTGTCAAAATGTCTGTGCCCTGCTTCCTGCCTTCACTGTGCAGATTCACCTCTGGGCTCTTCTACTTCAGATGGGGAGCACCCGCTTCCCACTAGGCAGACAGAAAAGCCATAGGGCCAGCTCATCCTCCAAAAGAAGCACAGTTCCTTCTCCATGGGCAAAAGTGCCTTATCCCTGGTGTGTCATCTCTAGAGTGATGTCTAAGGTAATGAAAGAAGAGGAGAAGTAGAAAGGTCTAGTTGTTCATCATGAAAGTGAACACAGATTCAGGCAGTGGGAATTTATTTCCGCTCTGACACAAATACGTGTTAGTATTGATAATGAGCTATTGGGAAGGGGATGGGGAATTATGTGTGTATACAAGTGTGTGTGAACTCACATGTAAGCTGGGTAATGGTGACCACAGTCTGATATACATGAGTATATGTCTGTGTATTGGTGTTTCTAATATAAGATAGTGTCTTTCTGCACATGGATCTGGGAGTTCTGAGATATGGGTACTCAGAATGTGAGCCTTCTGAGAGCTGCTTGTCTGCTGCTTTGCTTTATTCTCATACCTTGTCCTTAGAAGTCCTAGCCGAGGATAAATATCCGGCTGCAGGTCCATGCCAATAAATCTTGGGATAAATAACTGATGACATTGGGCTAGTTTCACAGTGTTGTTTTTGGATGATTCAGGGACATGGATCTTTGGGACAGAAAGTTAACCTTGTGATTGCTAGTCCTGGAATAGCCTGGGCAGGACTGGGCTACCCTCACTCTTGAAGGGGGCACACTGTGAAACATAACCCCCCATTCCTAGTAATTTTCCAGCCAGGCAGATGATCTAGATGAAGAGGTGACTACCTGCCCCTCTAGTCTTCTGACCACATTAGGAGCTAAAACAAAATAAAGTGAAAAGATGCCCCTCACTGAGCATTGAATGAACTGGCTCTGAACCAAAGAGATAGAAATCCCAGTAGGGGTCACTGGGAAGGAGAATACTATCTGTCAAGGTCAGCTACACCAGAATCACTCCATAAGCCATGTAGCTACTGTCACCACCAGTTAATAGAATTCAGAGATTCCAGTGAGAAGTTAGCCCATCATTCAGCATCCCACCTTCTCCATTTGTTCATCCCCTATTTTATAAACTGGAATGCCTGCATTTCTGAAGGGAGGGAATACACATTTTTCCTTCAAAAAAGCTCCCATTTGTTTCCGGCAAAATATACCTAAGGTATAGGGGGATCAGCTGAGTATGATGTCAGAGACTCTCTGGCTATATGGCGAATGCTGTTGACCAAAGCTGGAAGGACTTCATTAGTCACTGGTGTCAGGGAAGCTGATCATCGCTTCTTAGGTTACACACTAAGAGATAGTCTTCATGGTTCTTGATGTGTCTGCACATTACAGTCACCTGGGAAGTCTCACCCCAGACCAATTAATTATATCAGAATTTCTGGGCATGTTGTCTGGGTGTTCAAAAACTCCCAGGAGTGGTTGTAATGTGCATCCAGGGTTGCAAAACACTGAAATTGTGGATCATCTCATTCTGAAAATATGAATCTAGAATACTCAACTAGATACCTAGATATTAAAAGTGAAATAGTGACTTTTTCAATGGTCATTATGTCTCCTTTGTTGATATGATATGTTAGGGTTACCATGTGAAACTTTATGATGTTCCGTGGACATGTCTGAAAACTATAAGGTGGACCAATTAGATTTCTCCCTCAGGAATTTGAAGGGAAACTCAAAGGCATTGGTGGATATTTGACCTGAAAGTTTAGAATGAGTTGGGACAAGGTAGTCGTGATGAGTCTATGGCTATGCAGATGTATCACGTAATAGGGACTCAGAGGAGATTGGTCAAAAGAGGGAAGAGGACAAAAGAGTAGCCGGAGAAACAAAAGAGTGATGGGGGTGGGAGTAGGGGAGCACAGAGAGGAAGACGGCCAGTCCCAAGACACCTTGATTCCTGACCTTTCTGAAGTCTTTTCCCAGATTACATTTCAATCAGAACTCTAATGGAAACTCTGATTTAGAACCATAAGTGAGGAAGTCAAAGCTCCTTGAAGATGCTGTTTTCTCTCATATCATTAAGCCTGCCTCAAATGCACTTTATTCTCCTCTCTGTCACTCAAACACCTACTCCTTTTAAAAGAACAGTATGCATGTCACTCCCACCTGGCTTCCCCAGAACAAAGGACAACCCACTCTTTGCACATTCTTTACTTTCACAGGATTTTGCTCCATATCTTTCTTTATTTCTTTACACATTAAATGTAATTTTCTGTTTACTTGTCTTCTTTACTAGATTTTGAGCTCCTTGAGGACAGAGGTTATATGTCATTTATATTTTTTTTTACTAGTACCTAGTATAGTTCCCAGTCCATAGCAATTGCTGAATAGATATTTCTTAATTGAATACATTCTTAAAGATCAAATGGACCTGAGTTTTTGAACTTTCTGTTTTCTCATACACCCAGAAAAGGGTTAATGAACATAATACAACCTTTCCAGAATTGGATCTGAAAGTGGTGAGTAATTTTCCCCAGTAATTTCTTATTTAACATATTTACTAAAAACCCTTATCACAAAATTCTCCTCTTCTGTTTTTTTTTAAACCAATAACAGTCGTTTATTATCATTATCAAGTATTGCGTACTGTACATACTTGTCTGTGCTATATTTTTATACAACTGGCAGTGCAGTAGGTTTGCTTACACCAGCATCACCACAAGCATGAGAGTAATTCATTGCACTGTGACATCACTAGGTAATAGGAATTTTTCAGCTCCATTGTAATCTCATAGGATCACAGTCAGTCTATTGTTGACTGAAATGTAGTGAATGACTGTATAATAGGGCTCCAACGAAGATCACAAAATTGCTTGTTTTCCAGAACTTTGACAAATACCTTTTACAGAAACTAATATAATAGATAAATAATAGTATATCATTGCTGTTTTCATTTGCATTTCATTGATTACTAACTGTTTGTATTTTTTCTTGTTTATTGGCTGTTTACTTCTTTGTCAATTTCTTTTTTTTTAATTATACTTTAAGTTTTAGGGTACATGTGCACAACGTGCAGGTTAGTTACATATGTATACATGTGCCATGTTGGTGTGCTGCACCCAGTAACTTGTCATTTAACATTAGGTATGTCTCCTAATGCTATCCCTCCCCACTCCCCCCACCCCACAACAGTCCCCGGTGTGTGATGTTCCCCTTCCTGTGTCCATGTGTTCTCATTGTTCAATTCCCACCTATGAGTGAGAACATGCAGTGTTTGGTTTTTTGTCCTTGCGATAGTTTTCTGAGAATGATGGTTTCCAGCTTCATCCATGTCCCTACAAAGGACACGAACTCATCATTTTTTATGGCTGCATAGTATTCCATGGTGTATATGTGCCACATTTTCTTAATCCAGTCTATCATTGTTGGACATTTGGATTTGTTCCAAGTCTTTGCTATTGTGAATAGTGCTGCAATAAACATACATGTGCATGTGTCTTTATAGCAGCATGATTTATAATCCTTTGGGTGTATACCCAGTAATGGGATTGCTGGGTCAAATGGTATTTCTAGTTCTAGATCCCTGAGGAATCGCCACACTGACTTCCACAATGGTTGAACTAGTTTACAGTTCCACCAACAGTGTAAAAGTGTTCCTATTTCTCCACATCCTATCCAGCACCTGTTGTTTCCTGACTTTTTAATGATCGCCATTCTAACTGGTGTGAGATGGTATCTCATTGTGGTTTTGATTTGCATTTTTCTGATGGCCAGTGATGATGAGCATTTTCTCATGTGTCTTTTGGCTGCATAAATGTCTTCTTTTGAGAAGTGTCTGTTCATATCCTTCACTCATTTTTTGATGGGGTTGTTTGTTTTTTTCTTGGCCATACTGCCCAAGGTAATTTATAGATTCAATGCCATCCCCATCAGCTACCAATGACTTTCTTCACAGAATTGGAAAAAACTACTTTAAAGTTCATATGGAACCAAAAAAGAGCCAGCATCGCCAGTTCACTGCAACTCCACCCTCCGAGTTCAAGCAATTCTCCTGCCTCAGCCTCCTGAGTAGCTGGAACTACAGGTTCCTGCCACCACACCAGGCTAATTTTAATTAATTATTTATTTATTTTTTGGTATTTTTAGTACAGACAGGGTTTCATCATATTGGCCAGACTGGTCTCGAACTCCTGACCTTGTGATCCACCCACCTTGGCCTCCCTAAGTGTTGGGATTATAGGCGTGAGCCAGTGTGCCCTGCCTAAACTCACTTTCTTTAAACAATCCCCACGACCCTGCTTCCTCCATCTTACCTCAGTCTCTATCTCCACTTTTTTTTTTTTTTGTCTCAGATGGGTCACTCACAGCTTCTAGATACATATAAAATATGTTACAAAACTACTTAAAATGATTTGGGGGTTCAAAGCCCCTCTCCATTGTTGCTATATTTGGCCATTTAAACATTAAGGTGGTGATGGTTGTGCCCACCACCAAATTTAATGTGAACCCGAGCAGAGATTTGAAGCTCCAGCGGGGCAAACATATTTCCCATATATTTGGGGAAAGGATGAGAAGTCTAGAAAAAAAGACATATCTCACAGAAGCACGACTGTTGTATTTCCTTTCAATTCTGCCTCAGACCCCTTCTTCTGAAGCTTAGGTGCACGATCATGAAACTCTAGCCTGGGCTCAATCTTTGAGACAGATGTACTGTGTTTGTTTGCTTGTTTGTTTGTTATTGTTTTGACAACATCCCCATGAAAATGCATTATGCAAATAGAAGTTCAACAAGACAAGTTTTCATTTTCACTTGTTAGTGTTTTCAGTTAAAATTGTTAGACAATTGAACAGACAAACTTGAACCATTAGGGCAGGAGATGCTATATGTGATATTTGAAATGCTCCTTGATCAGCAAATATATGAAAATGTGAAAGGCGAATGAGAAAATGTCAGTGTAGGGGGTATGCAAGGTCATGTGTAAAAGTCTAAAGTGCCCAAGCTGAAGATCACCTGTACTCTGCTCCTTGGAGTTCAAACCCAGACACCACTTACTAGGTGCATGCCCTGGAGCAAGGCTTCCTTTGTACCGTCAGTGGTGGAATGAAGACACCCATAACGGCTGCTTCACAGGGTTGTTGAGAAGATCAAATGAGACAATGTCTGCAGGAACACGTGATATAGCTGTTATTGCCATGAAGTACAGCAAGGGACAAAGGAAAAGGACTATGTCATTTCTTGAGTCCTTGGCACTAGAGGTGATGCACATCCTTGGGTGGGTGGAGAAGTCAGGGAAGCTGGTCTTGGTGACAAAGAGATACAAGATTCCGGGCCAGGCACGGTGGCTCACACCTGTAATCCCAGCACTTTGGGAGGCAGAGGTGGGCAGATCACGAGTTCAGGAGATGGAGACCATCCTGGCCAACACGGTGAAACCCCGTCTCTACTAAAAAATACAAAAAATTAGCCAGGCGTGGTGGTGGGCGCCTATAGTCCCAGCTACTCGGGAGGCTGAGGCAAGAGAATGGCATGAACCCGGGAGGCAGAGCTTGCAGTGAGCCGAGATCGCACCACTGTGCTCCAGCCTGGGCGACAGAGCGAGACTCCGTCTCAAAAAAAAAAAAAAAAGAGAGAGAGAGAGAGATACAAAATTCTATGTTTATTGAAGTGTCCCAATGTCATATTAAAAATTTTTCATAGCTGATATACAGAATTACAAATTGACAACAAATATTTTTGTCATTTATACACACACATATTCCCTTTATGTATGTGCATATATATACATATATGTGTGTGTGTGTGTGTGTGTGTATATATATGTATATTTTCCATTTTATAATTGTAAACAGATCCCTGATTTCTCATTTTGGTTCACCCAGTATCTTAATGCTGAGGCCCTGGCCATTTCGTTTTTCTAAAAATAGATGTGTTTTTCTACTTTGGTATTCCTCTTATTTTTCATTTATGAGAAAACAACAAGACAGTGGACCTATTTTTTTTTCCCTCCTGGGTGGCCAGAGGTAACAATTCTTTGCTCATTTTCTTTGTTCCTGAATTGCCTGCGTCTAAAACAGTCGGTGCCCAACTCCCTGTTTCTTCTCCCTCTTCTCCTCACTCCAGCTTGCAAATCCCAGGGCTGCCAGGGCTGCACTGAGCTTTGTGCCCACAGGAGACAGGAGAGTGTGAGACAGAGCAGTCACAGTTCCTAGGAGGCCCCTGTGGACTCACAGTTGCTGCCTGCTCCCAGGAGCTCACATTCCCCAAACTGAGGATGGTCCTGGGATGTGGCCAAGTCCCTAGTAGAAGCAACTGCTCACTGGGAACAACCATCATGTTCCTATTCCAGACCCTGCTGGGGCACACCATCAGCACTGAAGAGGGTGGGAAACTTCGATCTTTCTGAATCCCTTTCAGTTCCAGGTCTCCCACTGGGAGTTCCTGAATAGCGGGAGGAAAGAGGTAAAGAGAGCACACCAGGCAGAGTGGAGCATCTCCATTCTGGGGTCGCGTTGTTGCTCTTTCCTGTGGGCTGCCCCAGAGGACCCAGATTTGGGACTGTGCCTGCAGGGAGTCTGAGAGGAACCTCTTTGCCCCATTCAACCCGTTGCACTGGCCCTGTTGTCCACAGGGTCTGAGCTCCAGGTCCTGCATTTGGACCTGGGTGGCAGGATGTGACCTGGCACTGGTGAGTCCCCCTCCCCTTCCTTCCCTTTCTGTCATGCCCCTTTCATTGCACCTATCACAGTTTGTTGTTTTAAACTTACTTGCTGTCTTTTTTTGCAATTGGATGGCAAAACCCAGGACTGTTTTTAGCACTGGATTCCTAGAACACCAGCAGTATTTGGTATTGTCCATGACTTTCTGAATGAATGAGTGAGTAAGTGAACGAATGATTCAGTTGCTATTTCCTCCTGTTCACTGTGCTACTGCTGACATCAGGTGCAGCATTACATTTCATCATGACAGGACTGCATCCTCTGCATTGGTCCCATTTTGTCCTCCCCCTGGGGAAGAAGCCAAGGATCTCTGTCCCACCCACTTCTTTTGTCCCTTCCTGAGGCTGGGGCTGGGAAAGCTCAGCCTAGGTCTAGTCCTGCGGTGTCTCTTTTTCTATTTGAGCCTCCCTAGACCTTTCTCTGCTTAGTGCATGGTGCTTTTGCATCATTCATTGCTTTTAATTCTTGCTGTTAGCTGGCCTGCTAGCCCCAGGGTGCTGTTCACCTCTATGTCCTCCCCTGGCCACCTGCCCCTTGCAAAGACCTGCCAAAAGTGAGGGGTGTTCAGGTACTTTCCTTGCTCTCTCCTCTTTCTCATTCCTCACCCTGCTCTTTCCCTCAGTAAAGAGCTCAGCATGCCCCCAGGACACTGATGATGGAAATTACTGCCACAAAGAACCAGGGTGACAGTACTGCTACCCCCTCTGCATTCCCGGTGGGTGAAAAACAGTCATTTTTCTGGAGCAGAAACATTGTTTCAAGAGTCAAAATGCACAAGGATAATTCAGTTAGGAGGATTGAGAGAGTTAATATGGAGAGGGAGAAAGATACACCATCAGGAGAGAACATTCAAATCCTCCAAGTCTCTGGAGGATTATTATATTATATGGGGATGTGGAAGCTCTCCGCTAGTTGGCATTTTAACAGAGCTGTGAACTGCAAAACCTGCAGCATGAAGGACTTAGAAAGATAAACAGGATCTCTTCTCAGCAAGGATCCTTAACAGGAATGAGTGAGGGGAGCTGAGGGCACTCTGGGGAGTCCAGGCTGCAAGTACAGTTAACGTGGGATGCTGTCCAAAGCATATGCTAAATAGCTAAACACAGCCTTGACTAGGCCACTGTCAACAGGCTGTGCTTGGCCTGTTTTGATTGAGCACTGGATGGTCTACTGGTTGGACAAGTTGAGTTTGCCTGAATCTCAGGAATGCAGGACTCCTGGGCCTGAGAGAGATCTGTTCTATAGCAAAGAGAGGCTGCACTGAGGGAAACATATTCTATCAAAGACTCTGATGCAGAAAAAAGTCTATTCGACATTCAAGTTACACTTTGCTTATGTTAACTTCACTTGTAACTAACAATCAGTTTTCTAAAATAAAAACTTGGAATGTAAAATTATTGAACAAGCACGAAAAGTCCTAAGACATACTCCAGGGACTTGCCCTGAGTTGCAGGCTTGCTGAATTGGAAGGGGTCGGGGGGCGTATTGTGACTCAGAGTCTTGAAGCCTCATGAAGAAGTGACTGGCATGAATTTTGTATGAAGAAAGGAGCATCAGTCATCAAACCTGAGAGGAGAGGTGAGATCTTGAACAGGGAAAAAACAAACTAAGTGTTAAAAGTTTAAGTGTCTGGACAGAGGTTGGGAAGATAAATGCAAGAGGGTTTGGGATGAGGGGTGAAGGGCAAGGGCACAAAAATGGGGGCTGTGGTGGAGGCCAGTTTGAAAAGGATGCCAGCGATGTGGTATGAAGCTAAGCCTGCCGCATGAACTGGGGTACTCCTGACTCAAAGTTTATCTTAGAATCCCCATTTGACCTCTGATTCCAAGACTTGAGATGTTTTAGATTGGAGAGCCTCAAAACATGATGTCTCTGAAACCTGGTAGAAAGATGTTGCTTTCTGAGTGGCAGGTGGCAAATGAAACACAAAATAGGCCCATGGGTTGAATTTCTCATTCTGGCTTAGGAATTTATGACACCTGAAGAATATGAAGGACATCAATATGGGGGCTGAAAAGGGTGAGGTCACAGTCTGGGAAGTGGTAATTGGAGGAACAGCAGCTTCCTGGATTTCTGGATTGTCATGGATTCCCAATAAGAGATGGAGGGCTGAGGACTGACCCTGTTTGGAGCACCGCTAACCAGTCTTGCAATAGCATTTGAGACTCAAGTTAGATCTTTCTGCTGGGAAAGGGACACCCTCCCCATCTCCTACCTATCACTGATAGTCCATAGCTGATAGTGGGACTTTAATGCATTCATTCATTTGCCATGCATTAAATAGTTTTTTTGTAGATATAAGCATTTTTATTCATAGATATAAGCAATAAGCTTTGAGTCCTGTGTTCAGAGATTGATATGGCACTGTGCTTGATTCAACACTGCAGATTTCACATACTTGAAGTTTTGATTACTACAAACAAATAGATATTGGAGTTAGAAAACTCTAGATTCAAATCCTAACTCAACATTTATTGACCTAACTCAACATTTATTGACCATAAGGATTAAGATCCTTAAACGTTCCAAGCCTCAGTTTTTATCATCTATGATATGAAGTTGGTAACGATTTCACAGCATCATTGTGGCACGGGAGCCAGTGCATGGTGGGCCCTCAGTGGATGGGGTCTAGCCATTCCCAACCCTTTATCCACAATTCTATAATCAAAATGCTTTGAATGCTGAAAGTTCTTTCTTAAATGTTGAGTCAAAGCACTTAGACGGCTTAACTTGTTTTGAACTAAACATGAGGCCATTTCTGCCTTTATTTCATTGAGTGTGAATATTTGTGTACTTTGCTACAGAAATAATAGTGTGCTTGATTCCAGGATGCTGCCTTGCTGGTATTGGTCTCATTTTAGCTTTCTGATAAGAAATTGTGGGGTCGTGATTGCCCCATTACATTTTGTTAAAGTCCACATTACACATACACATCATCATTAAAGAAAATGTGAGTTTCCATTTGGCAAAACTTTCCTTCTCAGGACTAGAAATGAAAACCCAACATGTGTGCTCATTGGTTTAACCAAAATTGTTATTATTTTGAGAGAGCATCTTCCTCTGTGGCCCAGGCTGTAGTGCAGTGTTGTAATCACAGTTTACTGCAGCCTCCACCTCCTGGGCCCAAGTGATCCTCCCACTTCAGCCTCCCAAGTAGCTCAGACTACAGGCATTCGGCACCACACCAGGCTAACTTTTTTATTTTTTGTAGTGATAGGGTCTCTCTATGTTGCCCAGTCTGGGTCTCGAACTCCTGGCCTCAGGCAGTCCTCCCACATCTGCCTCCCAAAGTGCTGGGATTACAGGTGTGAGACATTGCACCTGGCCTGTTTAACCAAAATGTAATGAGTAGTTACACTGTGTAAGACATGTTGCTTGGTATTCTGAAGGTTATAAAGATGAAAAAAGAGCCCTGACACTGAGAAACTAGGAATCCAGGATTTGGAATCTGACTGTACACAATTATAATGCAAGGCAGATCTTGTTAACTTTCCTGATTGGGAACTCCAGGCAGGATGACTTCACATCTGGATGAGGATGAAGCTTCATAAAGGAGGGGACATTTGAGATAGTCCCTGGTGGGTGATTAAGAATTTGCCAGGCAAAGATGGCAGAACAAAGTATTCTAAGCACAGGAATAAAAAGGGAAGTGTGTGAAGGCAAAGTGGAATTAACTTATGGAGAATATCAAGGGTTCAGTTCAGTGGTATCACAAAGTGTGTGACAAGGAGGTGGGGGTGAAGCTATGGGGGGTGGTGAATGGGGAGAGTCATGTAGGGCAGGAGTTGCCAGGGAGAATCTGTGCTTGATTTGACTGAAAAAGGAAGAGATTATTGTTGTTAATTTTTTTATCACTAAAATAATATATGAAGAGAATTCAAATTTAAATGAAGAGAATTTGGAAATGAATGTGGACATATAGAAGAACAGAGGGTACAAGGTTTCAGTTGGGCAGGAAGAATAAGTTCTAGCGAACTAATGTTCAGCATGGGGATTACAGGTAATGATACTGTATTGTATACTTGACATTTGCTAAGAGGGTAGATCTTAGGTCATCTCACTACATGTGAAAAATGGTAACTATATGAAGAGATGGATATATTAATTAGCTTGACTGTCGTAATAAGTTTACTATGTATATTTCTATCCAAACCTCATGATATACATTTCATATGGTTTGGCTGTGTCCCCACGCAAATCTCATCTTGAATTGTAGTTCCCATAATCCCCACATGTTGTGGGAGGGACCCAGTGGGAGGTAATTGACTCATGGGGGTGGTTACCTCCATGCTGTTCTCGTGATAGAGAGTAAGTTCTCACGAGATCTGATAGTTTTATAAGGGGCTTTTTCACTCCTGTGCTCTGCACTTCTCCTTGCTGCTGCCATGTGAAGAAGGACGTGTTTGCTCCCCCTTCGGCCATGATCATAGGTTTCCTGAAGCCTCCCCAGCCATGCCAAACTGTCAGTCAATTAAACCTCTTTTCTTTATAAATTACCCAGTCTTGGGTGTGTCCTTATAGCAGCGTGAGAACAGACTAATACAACAGTTTAAATATGTATAATTTCAATACAAGATTTTTAAAAGTAAACTCCTATAACCCACACCCAGATATAGCCATTGTTAATATTTTAAAATGCATCCTTTTACTCTTTTTCTGGATGAAGATAGATGGCTAGCTAGTTTGATTGATTTTGAAAGTAATTATAAATGAAATCTCATTGTTACAGGTTATTTTTATTTATTTATTTATTTTTGAGATAGAGTGTTGCTCTTGTTGCCCAGGCTGGAGTGCAATGGCATGATCTCAGCTCACTGCAACCTCCACCTCCTAGATTCAAGCGATTCTTCTGCCTCAGCCTCCTGGGTAGCTGGGATTACAGGCACACACCACCACACTCGGCTAATTTTGTATTTTTAGTAGAGATGGGGTTTCTCCATGTTGGCCACGATGGTCTCGAACTCCCGACCTCAGATGATCCACCCGCCCTCAGCCTCCCAAAGTGCTGGGATTACAGGCGTGAGCCACCATGCCCGGCCTTGTTACAGATTATTAAAAACAGTTGATTGACACAATAACTTAAGAAAATAAAATATAATAGCAGCATGGTGCCTGGATAGGTTGGTGATTGAGCAATCTACCAATAAAAAAAAAATTAAGAGTGTTGTTGCAATGGTTAAGAGGAAACAGATCCTTGAACTAGGGTGGTGGATATGGATAAACAAAGGAGGGCTAGATGCTTCCAGTTTCCAGCCCAGATGACTGGGGAATTGGGAGCCATAAACATGGCCTTTGCGGGAGGGGAGGACTAGGTGTGTATCTTTAGATGTGTTGAATGTGTGGTGGTGGTCAATCTGGTGGTTAGAGATGTGGGCCGGGACTCAGAGGAGGACAAAATCCAGATTTGAAATTCATTTACATTTTAAAGATTGCTTTGGTTAAAGAAGGTGAGATTTCTGAAGGAGAAAATAGAGAATTTTTTTAAACAAAGATAAGAAAAGAAATGTGGGGTCATCCATGTTTAGAAAATGGCAGAAAGACAGGGAGCTAGAGAAGGAGACAGACGAGGGAACCCAGGATGGTAGGAGAAATTCAAGAGTGCAGGGTCCTTGCAGTCAAGGGTGGAAGTCACTTCAAAAACGGGTTATTTGTAGCCTGAAATGTTATAGAGAAGAAAATGTTATAGAGAAGAAAAGAGGATGAAGATTCAGCAAAAAAGATGGAAGGAAATAATGTGTAAGGTATCTAGCGCATCTTCTGGCACAGGGAAAGAACAGTAAATATCAGCTATTATTTGAACAACAGACCATTACATTTGGCAGTTAGGAAGTGTTTACCCCTTCATCCTCAGACCCAGCCAAATGTCTTGCACAGAGTTGGAGCTTATTAAGTGTGTTGTACAATATAATCAATGAGTAGAAGACAGAAGAGGAAGAGCTTAAGAATGGTGATAATGTAGAGGTGGCCAAGTCATAAATCTGCTCATCCCAGCCAGTAATCCATTCCTCGCCCCAGGGAAACTCCTGCCTTTTGGGAATGTGTCTCCTGGGGTCAACTGTGCACACAGGCTAGTGTGCATGGGGAGCCAGGCCAGCACTATGGGGACCTGATTGAGAGAGAGGTTGATGGCAATCTCCTGCTAACAGTTCTCAACCTCTCACAGGTGTCACATAGAATGGGCATCAAGTGCAATGGGTAACTACAGCATTGTCAGGGAGTTTGTGCTCCTGGGATTTTCTTTTTTTTTTTTTTTTTTAATTGATCATTCTTGGGTGTTTCTCGTGGAGGGGGATTTGGCAGGGTCATAGGACAATAGTGGAGGGAAGGTCAGCAGATAAACAAGTGAACAAAGGTCTCTGGTTTTCCTAGGCAGAGGAGCTCCTTGGATTTTCTTATCTCCATGAGTTCCAGGTTCTGCTGTTTGCTCTGATCCTGTTGATATATGTGCTGATGCTGCTGGGCAACCTGGCCATCATCAGCTTCATTTGCCTTGATTCCCGCCTTCACTCACCCATGTACTTCTTCCTCTGCAACTTCTCCCTCATGGAGATGGTGGTCACCTCCACTGTGGTACATAGGATGCTGGCAGACCTGCTATCCACTCACAAGACCATGTCCCTGGCCAAATGCCTAACCCAGTCTTTCTTTTACTTCTCCCTGGGCTCTGCCAACTTCCTGATACTCATGGTCATGGCCTTTGATCGCTACGTGGCCATCTGCCACCCCCTGCGCTACCCAACCATCACGAATGGTCCAGTGTG
Organism: Homo sapiens; assembly: GCF_000001405.40. Taxonomy (NCBI): domain Eukaryota; kingdom Metazoa; phylum Chordata; class Mammalia; order Primates; family Hominidae; genus Homo; species Homo sapiens. The sequence goes on along the minus strand of NT_187562.1, from coordinate 1,086,082 downwards.
TGTGAAGCTGGTGGTGGCCTGTTGGGTGGTTGGTTTCCTCTCCATTGTCTCTCCCACACTGCAGAAAACACGACTCTGGTTCTGTGGCCCTAACATCATCGGCCACTACTTCTGTGACTCTGCCCCGCTGCTCAAGCTTGCCTGCTCTGACACCCGCCACATTGAGCGCATGGACCTCTTCCTGTCCCTGCTCTTTGTGCTGACCACCATGCTGCTTATCATCCTCTCCTACATCCTCATTGTGGCTGCAGTGCTGCACATCCCTTCCTCCTCTGGATGCCAGAAGGCCTTCTCCACCTGTGCCTCTCACCTCACAGTGGTGGTTCTGGGCTATGGCAGTGCCATCTTCATCTACGTGAGGCCAGGCAAGGGCCACTCCACATACCTCAACAAGGCGGTGGCCATGGTGACTGCAATGGTAACCCCTTTCCTCAACCCCTTCATCTTCACCTTCCGGAATGAGAAGGTCAAGGAGGTCATTGAGGATGTGACTAAAAGGATCTTCCTTGGAGACCCAGCAGCCTGTAGGTGAGAGGGTGAGCCCTTGACAGGGCTAGAGAGCACCTGACAAGTCACGAGGAGTAGACTTGCTGCAGGTGGGCACCCACATGCCTAAGCTGGAGCTCCTCACTCTCTTTTTTCTCATTTTCTCCTGGTCCCTCATCTTCATGCAAGTTTCTTCTCCTGCACTGCAGAGAACTAATGGACACACATTGGTAGAATGTCTCAAAGGCAAGTTTCTGTGCACCTGGGATAGTTAAGGAATGGATAGGGAATGCAGAGTGAGTACAATGGGACGGTCTTAATTAAAAGAGATAATCCAAACAAATAAGGCTCTTAGTGCAGGGTCTGGCACATTAAGTAAGAGCTCAGTAAATGTAGCTATTATTAAAATGTCCTATTAAAACCTTTCTTTCTTAGCTCTGTGGTTTTGCTTGCATTCTTTTAAGTTTCCTTTATTTTGGATGTGTTTCCTTTTCAGGACCTGGCTTCAAGGTCTATGATAGAGTTCTGAAAATGGGAGGTGCTCTAAGAAGAGCAGAGAGGCCTGGCACCCCAACACAGGAGGAGCCATGTGCTTCTGTTGGCTCCCCTCTCTCGGCCTGACCGCTCCTGGATGGAAGCACCCCTCACACCCAGGCTGCCCACTTCTTCCATCTGGCCCCAAAGCCTCTTGCCTTTCCACAGAAATGGCTCTCTGGGAGCCACTCCTCCAACCCTCTTATAGAAAGTCATGAAGACCTTACCTTTTTCATGCACTTGAGAGTGGGGGAAAGCTGAGCTGCGTCTGCACTCTCAGACTTGCTGCCTTCCCCTTCCCGTGGGGCCACTACTTCCCTTCTACTGCAGAATCTTAGATCCAAGTTCCAGAAGAAGGACCAGTTGCCCAGGCCTTCTGAGGCTGGGTTTCCTGAGAGCAGCCTGGCCAGATTACCAGGGCCCCTGGATGGTAGAAGCAAAGGTGGTAGAAATCAGATGAGAAGGAGTAAACGGAGTGGGACTGGTGTTGTAGGTAACGTGGTGGGAGGGCTGATAAGAGAGGCATTCCTCGGAAATCTGGATGGCGTGAGAAGTCATGGGAAGATGGTAGGGGCAGGAAGAGATCCGGGTCTGGTTTCTTTTACTAGACTGAGTCTCAGCTGGGCTGGGCTAGGATTAGCAAAGCGGGGCAAAGAGTAGATGCAAACTTCCTCTCATTTCTGAAGCTGGTTCTGTCCACAGGATCCCTAGAGGAGAGGCCCTGCTCATAACTTGCAGTGTGGTGTCACAGTGTGGGAGCCACCCCACAGGGCCAAGACTATGAAGAATGGTTTCAGGGGAAGCCTTCCAGGACACAGAGCTTGGAGGCACCACTGTCTTACTGTCTCTGCCATTTAGCTTGATCTCTAACATAGCTCTTTTTCTTTTTCAACCCCCACAGTACATTTTTGCATTTGTGGGCCTTGCCAAAAGTGGGCAGATACTTCTGATTCTGCTGTAAAGACCAGCAGGGAAAAGTTTTTCATCCTGAGAACTTGTCTCTTTCACCTCCCAAGAGACTAATTACTTGCCCTCCTTGCAAACTTCCTGAAAAACTGAAGAGCTAAGTGGAAAGTAATTATCTCCTTCTGAGATGCAGATACTTTTCCTCAGCTTCTCCTCCTAAAATAATCAGCACAGGAGTCACTCAGTGTCCTCCCCAGGGACTCCTTCCTGCTACTCGCTCTTCTCTGCACATTCCCCCTCTTAAAAAACTAAAAATAATCAATAGCCTATAGCGGGCTATCTCCTGTTTTTCATAGGATTTCCTTGGAAGTGGGGTCTCTGGTCAGTTTTGGGGACGGTCTGACTAGCTTTGGGCCTTCATAGCAATCACCCCATGGAATCCAGCATCATGCAGCCTGACCTGCCCCACAGCCTTGCCTGTGGTTCTTTGCTCTTCAAAGTGTGATGCTTGAAACAGCACTGGCATCTCCTGGGAGCTTATTGGAGATGCAGAATCTCAGGCCCCACCTGAGACCTCCTAAATCAGAATCTGCATTTTTGCAGATCCCCGGGTGATTCCTATGCACGTTAATATCTGAGTAACGCTGAGCTAGACAATTTGCTGGTAGAGTTTTCAAACAATAAATTGTATAAGAAAGGCCTTGTTCCAATCTCAACAACGTGAAGGGCATTGGAAGAGGGAATTTGGGGACACATTTGCTATTGTTGGATCCATCATTCCTTAGTGACCTTTATCCCAGGTCCCATTTCCGGAGACAGTAGTAACCAGGATGAAGACCCTGAAGACTCTCATCCTAGTCTGACTTTAAGCTTCTTGAGTGACTTCAATCAATGGCCCAGCCTCTGACTCACTGTTAGAATTCTATGTGGATGTCACCTAGAGATGTCTAGATATATTGGTTCCAGACATTTGTCTTAATGTGGCAGGGATGTCAATGTGCACAATGGCAAATGAGACTCCTGGATAGATAGAAACGAAAAAATAATTTTTTAAAAATCTTGCAACTTGCTGGGAGGAATCTTGGGATTCCAGTTCCAAATCAAAGTAGCTGTTATAAAAGGCTCCTCAGGTTTAAGACATGATGTAAGTAAACCACAGCTTCATGGAACTGCAAGGGAGTTTGTAGGTCATGCAGGCCTGCCTCCCTCTGTCTCAGTGCAGGCATCCCCACTGCAACACACTGATCAGACTGGCTTAGGGACTCTGCTTGAACCAAGTCCAGGGATGGAGCATGCCCAGCGGTGGGAGGCAGCCCCTTTCTTCACTGCATGGTTCTAAATTTTAAGAAGAAATCCTTATGTCAAACCTCAATGTGACGTCCTCTAACCTTCACCCATTGTCCCAGTTCTGCCTTTTTCAGTTATGCAGGCAGACTAGCAGGTAAGCAAAGATATCTATGCATTCCCCTCCAAAATATTCAGGTTTACAAATAGGAGGTTGCATCAAACCGTTTCTAGAACTCTTGCCTTCTGCATTGCTTTGTTTGGTTCCTGTTAGGTGCATCTTGGAACTGACTGACGTACTAGTGTGGACAACTAACTGAGATGTAGTGCAGTGGGAAACCTTTCCTCTTGCTCTGTTGACTGCATTTCTTACCATCAACTAAGATGGCATTCCATGTTTAGGTTATCGTGCTAACTCATGTTCCAAATTCACATAAACCTCATGATTAATGACAGCTAGCATTTATTGAACACCTACTATATTCTAGGTACAGGAAAAACAAAGATCTATAAGGCACGACACCTAACATAAGGAGCTCAGAATCCACACATAGACAAAACTACATTGAACCAAGTCCAGAGATGGACCATTCCCAGCTGTGGGAGGAAGCCCCTTTCTTCACTGCATGGTTCAAATCTTAAGAAGAAATCCTTATATCAAACCTCAGTGTGACTTCCTCTGAGTTCCTGAAGGCAAAGCTCTTGGGGAATGCCCCATTTCTTTTGATTAAGTTGAAAGTTAAGCTGAAATGACTTTTTGAGGTCCAAAGAACAGTTTTATAGGCTGAGAAGAGGAAAAGTGAATTCCTGAGAGAGGCAACTGAGTGTGTAAAATAACATAGGCATAAAATGGTATATTGTGTAGACAACCAAAGCCTAAAGAGACGAGATTAATGAGTGGATTTCTGGAGACTGGCCATGGGTATCATCACTAATCAGACCCAAGCCCCCCAGGGGACCCGTAAGTGTCCTCTGCAAGATGCTGTACTCACTGAAATAACAGGGCATATTTGATAACAACAAACTTCAGTGTGTACATCAGTGTAGAAATCTCTGCTTGCCTAGGGCAATCATATTGTAGTCACCAAAGGTGCTATTTATCTTCAGCACTGAAACTGTATTGCCTTTAATTTTGCAAAAACCTAAGTAAGTTCAGAGAGCTTAGCTTTTCTGAAATGCTTGATTTCCCTCTCTGCCAGCAGCTGAATTAGTCACATGTTATACCCCTTTAAGGCTGGTTTGGTCGGGTCCTCCAACAAAAGGGAGGCATGGGGATGAGGCAGAGAATGGGGGATCTGCCTTCTGTGTCTGTGGAGGAGAGGGAAGGAAATCTGTGATGTCCCCTCTCCTTAGATCACAGCCAACTTCCTCCATGACAAGGACAAGGGCCTCATATACAGTCCTTTGGACTCACCCCCAGGGCTGGGTAACCCAAGAACTTCTGGGTGAATTGTCCACTGAGTGAGGGAAGTGGCAGAAACACAAGTGTGAGTGGTGAGCTGCCCAGCTGCTAGTGAAGAAGCCAAGTCCCCTCATATATGGAGGATCCTGTGTCTATCAGATAAAATAATTCATAAGTTCCCTTATAAGGGCAATTCCATGAGCTTTACCTCCATAGGACTTGGCAGGTGTCTAACTCAAGGGAAGGAGAATGACAGCAATGCAGCATTGACTGGGGAGCAGGATCTAAGGGAAACCCAGAGGTAGGATGCTAGTGATGTTCTGGAGCCTCCTGGAGAACCCATACTGGGGCATTGCTACAAGACTCCTGAGAATGTGGAAGGGACTTTGGAACTGGCTAACTGGCAGAGGCTGGAACAGTTTGGAGGGCTCAGAAGAAGATGGGAAGGTATGGGAAAGTTTGGAAGTTCCTAGAGACTTGTTGAATGATTTTGACCAAAATGCTGATAGTGATATGGACAATGAAGTCCAGGCTGAGGTGGTCTCAGATGGAGATGAGGACCCAAATGTTAGTAGCCAAGGCAATAGGGAAAATGTTTACAGAACACGTCAGAGACCTTCACAGCAGCCTCTTTCATCACAGCCCAGAGGCCTAGGAGGGAAAAATAGTTAATGGGCCAGGCCCAGGGCCCTGCTGCTCTGCACAGCGTCAGGACTTGGTGCCCTGCATCCCAGCCACTCCAGCTCCAGTCATGGCTAAAAGGAAAGAAGGTACAGCTCAGTTCATTGCTTCAGAGGGTGCAAACCCCAAGCATTGGCAGCTTCCACGTGATGTGGCAGAAGACAAGAGTTGAGCTTTGGGAACCTCTGCCTAGATTTCAGAGGACGTATGGAAATGTCTGGAAATCGACCGTTAAATTGGCAGGAATTAAATACAGGCATGATAAAAAAAATTAGATAACAGAAACTCAAAATCAAATAAGTTATGCTAAAAACAAAGGTGATTCATATTCAAAACTCCTAATTACTTTGCTATATTTTACTTTTGTCCATGAGATTGAGGTTATTTAGGCCACCTGTCTCAGTGTGGTGGAAATACTATATGGGGCTGCATGGTGGGGCATCTTTCCGTAACTCCAACTTCAGATGTCATCTCGGTAGCTTAAAACTGGACATGGTGAAAATATTGACACCAGGAAGTTGGCAAATGCTAGAAGTCAGCAAATGGAGAGAGGTGGCTAAACATTTACTATCAGACCACTGAGCCACGACCACCATTCCTCAGTACCCGTCAGGCATTGTTGAAAAAACATATGTACATCAGAAAACCTAGTGCTGAAAGAATTAGTGAATTAGATTGATATGAATCTAGTCCACTGTAGGCAACACTGACATTTTCTTAGTTTGACCCAGAGGGTTTTACACCTCACCACTCCTAAAATCCCATCTGTGCAGGGTCTTGATGTTGCTACCAACCACCGCAAGACCCAGGCCTGACTTTCCTTTGAAAAGTGATTATATGCCTTTGTCTTCCTTCTTCAAAAACTTTCATACCTTCAATTTCTTGCTCTCTAATCCTCCCAACTGGAAGAAATAAATCCATTTTTTTGGCTTCCCACTGGGATATACATGTGTGAGAATGGATTCTTGGGTTAGCCATTTAGAACTAGGATGCCAGACAAATGAAGGGTGTGTGGGAGGATATTTGGGGCCAGGGAAAACATTTTAGTTTCACGAAATCCTGTCATGATTTCGCCCACACTTAAATTAGTTCTGGGTATTGAAAGCAACCTTGCCCTCCTACCACCCTGAAATTAGGTTCCAGTGTAAGCCACTTCTATGAAGTGGAAAGGCTGTTGCCATCTGTGCATCTACATCCAACAACCTTACATAGACAAACAACCACATCAACTGTTCTCACCTCCCAGGGAAAATGATGTCATAGCAAAGGGACTGTGAATCCACTGTATAATTAACATTGTATATGAACAGAATCAAAATATTTATTCAAAATAAAAATATCTTACATGTGTAGGTATTATTTGCTCTATTTCAAATGTTTGTGGAAACAGTGGTGATAAATAAAATACAAATCTTTTTTTCCTTCTTTCCAACTTTTATTCTGGGTTCAAGGGGTACATGTGCAAGTTTGTTACCTGGGTAAATTGCATGTTGCTGAGGTTTGGTGTACAGATAGCTTTGTCACCCAAGTAATCAGCATAATACCTGATAGTTTTTCAATCCTCACCCTCCTCCCTCCCTCCATCCTAAAGTAGGTTCCAGTGTCTATTATACCCTTCTTTGTGTCCATGTATACTCAATATTTAGCTCCCATTTATAAGAGAAGATGTGGTATTTGGTTTTTTGTTTCTGTCTTAATTTGCTTAGGAAAATGGCTTCCAGCTCCATCTGAGTTGCTGCAAAGGACATGCCCTCACTCTTTTTTATGGCTGCATAGTATTCCATAGTGTATATGTACCACATTTTCTTTATCCAGTCCACCATTGATGGGCATCTAGGTTGCTTCTATGCCTTTGATATTGAAACACAAATCTTTAAAAGTAACATTGAATCTATACTTGCTTTCTGCCAATATGTGTTTCTTTCAAGTGATGGATACTAAATGTGCAATTACTGTGAGGAAGGGGTTACTAGAATTGTTGCCATTACAAATCTACAAACTTGTAGAATCTTGATAGATATGTGCTCAGTAAGGGTCTAGAGGAGGCAAAACTGAGCAGCTTCAGATCCTGGAGGTTCCAACTTTGAATTAACCCAACTTTTAATTCAGATGGAAGAAGAAAATTCCAAAGATGGGGAGATGGAAAAAAAGGTTTGAAGAACCAGATCCTGCTGTCGGTTCTGCAATTTCTTTGACCAACTCATTCTTCCTCTCAGCCATGTTTCCCTTACCCGCTAAAGCGGGTCGGGAACACCGCTTGCTGCAGTTTCAGAATCAGAAATTTTCCTTCCGAGCTCTCATACTCTATAGGAAAACACCTTATTGAAATTAACCACACTTTTAAATTTCTCTCAGTACATGGAACCCCTTGAGGTCAGACTCCTCATTTCTTTCATCTTTAACAGCCACTGCTGAGTGGAGTGTTTTGCTCATGATGGGTGATCAGTGAATATTTATTTAACTGAATTACTATGAGGGTAAAACCAAATGGAAAATATATGTAAAAGTGGTTCATAAAGTATGAAAAGTATACAAAAGTAAGATATTGTTAGTAGAATTATTCTTAATTTACTCATCCTTCTTTCATTTACTCTACAAATACTTTTCTAGGTAGCAAGCAGAGAATAAACAGAGGAAAAAAACATCAATTCATTCAATAGCAACTGCAAACAACAGAATCATTGCTCTGTTATGTAATTAAAGAACAAGCAAAATTTTGGTCCAGAAACTGAAACTGGGAATGTGAAAAGACCCTCCGACTTGGCTAAGGGGTATCTCAGCAAGAAAGAAAGACACTTTCAGAAAGCCAGAGAAAGGGATGCCTCGTTTAGGAAGGAGTTAGCTTGGGGTAAGAGGAGGTCACAAGGAGAACCAATGGGTTGGTAAGCAAGCTGCATCTCTCAAGCTCCAAATGAGCTTACCTCATTCATTTCCACATAGTGGATTTTTTAAATGCTTGACATTTGTGATAAATTAGTAGTTTTATTGTTTTCAAGTAAGTGTAGCTACGAATAAACTCCTGGTTGTAGTTTATATATCACAAATTGGGATATGGAGTTTGGTAAATTAAAGTGTACTTACAGAAACAGTGTGTCAAAACAACTTAAATTGGGGCTACTTTAGAAAATTCTGCATGGGCAAAAGCTAAGGGAACACCATGATCCTGAGGTCAAAGTAACTGGAAGATTTTAAAAATTTCAGGCTATAGTTGGAGGAGGGAGGACAGTGGAGCTGATGTTTAACTCCAAAGGCAGCATGGGACATAATAGATTTTCAAGAATTTTATACCCACACGTATGTGAATGTAATATAATGTTCATATTTTATGTAATGTACAATATAATATGTATGTGTGTAAAATAGGATATATAATCACTGAATAAGTGAACTTACTAGGTTTATTACAATCCCTTGCCTTTAGGCAAATGAATGTTTCTAATCATACAGGAGCAAAGTTTATTTTGTCTTTCTAAAACTCTGAATATTTCCTCTCTGGAAACCACATAATTCCTCACTAGCGGAGATTTATCTTGTTTTAATTTCTCTCTGTTTCATCTTTCTCTGATGCAAAGGTACCTGATGAATTGCACTCTCACAGTGTCCACCTTATAGTCAATGTGCTACTCAGGTGTCATCTTGTCAGGAAGCCGTCGCTGAGCCTCCTCCTGGTCTCAGTGTTGCTCCCCTGTGTGCTCATAATACCGTCTGTGAATCCACTGTTGCACGTTCCCCACTGTGCTGGAAACAGCTATTTATCACTTTTTCCTTCCTTAGGCCAAGAGCTTTGTCAGGTTAAGAACCATTTATGCCTTTTTTACCTTTCTACCCTCTACCTGTTACAGTGCCTGACACACACAGCCTACTCAATGTTGAAGAAATGAATGAATAAATGGATGAATAATTATACAAGGACCCAGTCCTCCTCCCAACACTCACACACACATTGAAAAACAATCAGTTTGTTTTTGGTAAGTTTTGCTTCTTCTCTTGATCCCATGTAGCCCAAGCACTTATGGTGCATACACTCAGCAGCAGTGCATACTGTGATAGAGAAGCACACCCGGAACATGCACACGCATACACACATATGTACACACATACACACCCATGCACACATACTGGGATTGGACACTACCTCTTGATCATAGAGCACTTCTTGGCTGCTCTTCCTTAAATGCAAAGCACATGCACTTCCCTTTACTGAAAGCTCTGGGCTACTCTCAGAGTTCTTACGGCTGCCAGGGGATGTAGGGAACTCTTCCATGGTGGTCCATAAGAGCTTTGGGCCAGACAGTGCAGCACTCAGGGCTCACTGTAGTTATTGCTCAGAGGGAAAAAAACTAAAGAAACTCAGCAGTGTTCTTCCCACTTGCTGGAGGTCTCCCTCCCCACAGAACTGCTCAATGGAGGCAGGCCAGGTTCCCCTGGGCCCTGGGCTCATCATTGTGCCTTGCAAAGGCCTTTCAGCCTCTGCATCTGCCCCTGTAGCACTGTTTTAACTGTCTGATTGCAGAAGGTAAGGATAAAGGGATTGAGAAAGGGGGTGAGAACTGAAGTCACCAAGGCCACGACCTTCCTGACTTGCACAGAGTGAGCTTTGCCAGGCCTGACATACAGAAAGATGGTACTACTGTAGCCGATGAAGACCAGTGTGAGGTGAGACCCGCAAGTGGAGAAAGCCTTCTGGCAGCTGCTGGCAGAGGGGATCCGCAGCACAGTGGTCACTATGTAGCCATAGGAGATGAGGGTCACCAGGAAGGAGCTGAGGACAAAGGTCAAGGCCATCAGAAAGTCCCAGAATTCCAACAGGCGAGTGTCAGAGCATGACAACTGCAGGAGAGGTTCATTGTCACAGAAGAAGTGGTTGATGACGTCGCCATGGCAGTAATCAAGATGAGCTCGGGAGAGGACAGTGGGTACCATGGCTAGGAAAGGAGCTGCCCAGGCAGCCCCAGCCAGCTGGACACACATAGCCCGGCTCATCAGAGTGCCATAGCGCAGTGGGTGGCAGATGGCCACAAAGCGATCAAGGGCCATGTCTGTCAGGATGAGGAAGGAGGTGGACCCCAGGGAAAAGTGGAAGTAGAACTGGACCATGCAGCCAGTGAAGGTAATGACTTTGTGGGGGACCAACAGGTCTGAGAGCATCCTGGGCACTGCAGTCATGGTTACCAAGATCTCCAGCAGGGAAAAATTGCCCAGGAAGAAGTACATGGGTGTATGTAGGTGGGTGTCAGCTATGACCATAACTATGATGATGGTGTTTCCCATGAAGGCGAGAAGATAAAGCATGAGGAAGGGGCCATACAGAAGGGCCTGCAGCTCACCAAAGGAGGAGAAGCCCAAGAGGACAAATTCGGAGGGCTGGCTCAGATTTGCCATGATCCACAGTATGGGGCCCTGCATGCAAGAGAAACAAAAGACAGACGGAGAGGCAGAAACAGAGAGATAGAGACAGAGAACCATTGAACTTGAAACAGAAGAAACAGGGACAGAGACAGAGAATAGAGAGAGAAAGGCAAGTAGCCAGCGAGTGATAAACAGAAAAGCAGAAAGAAACGGCAATAAAGAAAGATAACAAAACAGGAATGGGAGAGTCAAGGAGAAACAGAGTGAGGGTATGAGAGAAGTGAAAGACATAGAAAGCCATTATTAAGAAGAGAGAAGGCTGGGGATGGTGGTTCATGCCTGTAATCCCAGCACTTTGGGAGGCCGAGGCAGGGGGAACACTTGAGGTCAGGAGTTCAAGACCAGCCTGGCCAACATGGTGAAACCCTGTCTCTACTAAAAATACAAAAATAAGCCAGGTGCAGGCAACTGTAATCTCAGCTACCTGCAAAACTGAGGCATGAGAATCGCTTGAACCTGGGAGGTGGAGGTTGCAGTGAGCCGAAATCGTGCCACTGCACTCCAGCCTGGGTGACAGAGTGAGACTCCATCTCAAAAAAGAAAAAAAAAAAGGGGGGGAAGAAAGAAAAACAGAGGAAAAGATTAAGGAAGACCACATGGCAACAGACATTGACATTTAGGGAGAAAACAAGAAGGAAACAACAGAGGACCAGAGAAAGAACAGAAAAAATTCAAATAGAGAAATACAGGAAGGGGAGGAACACAGAAAAAGAGAGGGAGAGAGAGCATTAGTGCATGTGACCCAGAAGCCCCCAAATGTAGGCTAATCCGTCTATGTCACACCCAGAGGTTGTGCCCCAAGACCCTTTTTAAAGGGTCCCTGCAAACCTTTCTGAGCTGCCTCTCTGAGGACCCTCGCTTGTGCACATTTCTCCGGCTATGATCATGAAATTAGTGAAAGTCAGAGTTTTGAGTCCAGAAATTAACTTCCTTTAGAGGAGACCTCTGCTTCGTGTTTGCAAAGATGGAGAGCAGAAAGGGTGCAGCAGGTCAGGGAGCGAGCCTGGAAATCCAAGTGGCTGCTCTCCCAGGACACACACAGTCATCAGGCTTCCCAACGGCATAATCTGTCTACCCAAGGGTGCTGCTTTGCCGTCTCCATTGCACTTCCCCTCCCGCCGTGGTGCAAAGTGTAAGCTATGGAGTTGGCTTGCCTGTGTTTGAATTCTGGCTCTAGACTTGCTTGTCACGGGCCGTAAATCTGCTCTTCTTTGTTACTTACTCTCTCTGAGCCCGTTTATTCAGCTGTAAAATAATGGTATTACTGGTACTTAGCCTCTATGGTGATTATAAAATTAAATAAGTAAACTACTTAGTGCAGTGACTAGCACATACTAGCCAACAAATCGTTGTTGTTATTGTTATCACTGTTCTTATTGTTAGACCGTCAATAGAACTCAAATTTTTTTTGCCCATCATCTCTCTACACTTCTTCTCATTGCCAGCATGTGTGTGTGTGAAGATCTTTACAGCTTTACACTGTTTCTTGGAATTTCAGTTCACTAAAAGGGTACTTTAAAACATTTCAAACACAAACAAAGTATTTACAACACAAACTGTCAGGAGTGGAAGGAGTGAAGCTGTGTGTAGATATACTCTGGCCCTTTCTCCAGCCCCATAAATGCTTCATTTGGGGTTGTGTCCTGGCCACACAGCAATGACATTCTAATTTTAAAAAGCCTTGCACCCGGCCAGGCGCGGTAGCTCACGCTTGTAATCCCAGCTGTTTGGCAGGCTGAGGTGGGCGGATCACGAGGTCAGGAGTTCAAGACCAGCCTGGCCAACACAGTGAAACCCCGTCTCTACTAAAAATACAAAAATTAGCTGGGCATGGTGGCGGGCACTTGTAATCCCAGCTACTTGGGAGGCTGAGGTAGGAGAATCACTTGAACCTGGGATGTGGGATTGCAGTGAGCTGAGATCATGCCAATACACTCCAGCCTGGATGACAAAGCTAGACTCCATCTCAAAAACAATAAAAAATAAATAAATAAATAAATAAATAAATAAATAAATAAATAAAGCCTTGCACCCATGCCACTGGCAAGCCTTAACGGTAGGTCTAAAATCCTAAAATCTACCCCAGCACTGACTAAATTCAAACCCAGTCCTTATGTTTGTGTTGCATGAGAACCTGACTGACATACAGACTTCCCCCCCTCACCTTAGCCTCCAAGCCTGTTGTCTTCTTTGTAAGCTGCTCTCACTTAGGCATTCATACCTGGAGACACCTGCCTACTGGCCTCACTCTATAACATGAATGACATCAGAGATGCAGTCTCTTTCCCTTGGGTTGTGTCTTGCGGCTGGAAAGGGTGGAAAGGGGCTTTGTGCACAGCTTGGAAGAGGTGGCACTGCTGGGTGAGCTAAAACTCTGCCAGTCCTTATGCTGATTTTCTAATTCAGCACCTACCCTGTGTCACTACAAAGCCAGGGGCAGCAGCATTGATGTGGGGCTGGGAGATGGGAAATAAGTCCCTCAGGAGACCAGAGGGGAAAGGTGCTGATTCTGTCCATTCTCTCTCAAGGATGAGTGTTTTCAGCTCTTTCTCTCATCCACATCTCCAAGTCCTTCGTGTCTTGATGATGTTTACAGTTCAGCTTATGCTGGATGGGAAACTTAGACTCCAGCAGAGTGTTTTCTGTGGGAATGACAGGAAGCCAAGGAGCCCTCTGGGGACTTCTGAGGCACTGACGTTGCTCCTTAGAATAATGAGATGTCCTCTGTTTTGAGGAAGTAACATTTGAGAAAAAGATCTGAATAAAGAAATGGATAAAGACCCAGATACACCCAAGCAGCTGACGGCTTAGGATCAGCACCTCGGCAGTGCCTGTCTCCTGGCCCTTCCCCTCCTCCCAGGACCATGGAAAAAATATGAGATCATGGAAAAAACACAAAGGAATTTTCCCAGCTGGACTAAAATTATGACAGCCTGGGTACCTAGCCAGGGCTGGATCCAGAGTTTCCATTTGCAGACAAAATCTCCAAGTGGATCCAGGGTTTAGGGATCTAGGGAGGCAGGGAATGGAGGCCCTGGACCATAGCAGCCTCTTGTTAAAATTCTCCAAAGAAAGTATCATTTGGAGAAGTCTGGGAATCAAACAGATATCTGCCTCCAGAGGCAGGGCCCTTGGTGGACACATCTTGGGATCTGGCTCCTGTGAGAAGATACACACCCTGGGGACAAAGGTAAAGGGAATATGGGGAGGCCACTCCAAGCTTCCAGCTCCCTAGTAAACTCTGAGTCACAGTCTTTCATCTCAGAGACATTTAAACCTTATGCATGATACCCAGTGCAACCCCACCCACACTGAGACAGAAATAATGACTCAAAGATTTCAAGGAAAAGCTGTGCAATGAAGGTAGTACAGATGGGCCCTGAGGTTAAGAATAACCAGGGCTGGAGGGGTTGACCAGGCAATCTTTCTGTAGGACTTGAGCTTGGAACTGAGATTTGGAGCTGACCCATTGAAAGCAAAGAAGAGGCTGGGAACGGTGGCTCATGCCTATAATCCTAGCACTCTGAGAGGCCAAGGTGGGTGTATCACTTGAGGTCAGGAGTTCCAGACCAGCCTGGCTAACATGGTGAAACCCTGTCTGTACTAAAAATACAAAAAATTAGCCTGTAATCCCATTTACCCAGGAGGCTGAGGCAGGAGAATTGCTTGAGCCCATGAGGCAGAGGTTGCAGTGAGCCAATATCGTGCCACTGCACTCCGGCCTGGGTGGCAAAGCAAGACTTCGTCTCAAAACAAAAACAAAAACAAAAAGAAAGAAAGTAAAGAAAAATGTAGGTCACAAGGCTAGAAATGGAGGAGGAAGAAGAAAGGAGCCAGTTGCTAGCAGGGAGCTCAGGTAGGAAGACAGGTCCTGGGCAGAGCAGGGCTGGAGGCAGGGGCTTGGGAATTGAAAGGCAGGAGCATAGGTCGGGGCTACATGGGCCTTCATGACTATTCATTTTCTATTGCTTCTGTAGCCAATTACCACAAATTTTGTAGCTTAAACAACACAAATTTATTACCTGACAAATTCTCCAGGTCAGTAACTTGACCAGGCCTCAATGAGCTAAAATCAAGGCGTCATCAGGGCTGCCTTCCTTTCTGGAGTCTCCTTGCTTTTCCACCTTCTAGAAGCTGCCCACATTCCTTGGCTTATTGTTCCCTCGTCCATCTTCAAAGCCAGTCACATGTGTCTCTCAGAACCGTCTTCTGTCATCACTTAGCCCTCTGACTGAACTCAGAGGAGAAGTTTCTCCACTTTTACAAATCCCTAAGATTAGATTCAGCCCATCTGGATCACCCCTAAGATTAGATTCAGCCCACCTGGATCGCCCAGGCTAATCCCCTCATCTCAAGGTCTTCAACCCAATCACACCTGCAAAGTCCCCTTTCCTATGTAAAGCAACATTTCACAAATTCCAAGGATTAGGGCTTGGACATCGTTGAGGGGGCATTCCTCTGCCTATCGCAATGACTACCATGCAGCTTTGGTGCCTGGTGAACCACTTATTTGACCAGATCCATTCATCTTTACACAATTGTGTTCATTCCTTAATAAATATGTAGCGTCAACTCGGTTAAATGATCATAACATAGAGCAGGCTCCATAATCCAGGAGCATAATCCTAAATCTGTCCTTATTTCCTTTGGGATTAAAGGCATGTGGAGCAATGTTAATTCTTGTTTCCTTTCTAGCCTTCCCAGAGAGAAAGAGCTAGGATTGAAACAGCGAGGGGAACTACTCTAGTGCCACTCAATTCTGTCTCCTGGGCTTCCCAGGCTTTGAGGAACTGCCCCATTTCCTTTTGGTTAACTTCTTCTTTCACTTGATGAGATTAATGGGAAATGCAGTCATTTACATGGTTGAATTGATGAAGTCTTCAGTCTCCCGGGGATTTCTTCCTCAGTCAACTCTTCATCTTTTCACACAGTCTATTAATGGACATTTCCATTGTTATTGCTTCTTTGATCCAGATTGATTCCTACTCCAGTATCCCCTCAGCCTCTGGCCAAAAAATAATCCTTCTCCACTCATGCCTCCCATTTCACCTGTGTGGTGATTGACTATGACAGCTGCTTGTTTCTCTACGTGAAACCCAAGCAAATTTGGGCAGCAGAATAAAACAAGGTAGTTTTCCTGTTTATTTTCCTGTTGACCCCCTTTCTGAACCTTCTTACAGGTCAGATTTACTGACCTAAATCAGTTTTAGGTGGGCCAGTCCTCATGGATTCTAAGGTAATCTGGAAAATACTAACAAATATCTAAGCTAAAGCATCTTTATTTTCATCATCAAACCATATGTAATTATCACACTCAGGCCCTTGGAAGTGGGCAAAATACACAAACATAAAAACCAACCTGCTTATCAGTAACTGATAATCTGAGCTACTTCTTGTTTCAGTTGTTTTGTAATAAAATTATTGTTTTGTTTTTGAAAATCTGAAGAAGAAAATGCCTGAAGTCGGGGAAGAGCTTGAGAAAGGAGCTGTATATGTTCCTGGGGGCGTTAGATTGCACTGTAATCATCTCTGAATGTGCATTTCCAGAAGAGGAAGAGAGTCCAGGGACTACAATAAAAATGTCAGCACCTCTGCTCAGATCTGCCCTACTGTTTCCTGGGATATGTTGACATTTTGACTTGCATTATTAGACTCAATCTCATAAAGCTGTGCCTGGCCATTAGGTGAGACACAGATTACTCCCTGGTGTACTCTTTTTCTTGGATGTGCCATATCTAATCTTGGCCCATTGCTACTACAAAGCAACTCTTTTTCTCTACATTTTGGCATAAAGCCAACTTGGAGTGGCACGAGGACAATATGTTTAGAAAGGGGTGGATGGAATGTTTGAACATGTTTGGTGGTAGGGACAGAAGAAAATTTATGATCAAATTTTTGGCAACTATTTAACTCATCTCGTTTTGTTCATGGTAAAGGAAGGAGGTAAGGAAGGATTGAATGGCTCACTCTAGATGCCTGAATTTTTTCTTTATATGCTACAGGAATCCTTTGTTTTCATGATGTGCTCTGCCTCCCAAAGCCAGATATCCTCTGACTGGGGGCTTTTCTGCCCCAATCTCCAGCTGTCTTCTATGACATCTCTGCAGATTTTCACTGCTGGCAGAGTTGAGAGTGGGAGTTTCCTCCCTCAATTCTGACTTACTAACAAATCAGGGGATGGGGTAGCTCCCTATTAATGCACAGAAATATGTAACTGCTAGATTTTCAGACAGATTGGAGGAAGAAATTATCTCACATGATAATACCTGTAGGCTGGAATCAGACAGAAAATAGTTTTCTTGAGAATTGATGTGGGTCACCTGGAGAATTGAAGAGTCTAGCAAGAGGGCACTTGCCTGGTGGTGGATGGAGATAGGAGCTGAATTAGGGCCCCTGAGTAAAATTGTGTGGCTTGTAGACTGTACAAAGGTGGTGATGGAGAGACTGAAGGGGCACATGGGGGCTGAAGGAGCTGCATCTACCTGATGGAAAGGGGCACCCATTTTATGCACAAAGATGATACACAGTACTTGTGCCAAAATGTCTTGCTTTATCCTCCCAACTGATCCCAGACAGTTTGCTTAGATGTCTAAAACAAATACAAATCATAGGCTTTATTTGATCTACTTGTCAAATAAGATTGTCACAGATGTCACATATGGTCACTTTTGCCATACTTTTATGAGTCCAAGCAACACAAGATTCAAGAGGCAGGGGCATAGAGCCATATCTTTTTTTTTTTTTTTTTTTTGAGACAGAGTCTCACTCTGTCACCAGGCTGGAATGCAGTGGTGTGATCTCAGCTCACTGCAACCTCCGCCTCCCAGGTTCAAGTGATTCTCCTGCCTCAGCCTCCTGAATATCTGGGATTACAGGCATGCACCAACATACCCAGGTAATTTTTGTATTTTTAGTAGAAACAGGGTTTTACCATGTTGGCCGGGATGGTGTCGATCTCCTGACCTCGTGATCCGCCTGCCTCAGCCTCCCAAAGTGCTGGGATTACAGGTGTGAGCCACCGCACCCAGCCAGAGCCATATCTTAATGGGAGGAGTGCCAAAAAATTTGTGGCCCTTTAAAAAACCTGTCATGGATAAGTCAACAAAATTTTCTTTTTCTAAGGCTTAGACTACTCTGTCAGATATCTGATCCTGAATGGAAAGAAAGACACTAACTCACCCCACTCTCTTTTCACTCCCCTTCTCAGAGAACAGGAGGCTGCAGTATCTGAAGTCAAGCTTGTTCTGATACTACACTGTATTTCTTCCTTTTTGTCCATTTATGAGGAAGGCAGACACATTGCCCCACTGGGAGTTTTATATCACCCAAGCTGCAAGCATCTCTGAAACATAAAAACAACAAAATATTACTCTGTCTATCACACATGCACATCGCGAGGCCTCAAAAACATCTTGCTTTACTCCCACAACTGATCCCAGACAGTTTGCTTAGATGTCAAACACAAATACGATTCATAGACCTTATTTGATCTACTTGTCACTAAGCTTAAAAACCACACAGCACAGTCTTGATTTTTGCATATATCGTAATACGTCTCTTAAAATGTGTGATAAATTTTTGTGTAACACATTCTGTTAATGAATGCTTATTTTTCAGTTAACCATTTAGCTCTCAAAAATTAGAGAAAAATTTATTTTAACAAAAAAAGCAAGACTTTTTAAAAAGTTTCTTTATCTGTGAGGTTTTTCTTGGTAAAAGAATCCATGACTCTTGGAAAATTTGGTAAGGGTTATACAACTTATGTTTTTCTTTACATAAATATTCCTACATATCTGAGCTCAAAGCATTAGTAAATGTTTGTGTGATATAAAAACTGATCCTAAAACCTGTTTTCTATTAATATTCTAATTTTTCAGAGTAAGGAAGGGGTGGAGCAAGGCAAATAAATCGTGAATGATATGGGCTGCAATGGTAGACAAATGACAAATAGGGATGTCTCCTGCACCTGGCTGGAATGGCTTTCAATCCTTAATCATATTGACAATAGTGGCTGCATGGTGGCTCATGACTGTAATCCCACCACTTTGGGAGGCTGAAGCAGGAGGATTGCTTGAGCCCAGGAGTTCGAGACCAGCCTGGGCAACATAGTGAGACTCCATTTCTACAAAAAATACAAAAATTAGATGGGTGTGGTGGTGCGTGCTTGTAGCCCCAGCTATTCAGGAGGCTGAAGTGGGAGGATCACTTGGGCCTGGGAGTTCTGCAGTGAGCTATGATTGCACCACTGCACTCCAGCCTGTGTGACAGAGGTAGACCCTGTCTCAAAAGAAAAGAAACAAAACAAACAAACAAAAACATTGATAGTAGCTACTAACACCAGCTACTGCATGGTAGAGTTTGAATTTGAATCAGATCTGATCCCAAAGACTCTGCTCTTAATTTTTATGTCATTTTGTCTCACCAACCTAAACATAATCCAAACTTGTATATCATTACATTGCTTATTGATTTATATTGATTATATAAAAGATATCTTGCTGATTGAATGAGAAGAATATGAGAGACATAGGAGAAAAAAATCACATGTAATGACTACAGATTTATTCTGGAGTTAACCTGTGAGGGAGAATTATTATATTCAGTTTTTAGATAACAATGTAGAATCTCACAGAGCTTAAGTAAATGTCAGTGTTTCTCAGTCATCACATGTTGGGGCCTGAGACCGAAGCTCTGATTTCACCCACTTCACACACTGTCCTTTCCCTCTATATCATGCCAAGAATAGTAATGCTATGACTGTTTCAGATATTCTGTAGCTCAGCAGTGACAGAAACTGTGAAACTGAAATTACTTACATTATTTGATAAGCTAAACCCAAAATTCATGAGGAAGAGAATAAGTAAAACAAACAAACAAACAGAAACCCAGACGTTTATAATGGACAAATAATTGTTCACTCATATTTGTTGTCCTTCCTGGAGGTGACCCTCCCAGTGGGAATATCACATATTTTTGCTCCATTAATTCAGGAGTGGTCGAGTGATTTTCTTCAGCCAGTGAGATATGGGTAGAAGTAATGAGAGTCACTTCATAGCAAGAGCTTTAAGGGTTGGCATTTGAGTCACATTCCCTTTTTCTCCACATCTGAGATCATGGAAGAATGTGTTTAAAGGGAGCTTTCTACTGCTCCAGTCCCTACAGTATAATAATGAGCAGAGTCTACTTCCTGGCTAGTGATGGGCGCATGGCATGAGTGAGAAACAAACATAGTTGTTAAAAGCCGTTGAAAGATTTGAGTTATTGGTGACTTCAGCGTGACCTTGCTGTAGCAGATGTTGTTAGTGTTACATTCTAATCCCTTAAGTTTCCTTTCATCGTTTCTGTGTTAAGCCCTATGTACCTTTGTGGTCAGAGATAAAGAAAGGCCAAGGTTCACAGGAGAGAGCCAGTGTGGATGCGAGAAACACAAAACCAGAGAGGCGAGGTGTTAGAAAAGCAGTAATGGAGAGAAAGTGAGAGACAGAGAGACACAGGAGGCCCAGGAATGCAGACAGAAAGCTAGAAGGAATAAAAGGTAACCCAAGAGAAGCAGCAGAAGTGACAAAGAAAAGCAGAAATTGTGAGCAGAAGGAGGGAGGAAAGGCAGGCAGGACACGGGACTGAGCATGGCCAGAGGCTGAGCACAGAAGCCAGTCTAAAGCACCCCTGTGAGGCTTTCTAGATGCCCCTCTGCTGAGAACTCTCACTCAGCCACATATTTCCAGCTTTCAGCAGCAGCAGCAAAGCCATTCAATTCAGGAAGCAAGGGGAGCCAGAACAGAGAGACAATAAGATCCCTTTGGGGTGACCATCTGCTACATGTTTACAATGGCTGAAGGCAGAAAGGGAATCAAGATATTTAGATTCAAGCTCTGGAATCCAGGCAAGACCCATTGGATGCTGCTGCTCTGACAGTCCCTGAAAGATGTGTGTGGTATGTGGATTGCACTGGACTTCTAGCTCTGCTTCTTAAAATGCTGTGACTATCCTAGTGGACCACCCTTCCCTGACATGACTCACTCTTGTATGGGGGCTGACGGCACAGACCTTGGACCGTCTAGGTTTATATCCTGGCCCTGTGAATTGCCAGTTGTATGACCTTGGGCTGATACTAATCCTCTTGGAGTGGAATTTTCCCCAGATGTAAGATAAAAAATAGTAGAGCTAGCGTGAGCATCAAATTGGATTATGGCTGCCACATAGGAAGAGTTCAATAACAGCAGTTTCCGCTGTTGTTATTGGCATGGAAACTTCATTCTCATCATCTCCCCTTCTAACCCAACCGCCAACCACACTTCTTTAACGTGAAGGTGATGGGTTTGTGTGTGTGCGTGTGTGTGTGTGTGTGTGTGTGTGTGTTGATGCATCTATGTATGGGTCCAGCAGTGTGCTGGCTGCACACTTTAATTATAGTTAACTGAATGAATACCTTTAGAGATCCATAAGTAGTAAATAAAATCAGAAATGAGAGCACACAAATGAAGCCCTGAGAAGACACATGTTAGCTGTCTCTCTGGAACCACAGGTATTTCCTAGAACTGTATCCTGGCCATCAGCAATGACATCTAATCACAGAAGTGGATCTATCTCCCTAAGCAGTAAGCATGCAACCCTCTCACTAATCTTAATGCCAAGTCTAAACTCATCTTGACTAACCGAAACCGAATCCTTATAACTCATTCATTCTCCAGACCCAGCCAATGCATCTTAATTCATAAGTCCAGCATGGCGAGCTTTTCTTATTAGGTCATTTACTTCGGCGGCTTCCTGACTGTGGTACCCAGATTTTGACACGGAGACATAAGCCCCTTGGGAATGGGGCAAGCAACCCTGGCCCTGCTTTGCAAGTGACTCCACAAGTTAGAATCTGTCAGCAACTTTCATTGAGTCTGTGATGAAGAGACTTACTGTTTCTCCCTATACAGCCCAGGGCAGCAGTATCCATGACTGATGTCAGGCTGGAGATAGCATGGAGGTGGCAGGGAAATCCAATGAGAATGATTCTCTTGCTGTTCTTTGCTCCCAGGGATGATGGTGCTGTTCACCCACTCTGTTTTGAAACCTTTGGGTCTTGCTGATTTTAAGAAATGAGCTGGGCCAAATGGGAAACTTTAGACTCCAGCAGGGTGCTCCTTGTGGGAACAAGGGAAAGCCAGGAGTCCTTTGGGTTGTACAACGCTGATGCTTAAACTAACAATGGGTACAGTCAGACAGCAACAAGAGGCAGATGAGGACTGGGTCCAGCACCTCAGTTGTGTGTGTGTGTGTGTGTGTGTGTGTGTGGTGGGGGGCTTTGGAGTTCGACCTGGGTTTGAAATGTAACATTTACATAGTAGTTGTTGACTAAGCATTCATTAAGTAAATGTAACGCAGATAAAAATCTGGAATTTTATTCAATAAAAAATCCCCAATATTATGGGGATAGTAATGCCTCCCTCATAAGGTTAATTTCAGAATTAAATAAAACATGTTATGTAACACACTAGTACAGGTCGTCTTGGGGTATAGAAGAGCATGGTAGATGTTAGTAAGCTGACAAGAGCAAGCTAAGTTTGTTTAGCAATGCTCTTCTCCAGCCCTTTCCTGCTGTCTGGCCTCACTATCCCAGTGTTACAGGATGGAGGAGAGTCTGAAGCTTCAGGATCCCCAGCTGTGAGGTCCCCTTCCCCCTTTCTCCACTGCTCAGTCCCAAGGGGCTGTGTCTCCCTGGCACTCCAGCAACCATCCCAGACACTGACGTTGTCATAAACTGCACACTTACGCTCATGGATCCTCTTCATCATGTCCAGAGGCACATTTACTTATCATTATTGATAAGGACATGCCACACTCATTGCTGAGGTATTTATTGAGCTTTTACTGTGTTCCAGTATGTAACTTATTCACCTTAAAGCATCTGTCTTTGATTATAAGACTGCTGATCTTCAAAAGCACATTTGTGAGTCTCAGAATCTCAGGGTTGCCAGGATTCTTGAAGGTCACTCCACTCAACCTACTGGTGCTTCATTCCCTGCTGACAACAGCTGACTGCCTCCTGTAGAAGGGTGGTCTAGGAGTTCCCGGTCACTCATGTCAACTCAGCTAGTAAACTGCAGCATGACCTTAACAAGTCACTCGATTTCTGAGTTTCAGGCTTACAATATGTAAAACGAAGTGTTGGAAAACATTATCTTTCCATTGCTGATATTCTTTGGCCCTTATTAATATCATAGTCATTCTAATCTCTTGTTTCTCCACATCCAAATATGGATGCCCTCTGTGTCCCAACCCAGATAGAGGAGGAGGTATTTTTTTTTTGCCATGGCAGGCCTCTAAGTTTGTTTTTTGGGGGCTCTCTCTCTCTTCTCCCTTCCTTGTCACCACCTTCCCTTTGTCCTAGAAATATGTATTACATTCACAGAATATCTGGAAAAACCAAAACCCTGGATCTATACCTTATGCTTCCAAAAAATAATAAATTCCCGATGGCTCAAACAGACTTAAATGTAAAAAGTAAAAAATGGGATTTTTTGGTTTGTTTTTAATTTCCTTGGAGTATGAACATAGGCTTTTCAAAGGAAAACACGGATCCCGGGAGTCTAAAAGACTGTTAAGTGTAACTGCCTAAGGATGAAATATTTATGCAAGATAGAAACAAAACATAAAAACAGAAACATGAAATAAAGATTTGTTTGATTTATGCAAAATGTTCTCTTACAAACCTGTACATTCATTAAAGAAAACTGCAAATGATTTTTTAAACATGAAAAGAACTCAATCTCACTGTAAATTAAAAAAACAAACTTTAATAAGAATTGTTTTTGAATAACTGTTATTTTTTAGACAATGTACTGAAGATACAGCAGTAAACAGAGTGGACATGGTCTCCCCACTATGGAGCATATTTGATGAAGACCGATGTTACCATACGCTATAAAACCAGGTAAACACACACACACACACACACACACACACACACACTTACAAAATAGTGAGTTGTTTTGAGCAAGAAACTACGTGGTTGTCTTAGATCTGGGAGTGATGAGGGAGAAGATGTTTGGACAGACCTGTGATGAGGTCACAACAGAGGCTTAAATCCTACGGGGAGCTCTGAGCTAGGACGGCTTTCCAGAGTTGTCCTGAATTGTGCCCAGAGTTGTCCTGAACAGAAACTTGGGGCCTGGGCATTATACTTCTGCATCCATAGGCCATTGGATGCAGGCTACCTTAGAGGAAGGGCTATAATCTTGGGGAAGGTGTTTCTCTTTGATTGGGAGCAATTTGGGGGTAATTAGCATCTTGGTTCTGAATGGGAGTCCGGGCAGCGCACTGCAGCATTTACTGTAATATCTGGAAAGCCCCTGGCAGGGAACCTGAACATGGATATGTCTGTGAGGTTATGGGAAGCATCTATAGGAGTAATCATTAACTGGTATCTGGTGCTAACTAGGCACAGCATGGTGGGAATCACAATGAGCACTCTGAGAGATGGAGCAGCGTGCCATTACAGGAGCACAAAGGATGTCAGTGTCACTGAGCAGAGGAGTGACACAAGATGACATTAGAGAAAGGTATTTCTAGAAATCATGCAGAGCCTCACAGGTCTCAGGACTTTAACCAAATGGCAGAGAGAAAGGTTTTAATCCGGGGAGAGACCTGATCTAGTCTGTGTTTTAAAGGATCACGCAGGCTGCTATGGGGAGAACAGAGTAGACAGAGGGAAGCGAGGGTAGATGTGAAGGTCAGTTAGGAAGTTTTGTGGCAGGTCAGTAAGGTTTGTTCCTTCTCATTTCCTGTTTTGTGGGTAATGTCTCTGCCACTGGGGTAATAATCCTATCTCTAATAACATACATTATTAATGCAACCCTATATAGTGGATAGGTAATAACCCTATCTGTTCTACTAGTTTGCCAGAATGTCCTTTTCTTTCTCTGGGCCATGATGACTTCTCTTACCTGTGTCCGAGTATACTTATGTGGGAAAGTCAAACATAGACATGGAATGGCCTTGAGCTTAAGGATATTCAGCAAACACTTCTACTCACTTGTAAAATCATTAATCTAGGATAAGTTTATGTACTAGATCTGGTGTGGACTGTAATGGCCCATGATGTTATCTAGAGAGAACTGATTCAGACAAAAATGTTAGCTTTGTGGAGGAGTTCCATCCAAAGAGTCATGAGTGGAGAGTCCTCATGTTGGACTGAGAGGCTCAGGTCACCATTAAGAAGAAAGCTTGAAAACTAGCTCCATGGCTGGGCGCGGTGGCTCACGCCTATAATCCCAGCACTTTGGGAGGCCGAGGCGGGCGGATCACAAGGTCAGGAGATCGAGACCATCTTGGCTAACACGGTGAAACCCCGTCTCTACTAAAAATACAAAAAATTAGCCGGGCGCGGTGGTGGGCACCTGCAATCCCAGCTACTCAGGAGGCTGAGGCAGGAGAATGGCATGAACCCGGGAGGTGGAGCTTGCAGTGAGCCAAGACAATGCCACTGCAGTCCGGCCTGGGCGAAAGAGCGAGACTCCGTCTCAAAAAAAAAAACAAAAAAAAAACTAGCTCCATTTCGGCCCCTTGACTTTCACAAGGTAAAAGTGGAAGAAAAATTACACATCATGCCCATCAATGCCCTGATATTTCAGATGAGGGGTCTGATATTTCAAACCTAGAGGGCTGAAAATTCACACCAAGTATCACAGAGCTAATAAGTATGAGAAGGAATCAGCACTCAGGTTTCCTGATTCCAATTTCAATGTTTTATTCATGATCTTACGCTATTTTGAAATTTTTCCACTTTCACCAAAGATGTACACTTTTAAATTGTGCTCTCAATGTTATGGGCTCTACTGACAGAAAATATCTGTCTTCGTTTTTACAAAGAAAATGTTCTATTCCCCTAAGAGGTGTTTGCAGAACGTTGCTTAGAAATGTTTTGATAGAACTTAGCCAAAGAGACATCTGTTTGGGGAAGGGTCTGAAAGCTCCTTGCCACACTCAGACATCTATTAGGGCTAGATAAGCCATTTTCTCTTCATGATTCCTCATTTGCTCTCCCATCCTCATCTCTACCTCCACCCAAAAGCCATAATCTATTTAACTCACTTTGCCTACTTATTCTAATTGCTTTCTGACTCACTCCAATGCTATCTTTATCCTTCACCTGCCTTTACCTCATTTGTGTCCTCATCAGGCCCCCAATAACAAGCCCCATCCTCTGTTATATATTTTGGATTTCTTTTTATTTTATTTTATTTTTTAATTTTACTTTAATTTCTGGGATACATGTGCAGAACGTGCAGGTTTGTTACATGGGTATACATGTGCCACGGTGGTTTACTGCACCTATCAACCTATCATCTAGGTTTTAGGCCCCACATGCATTAGGTATTTGTCCTAATTCTCTCCCTCCTCTTGCCCCTCAACCCCCAACAGGCCCCCGTGTGTGATGTTCCCCTCCCTGTGTCCATGTATTCTCATTGTTCAACTCCCACTTATGAGTGAGAACATGCAGTGTTTGGTTTTCTGTTCCTCTGTTAGTTTGCTGAGA
Source organism: Homo sapiens (assembly GCF_000001405.40). Classification (NCBI taxonomy): domain Eukaryota; kingdom Metazoa; phylum Chordata; class Mammalia; order Primates; family Hominidae; genus Homo; species Homo sapiens. The sequence goes on along the minus strand of NT_187562.1, from coordinate 1,059,854 downwards.
ATGAGAGTTTCCAGCTTCATCCATGTCCCTGCAAATGACATGGACTCATTCTTTTTTATGGCTGCATAGTATTCCATGGTGTATATGTGCCACATTTTCTTTATCCAGTCTATCATTGATGGGCATTTGGGCTGGTTCCAAGTCTTTGTTATTGTAAATAGTGCTGCAATAAACATACAAGTTCATGTGTCTTTATAGTAGAATGATTTATAATCCTTTGGGTATATACCCAGTAATGGGATTGCTGGGTCAAATCGTAATTCTGGTTCTAGGTCCTTGAGGAATCACCACACTGTCTTCCACAATAGTTGAACTAATTTACATTCCCATCAACAGTGTAAAAGCGTTCCTATTTCTCCACATCCTCTCCAGCATCTGTTGTTTCCTGACTTTTTAATAATTGCCATCCTAACTGGTATGAGATGGTATCTCATTGTGGTTTTGATTTGCATTTCTCTAATGACCAGTGATGATGAGCTTTTTTTCCACGTTTGTTGGCCGCATAAATGTCTCCTTTTGAGAAATGTCTGTTCATATTCTTTGCCCACTTTTTGATGTGGTTGTTTTTTTCTTGTAAATTTGTTTAAGTTCCTAGTAGATTCTGGATATTAGACCTTTGACAGATGGATAGATTGCAAAAATTTTCTCCCATTCTGTAGGTTGCCTGTTCACTCTGATGATAGTTTCTTTTGATGTGCAGAAGCTGTTTAGTTTGATTAGATCCCATTCGTCAATTTTGGCTTTTGTTGTCATTGCTTTTGGTATTTTAGTCATAAAGGCTTTGCCCATGCCTATGTCCTGAATGGTATTGCCTTGGTTTTCTTCTAGGGTTTTTATGGCTTGGGGTTTTACATTTAAGTGTTTAATCCATCTTGAGTTAATTTTTGTATAAGGTGTAAGGAGGGGGTCCAGTTTCTGTTTTCTGCATATGGCTAGCCAGTTTTCCCAAAATCGTTTATTAAATAGGGAATCCTTTCCCTATTGCTTGTTTTTGTCAGGTTTGTCAAAGATCAGATAGCTATAGATGCGTGGTGTATTTCAGAAATATGTTTTGATATCAGTACCATGCTGTTTTGGTTACTGTAGACTTGTGGTATAATTTGAAGTAAGGTAGCGTGATGCCTCCAGCTTTGTTCTTTTTGCTTAGGATTATCTTGGCTCTATGGGCTCTTTTTTGTTTCCATACGAAATTTAAAGTAGTTTTTTTCAAATTCTGCAAAAAAAGTCAGTGGTAGCTTGATGGTAATGGCATTGAATTCTATAAATTACTTTGGGCAGTATGGCCATTTTCACAATATTGATTCTTCCTATCCATGAGTATGAAATTTTTTTCCATTTGTTTGTGTCCTCTCTTACTTCCTTGAGCAGTGGTTTGTAGTTCTACTTGAAGAGGTCCTTCACATCCCTTGTAAGTTGTATTCCTAGGTATTTATTCTCTTTGTAGCAATTGTGAATGGGAGTTCACTCATGATTTGGCCCTCTGCTTGACTACTGGTGGTGTATAGGAATGCTTGTGATTTTTGCACATTGATTTTGTATCCTGAGACTTTGCTGAAGTTGCTTATCAGCTTAAGGAGTTTTTGGGCTGAGACAGTGGGGTTTTCCAAATATACAATCATCTTATCTGCAAACAGAGACAATTTTACTTCCTCTCTTCCTATTTGAATGCCCTCTATTTCTTTCTCTTGCCTGATTGCCCTAGCCAGAACATCCAATAGGAGTAATGAGAGAGGGCACTTAGTGCTATAAATTTCCCTCTTAACGCTGCTTTGTCTGTGTCCCAGAGATTCTAGTATGTTGTGTCTTTGCTCTCACTGATTTCAAATAACTTCTTTATTTCTGCCTTAATTTTGTTATTTACCCAGTAGTCATTCAGGAGCAGGTTGTTCAGTTTCCATGTAGTTGTGCGGTTTTGAGTGAGATTCTTAATCCTGACTTATAATTTGATTGCACTGTGGTTTGAGAGACAGTTTGTTATGATTTCCATCCTTTTGCATTTGCTGAAGAGTGTTGTACTTCCAATTATGTGGTTGATTTTAGAATAAGTGCTATGTGGCACTGAGAAGAATGTATATTCTGTTGATTTGGGGTGGAGAGTTCTGTAGATGTCTATTAAGTCCACTTGGTCCAGAGCTGAGTTCAATTCTTGAATATCCTTGTTAATTTTCTGTCTCATTGATCTGTCTGATGTTGACAGTGGGCTGTTAAAGTCTCCCACTGTCATTGTGTGGGAGTCTAAGTCTCTTTGTAGGTCTCTTAAGAACTTGCTTTATGAATCTGGGTGCTCCTGTATTGGGTGCATATACATTTAGGATAGTTAGCTCTTCTTGTTGCATTGATCCCTTTACCATTATGCAATGCCCTTCTTTGTCTTTCTTGATCTTTGTTGGTTTAAAGTCTGTTTTATCAGAGACTAAGTTTGCAACCCCTGCTTTTTTTTGCTTTCCATTTATTTGGTAAATATTCCTCCATCCCTTTATTTTGAGCCCATGTGTGTCTTTGCACGTGAGATGGATCTCCTGAATACAGCACACCAATGGGCCTCGACTCTTTATCCAGTTTGCCAGTCTGTGTCTTTTAATTGGGGCATTTAGCCAATTTACATTTAAGGTTAATATTGTTATGTGTGAATTTGATCCTGTTATCATGATGCTAGCTGGTTATTTTGCAGATTAGTTGATGCAGTTTCTTCAGAGTGTCATTGGTCTTTATATTTTGGTGTGTTTTTGCAGTGGCTGTTACTGGTTTTGCCTTTCTATATTTAGTGCTTCCTTCAAGGGCTTTTGTAAAGGCAGGCCTGGTAGTGAGAAAATCCCTGAGAATTTGCTTGTCTGTAAAGGATTTTATTTCTCCTTCACTTATGAAGCTTAGTTTGGCTGGACATAAAATTCTGGGTTGAAATTTTGTTTCTTTAAGAATGCTGAATATTGGCCTCCTACTCTCTTCTGGCTTGTAGGGTTTCTGCAGAGAGATCCGGTTAGTCTGATGGGCTTTCTTTTGTAGGTAACCTGCCCTTTCTCTTTGGCTGCCCTTAACATTTTTTCCTACATTTAAACCTTGGAGAATTTGACAATTATGTGTCTTAGGGTTGCTCTTCTTGAGGAGTATCTTAGTGATATTCTCTGTATCTCCTGAATTTGAATGTTGGCCTGTCTTGCTAGGTTGGGGAAGTTCTCCTCGATAATATCCTGAAGTGTGTTTTCCAACTTGGTTCCATTCTCCCCGTCACTTTCAGGTATACCAATCAATCATAGGTTTGGTCTTTTCATATAGTACCATATTTCTTGGGGGCTTTGCTCATTCATTTTCATTTTTTTTCTGTAATCTTGTCACACCTTATTTCAGTAAGTTGATCTTCAATCTCTGATATACTTTCTTCTGCTTGACAGATTTGGCTATTATTGATACCTGTGTATGCTTCAAGAAGTTCTCGTGCTGTGTTTTTCAGCTCCATCAGGTTATTTATGTTCTCTAAATTGGTTATTCTAGTTAGCAGTTCCTGTAACCTTTTGTCAAGGTTCTTAGCTTCCTTGCATTGGATTAGGACATGCTCCTTTTGCTCACAGGAGTTTGTTATTGCCCACCTTCTGAAGTCTATTTCTGTCAATTCATCCATTTCATTCTCTGTCCAGTTTTGTGCCCTTGCTGGAGAGGAGTTGTGATCATTTGGAGGAGAAGAGGCATTCTGGTTTTTAGAATTTTCAGCATTTTTGTGCTGGTTTTTCCTCATCTTTGTGGATTTATCTGCCTTTCATCTTTGAGGTTGATGACCTTTGGATGAGGTTTCTGTGTGGGGGTCCTTTATGTTGATGTTGATGTTGTTGCTGTTTGTTAGTTTTTCTTCTAATAAGCCTCTCTTCTGCAGGTCTGCTGCAGTTTGCTGGAGGTACACTCCAGACCCTGTTCACCTGGGTATCACCAGTGGAGGCTGCAGAACAGCAAAGATTGCTACCTGCTCCTTCCTCTGGAAGCTTCATCCCAGAGGAGCACCGGCCTGATGCCAGCCAGAGCTCACCTGTATGAGCTGTCTGTCGACCCCTGTTGGGAGGTCTCTCCCAGTCAGGAGGCACGGGGTCAGGGAGTTACTTGAGGAGGTAGTCTGTCCCTTAGCAGAACTGGTGTGCTGTGCTGGGAGAATTCCTCTTGTTAGGATCAGCTGCTCTCTTCAGAGCCAGCTGGCAGGAAAGATTAAATCCGCTGAAGCTGTGCCCACAGCCTCCCCTTCCCCCAGGTGCTCTGTCCCAGGGAGATGGGAGTTTTGTCTGCAAGCCCCTGACTGGGGCTGTTACCTTTCTTTCAGAGATGCCCTGCCCAGTAAGGAGGAATCTAGAGAAGCAGTCTGTCCACAGCCACTTTGCCACACTGTGGTGAGTTCTATCCAGTCCAGACCTCCCTGCTGCCTTAGCACTGTCGGGGGAAAACTGCCTAGTAAAGCCTCAGTAATTGTGAACGCCCCTACCCCAACCAAGCTGGATCATCCCAGGTCAACTTCAGGCTGCTGTGCTGGCAGTGAGAATTTCAAACCAGCGGTTCTTAGCTTGCTGGGCTCTGTGAGAGTGGGACACACTGAGTGAGACCACTTGGCTCCCTGGCTTCAGTCCCCTTTCCAGGAGAGCGAATGGTTCTGTATTGCTGGGGTTCCAGGCACCACTGGGATACGAAAAAGACTCCTGCAGCTAGCTTGGTGTCTGCCCAAACAGCCACCCAGTTTTGTGCTTGAAACCCAGGGCCCTGGTGGCGTAGGCACCTGATCTGCAGATTGTAAAAACTGTGGGGAAAGCGTAGTAATCCAGCTGGGTAGCACAGTCCCTCATGGCTTCCCTTGGCTGCAAGGAGGGAGGTCCCCTGGCACCTTGCACTTCCCAGCTGAGGCAATGCCCCACCCTGCTTCTGCTCACCTTCCGTGGACTGCACCCACTGCCTAACCAGTCCCAATGAGATGAACTGTGTTCCTCAGTTGGAAATGCAGAAACCACCTGCCTTCTGTGTTGGTCTTACTGGGAGCTGCAGACCAGAGCTTTTCTTATTCAGCCATCTTGGCCCCTTGTTTGGATTTATTTTTTACAAAATATTTTCAACTCTATTAAGATTAAATTTTGTACAACATCTGTGGCCATTTATTTTACTTTTAAAGTTTTAATGGTACATAATAATTGTACACATGTTGGGGGTACATGTGATATTTTGATATATGTATACAACATGTAGTGACCAAATCAGGGTAAGTGGGATATCTATAACCTCAAACGTTCATCATTTCTTTGTGTTGGGGAAATTCAAATTCCTCTCTTCTAGCTATTTTGAAATACACAATAGATAGTCATTAAACTTGTCACCCTACTATGCCACAGAACACTGGAACTTATTTCTTCTATTTAACTGAAATTTTGTAACCACTAACCAAACTCTTCCTGTCTTCCCCTCCCCTATATCCTTTCTAGCTTCTGTTAACCATTATTTTATTCTGTACTTCTATGAGATCAACTGTTTTAGTTTCCACATATGAGTGAGAACATGTGGTATTTGTCTTTATGTGCCTGGCTTATTTCACTTAATGGAATGCCCTCCAGTTTTCTCCATTTTGCCACAAATGACAAGATTTCATTCCTTTTAATGGCTGAATTCTATTCCATTGTATATATACACCACATTTTCTGTGTTCACTCATCCATTGATGGATACTCAAGTTGATTCTATATCCATATTTGTTTTTGAGTTGGTTTTGGTCATTTTTATCTTTCAAAAATTTTCCATTTCATCAGGCTTGTTAATTGATTTCCCTTTTAAGGTGTCTTGTTTTTATTCTCTTCAACTTAAAATTAAAATTTTAATTATGCCTTTGGCTTATAACAGGTCAGGAAAACAAGACCCCTTCTATTACACAGTCTTAGTAATTGTGTGAATCAATACAAAATGTTTGGAGTGTAATTTGGTGCCAATAAAAAGTAATAGCTTCAATACATCTGCATTTGACCCAGACATTCCAACTCTAGGGAATCTTTTTTTTCTTTTTCAGAAATATAATTGTTTATGTACTTACATGTATACGTACTTACTTTACTTACAAGTACATGTTTATGTACTTACAAATATCTAAGAATATTTATAGCATCATTTTTTCATAATTAAAAATGGAAACAACAATGAAAATTAATTAATAAATGTCTATCTAATAAAGAATAGGACATCCACATAATGGAATCCTATGTTAAAAAAAAAAGAGGTAGAGTAATATGTGCTGACATGGAAAGATATATTTTATATGTTGTTAAATGAGAAAGAAAAGGTTGCAAACAGATTTTCACAGCCTTTACGAAAAAGAATATGGAGATACATGCTTGGAAAATTTCTCTAAAATTATATGGCAAGTATTTGGGCTTGGGCAATTTAAGGAATTGGAAGAAAGATTAATCCCAATTTATACCCTTAGGCACCAATTGAAATTCTCAGATTTAACAGGTGTACTTAAAATACTTAAAATGAAAACAAAAATGCAGACAAATGTTTTGTAATTCCTACTTTTTCTGTCTTACTCCAGCATTAGACAGATTTCCAACTTACATTTTGTCAGTTCCTCCAGGTTGCAAACAGAACTGTGTACATAAGCTGTCCTTATGCTCTCTCTACTTTGCAGTGGTCCAGCTGGTAATCAGGGACATGCCATAGGAAAAAAAAAAGTCTGGAAGAATCTTGCTGGAATGCATACAGATGCACATATATCAAGAGGAGTGAAAACCTGAGACAATAGAACAGAATAGAGTTCGATTTAGGGGAGGGACCTCTTACAGTATTCTGTAGGGTCCACAGGACTAAACGCAGGAGCCTTTTTAAAATGAATGAAGGAGTCATCAGGCTTTTTAGAAGATATTTGGTGAAGTTAAGGCTTTGACCAAGACCAATATGCAGACTTTTTTGGGATATTGGTGCATGTTTTAGAGGCCAATTGTGGTGTCTCCTACTGGGGGAAAAGGGTTGATTTAGGCTCCGAATAACTAGAGAAACTTGAGAAAAGCCTAAGATAAACGACAGAGGTAGTTGACTGTTTAGAATCTGAGACATCTGGAAACCTAGACCTGAGGTTTTCAGGAAGGCAGCCCCAGTATTAAGAAGTCCCTGATTGGTAAGATTTCAGGTTTTCCCGTCAAACAAAAACTTTCAAAAGTTCTAAAACTTAATTGGTCAAAAAATGGGAATAACTTAAAGTTTGTTCTGCTCCCACTAGACTGATTGCCTGGGGACTCCCTGAACGTGGGCTAATTAAGAAGTAGTAACTCGGTGATTAAGTACCCTTGGGAAGAAGGGAAGAGGGAGGAGAGGGGAGAGAGAGAGGACCCTCAACTTTGCCCAACACTCATTTCTGGGCTTTTTCCTAAGCTCCTCTGGGAGGACATTTCCCTTCTTCGCCATGAGTGGGGATTGCAGCAACTTGTTCTGGCCCCTGTGCATGGCTCAGCACTAGCAGGACAGGAGGTAGCCTCAGCGGAGCCCTAGAGAACATCAGAAGAGGCGGCGAAGCCCCTCTGTAAAGGTGAGTGTCTTTCCAAGGGGTCTCCTCTATGAAGAAGAGGGTAAAAGCATTTTAGGATGGGACATCCTGGGCCTGCCTATCTTCTAGAACAAAGTCACCCAGATATTGAAGTGTGGGCTAGGGGAGCAGTAGAGTGTATAGGCTCATCTCCAGACCCTTCCTGCATAGCAGAGAGCACTTCCGGCTCCTCTTGGACCCAATGCTAACACAGTCACGGCTCCCTGACAGTCGGTGTCCTTCTCGCTCATGTTTCTTCATCTCGTGCTGGTTATGCAGAGGTTGTGGAAAACCAGAACACTGAGCTTTCCCATCAATTCTGTCCCTGAAGCTTTTTAAACCATTAGTAAAACAGTGACGTAGACAGGGAAGGGGTTACCTAAGCAAGGGAAGGGCAGGAGGGAAAATGGTAATGTGAGGCAGGAAGGAAAACCAACCAGAATAGGATTGAGGGAATGTGGCCCAGGCCCTGGCCAGAACAAGTATTATTTAATCATATATTATCCATCCATCCATCCATACCTCATCTAGCAAAATTTGTCAGCACTACTTATTTTATGTATATGATACATATATCTTATGTATTTAAATATCTTATAAATAAAAAATATATGTATATTTTATATAATATAAGATATATTTCATATATCTTATTTCATATATCTTATATAAATAAGATAAATAATATAAGATAATAATATAATATAAGGTGTGGTAGTTAGCTGTGTGAGTGATGAAATCTGACAGACCTAGGTTCAAATCTTGACTCACACAGCTATTAGTTCGGTTACCTTGTGATAAATTAATACATAATTTAATATATAAGATATATCTATGATATATTCATTTCACATAATGTATCTGTCTATATCTATATAAAAGATATATGATATATATATATAAAATATATAACTACTTAATTTATGTATGTACATTTTATGTGCCAGCCTCAGAATACAACAGTGAAGACATGTCCTAGCCCTCATGGAGTTTATATTCTAATGCCGTTGATAAATAATAAATACACTTAAATTTCCTCTCCTTCTTTCTTGCTTATTTTTTTCCCTGTGACATGATAAGCAAACTAAACTATTGCATATTTTACTTAGGTGTCTTGTGTGTGGTCTAGCCCCCACCTCTTCCTTGAATATAAGCTCCACAGGGCATGGAATTTTCTTTGTTCTGTTCATGACTACATTTGTTTATTGTTAAATAAAGGAATGAAGTAAATAATTAGACATAATACAAGGTAATAACAACTGTTATTAAAAAAATGGAAGTCCAATAATAAGTGTGTCTTTTCTGTTTTGGGCAGAGTGATTGGAAAGAGTCTTTGGAAAGGGTGACATTTGAATAATGGAATGAAGCGACAGGCAGAGAGCCAGGCATCCTTAACAGCTGGCGGTCCCAGATCTATTCCTTTTCTGTGCCAGGTGCCATCTTTCCTTCCTCCCACAACTTTGGAAGGAAAATGGAATTAGAGAAGAATGGATCTGTTCTGGGAAATTATCCCAAGCTCTAGAGTTCTCATTTAGAGATCTTGCTGTTCTGTAAAATGGAGATTTTAAAATCTGGAACAGCAGAGATGTTAGTCTTACATCCTCTGCCTCCTTTCTGCTGGCCCCAAAGGTGGGTCTATGCATTACCATTACAGATGAGAGCTGGGGTTTAAAATTCTGTCCTTTGAACATCATATAAAATGCCTTTGTGTCATCTTGCACAGTTAACCTAAGAGAAAGTAACTCCAGGACCGGAGGGACCTGATTGACTCACCTTTAAAACTGGCCTATTTAAAAGGTCTTAGCCTCTGCCCCCGAGAGAAGGTATATTTAATGGGGAAAAAGGCAAGGAAGGTATTTCACCACCAGTAGAAGAAGATGTCTTCACCCATTCTAGGGGGCTGGTTACACAGGGAAGTGAGAGCCTCACTTGTAGACTTGGGATGACAACATGTACCTCAAGCTATGTATGTGCCGACCACAGTAGCAGGGACATGTCACCTGATTCTCAGGTTGGAAATAGTTTCTTAACCTAATTTTTCTTCCTTCTCTCTTGAGAGCAGGACCATGTGGAGCAATGCCACCTCTCTTTTAATCTCTGGGCTTCAAAACAAGCAGAATCAAGGACTAAATGATGGACAACCACTCTAGTGCCACTGAATTCCACCTTCTAGGCTTCCCTGGGTCCCAAGGACTACACCACATTCTTTTTGCTATATTCTTTTTCTTCTATTTAGTGACATTAATGGGAAACACGGTCATCATTGTGATTGTCTGTGTGGATAAACGTCTGCAGTCCCCCATGTATTTCTTCCTCAGCCACCTCTCTACCCTGGAGATCCTGGTCACAACCATAATTGTCCCCATGATGCTTTGGGGATTGCTCTTCCTGGGATGCAGACAGTATCTTTCTCTACATGTATCGCTCAACTTTTCCTGTGGGACCATGGAGTTTGCATTACTTGGAGTGATGGCTGTGGACCGTTATGTGGCTGTGTGTAACCCTTTGAGGTACAACATCATTATGAACAGCAGTACCTGTATTTGGGTGGTAATAGTGTCATGGGTGTTTGGATTTCTTTCTGAAATCTGGCCCATCTATGCCACATTTCAGTTTACCTTCCGCAAATCAAATTCATTAGACCATTTTTACTGTGACCGAGGGCAATTGCTCAAACTGTCCTGCGATAACACTCTTCTCACAGAGTTTATCCTTTTCTTAATGGCTGTTTTTATTCTCATTGGTTCTTTGATCCCTACGATTGTCTCCTACACCTACATTATCTCCACCATCCTCAAGATCCCGTCAGCCTCTGGCCGGAGGAAAGCCTTCTCCACTTTTGCCTCCCACTTCACCTGTGTTGTGATTGGCTATGGCAGCTGCTTGTTTCTCTACGTGAAACCCAAGCAAACACAGGGAGTTGAGTACAATAAGATAGTTTCCCTGTTGGTTTCTGTGTTAACCCCCTTCCTGAATCCTTTCATCTTTACTCTTCGGAATGACAAAGTCAAAGAGGCCCTCCGAGATGGGATGAAACGCTGCTGTCAACTCCTGAAAGATTAGCTGTTCTGTAAGTCAGTTTTAGGTGGTCCAAGCCTCAGGGTTAATTATTAAGTCACCTAGAAAATTCTAACTCCTCTTTTCTCTTATCCTCTCATTACAAAAGTCAAAGAGTGTGTACAATTCGCCATCACACCATGGAAGTAGATTAGGCTGGTAATAATGAAATCCATTGTCTGTCCAGGAGACTCTCATAGCCTTAGTTCCTGCCTGTTTCCACTGTTGAACATATTCTTGTGATTTGGGGGGGACTAGAGAAAGGAAATGCAGACATTTTTGTAAGAATTCTATTAGCCCAACTCATTTCCTCATAGTCCATCTCTGAAAATGTATTTTCTGGGGAAGGGAGGAAGTGTGGAGGGAGGTGTACTGAGAAAGGTGTCCTAATCAGAGTAGAAAGGTAGAGATGCTCACTTTGGTCCTTCATCACCTGTTGCTAAGTTCTTCCCTATATTTTTGTGCAATTTTTTGGCAAGATGGCCATATGCATTTTAGATATCCTAAAGCTCTTTCTCTCTGCCCCATTGATACTGGAAAGGAAGTGTAACACTGTTTACGTTTTGTCACAGAACCAGTCTAGAATGGCGATATGAGGATTGGAATGCTTCTCATTCAGGAGATATTTGTGGTGTAAAGAAGATAAAAATATTTGAGGATAAAAATGGAGGAAAATTTATTTTTGTTAAGCTTCAGCATATTCCTTTCACTGCCCTTCTTTGTGGTGAGTATAGGGACAGGGGCAAATAAGAACTAAATGACTAATTCTAGAGAGCATCCTGTATTTTATGGCTGTTAAACACAACTATGTCTGTTCAGACTGTATCCAGATCTAGACTTCAAACTTTATAATGTCTTTTGATTCTCCGTCTCTCAAATCCAACAGTCTCAGTACCATCATGTGTATCTTCTCTGTGGGCAGAATTTTTTAAAAATAAGAGGCCATTCTTTTGACTCCCGGCTTTCTAGAAATTATAGGGATTGGCTGTTTGGTAGTGTAACTGTTGGAATTTCACATAATATTGGAAGAAGTCCTTATAAGGAAGAAGTTTACCTAAACAACAACAATCAGCAGATTCTACCAGCCCTAAAGTAAGTGAGAAAATTGAGCTGTTCAGCAGTGGGATGATGAGGCTACTGAGAATTTTGAAGAGTACTGTGTGAGGATGCCAGGTTGTCTTGTCCTGTGAGGAGTGATAACCGTCATGTATGTTTGGGTAGTTTGCATTGCATTAAAGTACCAGACAAGGTGGGGAATGAGCTTTAAATTCAGCCAGCCCATGCTCTGCAAGCCAACCAATGGACTCTGGTGGCACTGCATTGGCTGGAGAAAGGGGAGACTTTTGCTTAAACAAAGGTGCCCATGGTTTCCAAGCCCAGTAAATGAGGATCTGTTCTGACCAGAAAGAATACCTTTTTTCTAATTCATTAATCCAGAGAAGTATCCTTTAAGAGATGAGACAATAGAAGCTCAGAGAATTTAAATAACTTGCCAAAGTTTACTTAGCCATCCACTGTATCACATCCATCAGATTGGAAAAACATAAAACTCTGAGAATACTAAGTATTGATCTGAATGCTGGCGAATAGGGTTTTTAAAAAACCAACTTCTGGTAGAAATATAAGATATAAGATCCAAATAATTAGATAGTAGATGTCTATAATTAGGTTCTAGTATAGTCATAATAAGATAGTGGTAGTCCATTTTGCATTGCTATAACAGAATATAAATAATACCAGCCTGGATTATTTGCAAAGAAAATAAACATACTTGGCTTATGATTCTGGACACTGAAAATTTATTTGGCTTATGATTCAAGAGCATAACACCGGCATCTGACAAGGGCCTTGGTGCTGTGTCATCCTATGGCAGAAGGTGGAAGGGCAAGAGAGGGCCAGAGTGAGAGGGCAAGAGAGGGCCAAACTCATTTTCATAACAAATCCACTCTCAGAATAACAAACTCACTCCTGTGAAAACAACACTAATTCATTCATGAGGGGATATCCCTCATGACTTAATCGCCTCTTAAAGGTCTTACCTCTCAACAATGTCACAATGGTAATTAAATTTCAACATGAGTTTTGGAGGGGACGTTCATGTCATAGCACTTCACCCCTCATTCTCCAAAAGTAGTGTCCTTCTCACATACAAAATACATTCATCCCTTCCCCATAGCTGCTAAATGTCTTAACTGATTCCAGCATCAACTCAAAAGTCCAAAGACGGCCGGGCGCGGTGGCTCACGCCTGTAATCCCAGCACTTTGGGAGGCCGAGGCGGGCGGATCACGAGGTCAGCAGATCGAGACCATCCTGGCTAACACGGTGAAACCCCGTCTCTACTAAAAATACAAAAAAAAATTAGCCGGGCGTGGTAGCGGGCGCCTGTAGTCCCAGCTACTCGGGAGGCTGAGGCAGGAGAATGGCGTGAACCCGGGAGGCGGAGCTTGCAGTGAGCCGAGATCGCGCCACTGCACTCCAGCCTGGGCGACAGAGCGAGACTCCGTCTCAAAAAAAAAAAAAAAAAAAAAAAAAAGTCCAAAGACAAGTGTCTCATCTAAGTCAGATATGGGTGAGACTCAAGGCACGATTTACCCCAAGGAAAATTTCTCTTCATCTGTGAGCTTGTGAATTAATGTTACATCTTTCTAAAATATGATGTAAGACAGGCATAGAATAGACATTTCCATTCCAAAAGAAAGAAATAGGCAAGAAAAAAGAGTTGACTGGTCCCAAGTAAGTCTAAAACCCAATAGGGAAAACAACATTAAGTCTTTAAGCTGGAAAATAATCTCCTTTGACTCCATGTCCCACATCCTGGGCATGCTGGGGTTGGGGTTGAGCCCTCAAGCCTTTGCTGTGGTCAGTCCTCTCAGCAGCTCTCACAGGTTAGAGTCTAGTGCCTGCAGTTCTCCCAGGCTGGCATTGCACACTAGTAGCTCTGCAGTTCTTGAGTGTCAGGGGCATTTCTGCTCCCATGGCTTCACTAGGCATCCCCTGGTGAAGACTTTCTGTGGTGACTCTGCTCCTGCAGCAAGTTTCTGCCTGAGCCCACAGGCTTCACATGGCATCCTTTGAAATCTAGGTAGAGGAAGTCATGCCTCTGTAGCTCTTCCACTGTGCATGCCTGTAGAATTAACACCAAATGGATGCCACCAAAGTCTACCATTTGTACCTTCCTTCCAGAGTGGTAGGTCAAGCCACACCTGGGGTTACTTGAACCACACCATGAGCAGCCAAAGAACACTGTCCAGGAATGCAGGGAGCAGCAACTCCAGGTGGCCTGTGAAGCGTACCCTGTGCCCATTCCCCAAAGCTATTCTGCCCTCCTAGATCTCTAGGCCTGTAATGGGATGAGCAGCCTCAAAGATCTCTGAAATGCCCATTGTCTTGATGAGCCCTTCTATTTATACTAATCTCATTAGCAAATGGTCACTTGGTCACACCCTTGGTCTGTTCTCTTAAACACACATTTTCATTCTTTATGTGGGCAGGCTGAAAATTTTCAAAATCTTTTCATTCTGCTTTTTTTTTTTGGTTATAGATTTCATCTTTATTTCTTTTCTCTTACATTTTACTGCATATGGTTAAAAGTAGCCTTGCAGATCCTTCAATATTTTGCTTAGAAATTTCTTCCACCAGATAGTCTTATTCATCACTCTTAAATTCTACCTTCCATAAAACCCATGGGCATGGACACAGATGTAATTTTAATCTGTGTCCCTGCCCAAACCTTATGTCTAATTGTAATCCCCAGTATTGGAGGTGGGGCCTGGTGGGAAGTGATTGAACCATGGGTGCAAATTTCTCATGAATGGTTTAGAACCATTCCCCTTGGCACTGTCCTTGAGATAGATCGTGAATGAGTTCTCATGAGACATGGCCATTTAAAAAGTGTGTAGCACCTCCCTTCTCTCTCTTGCTCCTGCCCCTGCCATGTAAGAAGCCTGCATCTCCTTTGCCTTCAGCCATGATTAGAAGCTTCTAGAGGCCTCCTGAAAAGCAGAAGCCACTATGCTTCTTGTACAGCCTATAGAATCATGAGCCAATTAAACCTCTTTTTTTTTGATAAATGTCCCAGTCTCAGGTATTTCTTTATAGTAATGTGAGAACAGACTAACACAGGCACAATTCAGTTAAGTTCCTTGCCACCTCATAAAAAGAATGGCCTTTACTTTAAAAAAAGGATGGACATTCCTCTTTTCTGTCTCAGCTTTCATCAAAATGGCCATTACTTTTCATATTTCTATCAATATTCTTATCACGACCACCTAAGTAATCTTTTAAAAGTTTCAGATTTTTCTACATTTCTTCTTTTCTTCTGAGTTCTTACCAGAATTTCCCTTAGTGTTCAATTTATGGTAGTCTAGGATTCTTCTAGCCTGCTCTTCTAAATTCCTCCAACCTCTGCTCATTACCCAGCTAAAAGCCACTTCCACATATTCAGGTATTTGTTATAGCAAAAGCCCCACTCTTGGTGCACATTTTCTATCTTAATCTGTTTTTTGTTGTTAGACTAGCACAGGCTAAGTAATTTATAAAGAAAAGAAGTTTATTTGGCTCATGATTTCAGAGGCTGAGAAGTTCAAAGGCATGGTGCTGGCATTGCCAAGGGCCTGCATGCTGTGTCATTCCATGGTGGAAGGCAGAAATGCAAGAGGGAGAGAGAGCAAGAGAGGCTGAACTCTCTTGCCCTCACACGAATTTATTCATGCTCATGAAAATGAATCCACTCCCCCAATAATGACATTAATTTATCCCTGAGAGCATAACCCTCATAACCTAATTACCTCTTAAAAGTTCCACCTCTCAACACTATTACAATGGCCACCAAAGTTCAACATGAGTTTTGAAAGGGACGTGCAAACCATAGCAGTAGGAAACCTAGGAAACTTGTACTATGCATACACTGTGGCCTATTTTTAAGTTTGTTAATTCTTTCTTCAGCTATGTTGAATCTACCAATGAACCTGTGAAAATAATTCCTCATCTCCCATATCGTGGTTTTATTTATAACATTTCCATTATATTCTTTCTTATAGTTTTAAGCTGTCTATCAGAAACCTTTTCTTGTTTATGCATGTTGTCCACCTTTTCAACAACATCATTTAACGTTTTCATTACACATATTATGTTTGCATTAAGTGAATATTTTTTCTATGGCAGTCAACCCTTCATATCCATGGATTCTTCATCTTGGATTCAACCAACTGCAGATAAAAAATATTTGGGAAAAAAAGGTTGGTTGTGTATGTACTGAACATGTACATGCTTTTTAAAAATCATGATTTCCTAAACAATATAGAATAACAACTATTTACCTTGTATTAGGTATTATAAGTAATCTAAAATGATTTAATGTATACAGGATGATGTATGTAGGTTATATGCAAATAGTATACAATTTTATATAAAGAACTTGAGCATCTGTGAATTTTTGTATCTGTGGGGTTCCTCTTTTGGAACCTTGGTTTGAAACCAAGCACCCACAGATACTGAGGGATCACTGTATAACATTTTAAATCCTTTGTTGATTTTTAAATTGTATTTTAAATGAATGCTCTAGAGCTTAACATATATATCTTATCAGATTGGCTTCAGATTTATACTAACAATGCCAGTGAGATATAGGAGCATTACTCCTATATAGCTCTATTCTCTTTTTCCTCCTTTTGTTCTGTTATTGTTGTAATACATAGTTCACCTACTTACAAACTTAACAATATATTGTTATAATTGTTACTTATAATTTTAAAGGAGATGGGAGAAGAAAGGAGAACGTTTGCATATTTCTAGCATTTGTAATGTTAACCTTATTTATTTTTTCTGGTTATCTTCATTTGTTTCTCAGATTCACATTTACATCTGATCTCATTTCATTACTCCAAAACTGTTCTGCTCCTAGCTAACTCTTTTGTGCTATTTTTGGTAAATCTATTACATTTCTTTATGTTTTCCATTCACAAATAAGGTATATACTTATTGTCTTATGTAACTGTTTTTTTAAACTAGTTAAAAGAAGAGAATAAACATGCATTTATGCTTTCTTTTATAATTACTTACTATATATTCCTTATAATTACTTACCATAAAAACTTACTTTTATCAATGCTTTTTATTTTATTTATGTGGATTATAAACACTGTCTGATGTCACTTGCTTTTAGTCTGCAGAAAT
The DNA here is from genome assembly GCF_000001405.40 of Homo sapiens. NCBI lineage: Eukaryota > Metazoa > Chordata > Mammalia > Primates > Hominidae > Homo > Homo sapiens. The sequence goes on along the minus strand of NT_187562.1, from coordinate 1,043,096 downwards.
TCCTTTAGTATTTCTTGTAAGTTTGGTCTGCTAGCAACAAATTCTCTCATTTAGTTTATCTCAGAATTTCTTTCTTCTGCCTTAATTTTTGAAAGATAATTTTGCCAGCTATAGGATTTGTGGTTGACCTTGTTTTTTCTTTCACCACTTGGAATATGTCATCCTGTTCCCTTCTGGTCTCAACTGTTTCTGATGAGAAGTCAGCTGTTAATCTTACTGATTCCATTAGATGTGAGATGTTCCATTAGATGTGAGAAGACACTTTCTCTTGTTGCTTTGAAGATTTTTTTCCTTGTTTCTCAGAGATTTTACTATTATTTGTCTACTGTAGATCTCTTTGTGTTTATTCTACTAGAAGTCTATTGACCTTTGTGGGTGAGTAGATTAATATTTTTCATCGAATTTGAGAAGTTTTCAACCATGATTTCTTCAAATATTTTTTACGTTCTTCTGTATCTCTCCTATCCTTCTGGTACTTCCATTACATGTATATTGGTACACTTAGTGGTATCCCATATTTCTCTGACACTTTTTCATTTTTCTGTATTTCTTTTTTGTCTCTGATCTTTGGATTGCGTGATTTCTATTGACCTATCTTGAAGTTTAATCATTATTTCTTCCATTAGTTACAAAATACAGTTGTGCTCCTCTGGTTAATTTTTTACTTATTGTACTTTCAGACTCTAGAATCTCCATGTGGCCATTTTTATCATTTTGATATTTTTGTTGATATTCTCTACTCAGAGAAACATTATCATCATACTTTTCTTTACTTTTTAAATAAAATCATTTCCTTTAATTCTCTGAACATATTTATAATGTCTACTTTGAATTTAAATGTTAAATATGCCATCTGGTCCCTCTCACATACAGTTTCTATTGTTAGCTTTTCCTCCTGTGTATGAGTCACACTTTCCTGTTTCTTTGCATATCTTGTAATTTTTTGTTGAAAACTACACATTTTAGATATTATATTGTATCACTATGGATACTGTTATCTCACTTCCAGGGGATTATTATTGTAATTTGGTTATCAATTTGTTTATAGTCATGCACTATATAACAATATATCAGTCAATGATGGACTGCATGTAAGATGGTGGTTCTATAAGATTATAATGGAGCTGAACAACTCCTATCACCTAATGACATGGTAGCTGTTGTAACATCATAGCACATCACGTTTCTCATGTGTTTGTGGTGATGTTGGTATAAACAAACAAGCATACCATGCTGTGGTTGTATAAAAGTATAGCACATAGAGTTAGAAGTATAGCACAGTACATAATACTTGGCAATAATACTAATTTTACTAATTTATGTATTTACTATACTATGCTTTTTATCATTATTTTAAAATATACTCATTCTACTTACAAAAAAGGTGTTAACTATAAAACAGTCCCAGACAGATCCTTCAAGAGGTTATGCCAGAAGAAGGCACTGTTATCATAGGAAATGACAGCTCTATGCTTTTTATTGCCACTGACTACTTTCCATTGGGACAAGATGTGGAGGTAGAAGACAGTGACACTGATGATCATGACCATTTGTAGGCCTAGGCTAATGTGTGTGTTTGTGTCTTCGTTTTTCTTTTTTAAGTTTAAAAAGTAAAAAATAAATTAAGAATAGAAAAAAGCTTATAAAATAAGGATCTAAAGAAAGAAAGTATTTTTGTACAGCTGTAAAATGTGTTTGTGTTTTAAGCTAAGTGTTATTATAAAAGAGTCCAAAAGTTAAAAAAAGTTTATAGAGTAAAAAAGTTACAATATGCTGAGGTTTATTTATTATTTCAGAAAGAAACTGTAGTGTTGTTTAAGTGCACAGTGTTTATGAAGTCTACAGCAGGCAGTGTACAGCAATGCCCCAGGTCAACACATTTACCTATCATTTCTCACTGACTCACCCAGAACAGCTTCTAGTCCTGCACGCTCTGTTTATGGTAAGTGTACTATTTTTTATCTTTTATACTGTATTTTTAACATATATTTTCTATGTTGAGATACAGAAATGCTTGCCACTGTCACAATTGCCTAGAGTATTCAGTATAGTAATATGCTGTACAGGTTTGTAGCCTAAGAGCACTAGGCTATACCATCTAGCCTGTACCATCTAGGTTTGTTGAAGTACATTTCATGATTTTCATACAATGACAAAATCACTAAACAATGCATTTCTCAAAATGTATTCCCGCCATTAAGTGATACATGACTATTTCCCTGGCTGTGTGTACTCTCTAGCATTGCTCTTAGAGGGTGCAGTCTTGGTTATGTATGCAGATCCTGAAGTAATAGTGATTTTAATAGGGATTCTTTGACTGTCACACTGATCACACACAATTGTTAGGCTCCACTAATTGCCAGCTGATGGTCCTATTATTTTTGATAATGCCTGGGTTGTAAATTGTTCCATAGTCTGATACAATTAAGTTTGGATTCCTTTATAGCAGTGGCTTTGAGGTCAGATTTCTTAGCTCTCTCTTTCTCAGGGTCTCCCAGTTAATCTATCTGGTCTATAATTTATTTCTTACCTCTCATGAATGTATCAGCCTTCTTCTTTGCCTTCCACTAAAACCTTCATTGTTTTTGAGAGTTTCGTTGGACTTGAACTTTCCTACCCTCTCTTTCAAACAAAGTGAATTCTTTCAGAGCTTTCTGTTTTATGGCCTGGCTCTTCCCCTGAGCAAAATATCTGAGCCATAGCTCTTGAGCTGGGGGTGAGGATGGTGGTGCAGCTCTCACTAAGTGACAACTCTGCTTTAGTTTCAGGGTGGCAGACAGGGGTAGCAGCTTTGCACTTCCTGCTTTGCCTTTTCTGGTGTAGAGCTTCTACTCTGTGAGTGAGGATGAGTGGGATCCTAGCATCCTCAGCATGCTTCTCTCGAGCCAGGTCCCCTGCCCTATGAGTGAGGACTGGGTAATAGCAGGAAGTCTCTGACCTCTCGTCTTTCCTCTCCTGGAAATTAATTTCTGCAATGTGTACATGGAAAAGAGAGGGATGAGCAATGCTTGGCTACCTACCCCTTCTGGGAAGATACCAGAGCCCTTGACTGGGAGCTGATAGTAAAGAAGCCCAGTGCTCTTGGCTGCACGTGCCTGGAGTGGATTTCCTATCGTAATGAGCTGGGAGGTGGGAGGAAGGTAGTGGGTTGTAGTTCAAATATCATAGACTCTCACTCTTCTGACCAAGCTTTGATAGATTTTCTTAAGTAAATGTTTTCTTTGTTTGCTGTATGCTCTCAGTACAATTTCCAGAGACTTGAAGTGCTTTTCTTAAATGCTTTTTTTCACCAATTATGCTTGTTTAACTGGCCTGGCAGTCTGCAGAGCTTCCTTGTCAATCATAGTTGTGTTAAAGCTACTCACCGATCATTCCAATGTCTGGATCAGCTCTGCATTGAGTTCCATTGTTTTTTACTCTTGAAAATGGATTGTTTTTCAGCTGTTCTACATACAATTTACAGCCTTTTTTAAAAAAATTTGAGACAAGGAAACAATTCATTCTCAAGAGAAAAAAACAACAGAACTCAATGCAGAGCTGATCCAGACATTGTAACTATTGGTGAGCAGATTTAAAGCAACTATGATTGACAGGGAAGCTCTGCAGACTGTCTGGCCAGATAAACAAGGATAATTGTGAAAACAGTTATTTAAGAAAAACACTTAAAATCTGGACATGAACAAACCTCTTCTTCGGTTGAGCTTGAAGTCTGAGGGGTTCAGTTAATCTGGTTGGGAGGTCGAGATGTTTGGTGGTCTTTAGTGAACCATATGCTACACATTCCTTTAGTCATGCATTGCTGTTATCTTGGGCTCAGGGTATTTAGATTGGGTATACACATTGGGTTTAACACAGAAACAATAACCAGTAGAATACTTTAAATTTGTGAGATATTTTGAAATCTTCACAGTGTTATCACAGCTGTTTTTGATGTTGTTCTCTCTTTGGCCTAACCAGATAGATATTTGTATGAGGGATAATTCTTCATCTCTTGGTCATTATTTCCAGTATGCCTGGACCATGTGGTCTTGGTAAAACAATTTGTTTGCAACTTTTTCTCCTGAATTTATTTTTTATTGTTCTGAAGGCCATGAACCTGCACGGTTCAAAACTGTTTTGAACAGTTTTCCACAAAATCACCCATACATACATACATATACCCTTTTTCCCTAGATTTACTGGCAATTTCTTTCATATGGTTAACACTAAATACCATTCTTAGAGAAATGACCAGATTTTAAATTTGTTTTCTCTTCTTCACCATTACATAAATACTTGGATGCTCTTTTCCAGAATTAGGGTAAAGGGGATAAAGCTTTTTTCTTTAACTTTTATTTTTGCCTCCTGTTCACTTTTTGAGAATGGGATGTTAGCAGCAGTCCTGAGGACAACAAAAACTTATAATTTAATGAGAATTAACCAGGGATCTAACCCTATACATGCAAACACACAATTTATCTATAGCTTTGACATTTCCTTGATGTTGGGATCTTCTGTCCAGTTGCTTAAGCCAAATCCGTTTGTGTATTAGACTTTTCTCTCCCTAAATATCAAAAAGTTCTGTCTTCTCTTAGGTGACTTTTTGGAACATGTCATGGAATTGGGAGCTGTTGATGCTTCTCTGCCCCACACTCACACTCTAACACCCACCCCCCTGCTACTGTGAGAATTGTCTTCTAAAAATGCTTACAACCTCCCCTTCAGGGAATCACAGTAGGCTGAACAGAAACCACCTCATGCAAATTTATACTCTACCCCTCCCCAAAAAATCCCCACAGCCCGAGGCAGACTGCCTGACAGAGAGATACAAAAAGCCATTCCACTGGTTTCATCACAAGATCACCTCTATGGAGGTCCTATGGGATGTGGCTGAAACCATATCCCGGGTTAGCTCTCTGCCCTTGGCTTATCCTGCTTGCCTTCCTCCCTTTTCCCAGACAGCATTTCTACCATATGTCACTTCCACAGGAATCCCTGTCTCAGGCTCCGCTCCTAGGGAGCCCAATCCAAGTCTCTTGGAAGTGGTTCTAAAAGCAGACAATCTGGAGGTGGGTCACTTGCTGGCAGATGTCAGAGAGAACTGCATCAGCGGAGGTACTGATAGACCCCAGAGCAATGAGATGATGGAGTGAATGCAGTTGTTAAGATTTTCTCCTCTTTGCACCAGTATTTGAAAGGTTCAAGGAAAACAGTAACTATAAGGACTGTGGAATTCAGTCAATGTTTGCTAAGTGCCCCAACATTGTTGAGGAGAGAAAATGACACGCTCAGCTCTACTTAAAGGTATGAGAGTCAGAAAGCTTCTTTGGCAGCAATTAAAGAGACACTCCCTGCAGTCAAAGGGCTGACAAAGTGAAGAGAAGACTCAGAATTGAACTGTAAAAGTAACAGAATTTCAAAGAAGATTCATTCAGTCTAACCAAATCTCCTGTAGCAAAGACTGGCTCATGATAGGGAATGAGTGGGACTCAGTCTTGGTGTAAAGATTTCTAGATAAATGCAGTTGAGAACTTTGAACACCCAGATTTCTCTGAACTCCCTTGGGCTGCAGAAATATCTCATTCCCTTATTGGAAGATATGGCACCCTCTCTTACTTTAGGAATATGCAAAGAGTTCAAATAAAGTTGGTGCCTTACGAGACGATGCTTGTCTTCCTCAGAAACTGCTCCCTCCTCTTCTCCTTCTACCCGATTCATACACAGGGTTAAATATCAACATAAGCTGGGGAAGATCTGAGGCTGCTCACAGAAAAGAGATTTTGTACCCCAGAGCTCCTGCAAGAATGGGCCAATGTGCACTAGCAGGTACTAGGAGAGATGCCTGTGGGTGGATCCAGAGGCCAGTGGATCCAGGGGGTGACTGGAAGATAAAGCTGGATAAGGAAGAGTTTGTTAACATGAAGCCACTCTCCCATCATGCAGGATTTAATACGCTGGCAAGGAGCTTGGAAAATGAGTCAAATATATGCTATTTGCTGACTCATGGAAGCTTGGAAAAAGTAACATCCTTCATTAAATTAAGCGGAGATGCCAAAAATTGCCTTGGAAGACGATAAAGGAAAGGATCAAAAGGCTTAGAAGAGTGGAAATGCTATAATGGATCTACTATGTAAGACCGAAAAGCCTATCGGCTGATCATGTTCCCAAGGAGACCTGGAGGACACTCTGCCTAGCAAGATGATTAAAAAGAATGTGCTGTAAAAGAAAGTATTAGCTGGGGTGGATTATGTTAGGAGCTGCTGTTACAGAACTGAGTTCTCTAGTAGCAAGGGGACATGGATAACTAGAACAGCAGAGGCCAGGTGGCAGTGCTTAACTGTCAGATGCAAAGCGGGTGGACTTACCCTATTGGGCAGAAAGGTTGAACTGGTAGATAGGAGCAGGCTGAATTGCAGGGATCTTTGGAGATGGCTCACAGAACATAGTGTTCTTGAGGCAGGCTGTGTGGGCAGCTAACAAGAGTTCTGCTGAATATACATAACTGAAAGAGATCAAGAATGTAGAAGAAAAAGGCTAAGGACAGTCACCCCACTGGAAAGTCAGGATCCTTTGCCAAATCTCCAGATTTGAGCTAGTCCACAGACCCACGATCTATCAAACGAAAAGGAATCTGAGGCACCAGAGGTAGGGCCCTGCGACACCATGACAAGTATGTCTAGTAGCAGTTCCCCGATTTTTCCCCTACAGCCATCTACATGAGTAACCATCACTGGAGACAGAGGAATATTCAGATATGTCGAGGGCTGTGGTATAGAGTAATATGTGAGTTAAAACTTATTCCCAGAGATCCAAAGCACCATGAATGGGCCTCTTATTAGAGAAATCTACAGGAGTCAGGTAAGGAATGAAGTGCTGATCCAGACGTATCTCACAGTCGTTCCCTCTTTTTTTTGAGACTGAGTCTCACTCTGTCACCCAGGCTGGAGTTCAATGGCATGATCTCGGCTCACTGCAACCTCTGCCTCCTGGATTCAAGCTATTCTCCTGCCTCAGTCTCCTGAGTAGCTGGGATTATAGGCACCCACCACCATGACCGGCTACTTTTTGTATTTTTAGTAAAGACAGGGTTTTACCATGTTGGCCAGGCTGGTCTCGAACTCCTGACCTCAGGTGTTCCACCCACCGTGGCCTCTCAAAGTGCTGGGATTACAGGCATGAGCCACTGCGCCTGGCCTCGTTCCTTCATTTTTTACTTCTTTTCTTCTCCCTTTTCCCCTTTTTACTTTTCTCTTTTCCCCTTCACTTCCACCCCCCATTCTCCCTCTCCTTCTTCCTCTCTCTCTCTCACACACACACGCACACACGCACATACACACTCTGAATGAATACTCATTCAGCATCAGGCCTTATGCTAGGCACTGAGAACTCAGAGATGAAATCCAGCTCATCCATCCAAGAGCTCAGTACAGTGACGGAGAGGGACGAGTCAGTGAACAGCACATGGTCACAAGCACCCCACAGAGGAGTGTGCAGGGGAGCATGGCAGCACAGAGGAGGAACAGCCAACTGGGCCTGGAGGGGGAAATAAGTAACTTAGATAGATATCTACTCATAACTCTCTCCATCTTCCTCATCTCTCCAATTTCCCACTCCAATTTATATCAACACATCATACATTTATTTTAACTCAAGGGAAAAATTATAAAGATAATCCATATAAAGAAGATACTGGCCAATTTATATCATTAGACAAGTCAATCTTTCTAATTAGATGGGGGAGCAAAAGAAGGGTGGATCCCCTGTGGGGGGTATGTTTTATTTCATGTTTGAAAGAAAAGTAAGTATCATCAGGCAGAAAATCTTGGGTCCCCTGCGTCTTACACCCGTTTTCAGCTGGGACTTGGCCCCGCTCAGCGTTAATCTCTTGGCATGCATTTCTAGTCACGTTAAATAGACATTTCATAGAAGACTCAGCTGATGTTAAGTCAACCATGAGGACATTCAGAAAGCGATCTTACAAGCAAGAACTCCCCGCTCAGGAGTTGGGATTTCAGAAGGTAACCAGCTTCTGCCAGGTTATTTTCTTTCTTTCTCACGGATGAGCTACTTTCCTGAAGCCTCCCAGAACACTTTAAAATTTGATCAGAAAACTACTCTGGAGAGGCTATAAGTGCAGAAGAGTAGCTTTCTCAGAGGCCCAGATTCTTTCCCCTGAATTTCGTCTCATCATTGGAAAACAATTCGTGGAAAAACATGGAATTTACAGCCAGACTTAGGCCCAAGTCTCAGCTCTACCCATTCTGAGTTGTATGAGCTTAGGTCAGGTATCCACTCCTGTGACTATGAGAGGGACCACTTCTTAGGAGATGAAGAACATAAAAAATACAGGAGCAGGTTCACATCTGGCCATAAGGAGCAGGTTCACATTTAAGGAGCAAGTTCACATCCGGCCATAAGGAGGAGGTTCACATTTAAAGGAGCAGGTTCACATCTGGCCATAAGGAGCAGGTTCACGTTTAAGGAGCAGGTTCACATTTAAGGAGCAGGTTCACATCCGGCCATAAAGAGGAGGTTCACATTTAAAGGAGCAGGATCACATCTGGCCATAAGGAGCAGGTTCACATTTAAGGAGCAGGTTCACATTTAAGGAGCAGGTTCACATCCGGCCATAAGGAGGAGGTTCACATTTAAAGGAGCAGGTTCACATCTGGCCATAAGGAGCAGGTTCACATTTAAGGAGCAGGTTCACATTTAAGGAGCAGGTTCACATCCGGCCATAAAGAGGAGGTTCACATTTAAGGAGCAGGTTCACATCCGGCCATAAGGAGGAGGTTCACATTTAAAGGAGCAGGTTCACATCTGGCCATAAGCTTCAGAGGTGGAAGAGCCATCTGAGATCATCTACACTTTTCTTTGATCTTTGGATTTCTTTTTTCTTTGAATTTGGACAATAAATCATTGGTTACATGGTTAGTCATGTCCGTGCTAGGAATTGAGCTTGGGTCTGCTGAATGACAAAACAGAAGGTAGACTAGGGAGGAAACAGTGCAAGGGAAAGAACACACATATCTATTCTTTTTTTTTTCTTTGAGTTGGAGTCTCGCCCTGTTGCCCAGGCTGGAGTGCAGTGGTGCAATCTCGGCTCACCACAACCTCCGCCTCCTGGGTTCAAGTGATTCTCCTGCCTCAACCTCCCAAGTAGCTGGGAATACAGGCATGCACCACTGCACCCGGCTAATTTTTATGTTGTTAGTAGAGACGGGGTTTCACCACGTTGGCCAGACTGGTCTCGAACTCCTGACCTCGTGATCCACCTGCCTCAGCCTCCCAAAGTGCTGGGATACAGGTGTGAGCCACTGCGCCCAACCAAGAAAACATATATGGATTATTTTCCCTTCCCTTACGCCTTTTCCTATTATATATATATGATCCATATATATTTTCATAGGATATTATATATAACATATATTATAGATATAATACATATATATGTGTTATATATGATACACATAAAAATATATATGTAATAGGAAAAGGTGCAAGGGAAAGAATATGTATATAATAATATATATATCTATATGTCATAGGCAAATTAACAGTAACAAAGATTGCAAGTTGGTTAGATTGCTCAGGGAACCAATGGAAATAGAGGAAGATTCATAGTCAGATCCTAAAAAGAATTTCCCAGGGTGCAGAAAGTGTAACTAAAATATGAAAGGAAGGAAACATAAATAAGTGAATGTTGATAAATGAAGGAGTCTGTTCATTAATCTATAAGCAAGACTACAAACTCAAAGTAAGATTACCCAGCCCTTCCAAGGGCAGGCTGGGCACGACAGAAGCAGAAACCTGGGGTGAGGCAGGGGCCACAGTGCAGCGGACAGCTGCCTGATCAAGCCTTTTGACTGCCGCTCTGTTCCCCTGTGTGTACGAAGATCTGCTGCTTTGCAGAAAGCTCGAGACCCAGGCCATGTTAAGAGAGAAGAGGCCCAGATCAAAAATGTTGCAGCAGTGATTTTTGGGCCTTTCTAGAAAGAAAGGTGGTATTATGGTGAGTAATGCTTCTAGAATGTTGTGTGTGATGGGGGGAGCGAGAGTATAAGCTGTATGCGTAGACCATGCGGCGTTACGAGTTGAAATATACAAGTAAACACTTCTAAAGTCAGCGTGCAAAATTAAGGTGTTAGAAGAAGTTTCAGATGAAAAAAATAATTAGAAAGAATGACTTGTCTAATGATGTAAATGGGCCAGTGTCTTATTTATATGGATTATATTTATATTTTTTTCCCTTGAGCTAAAATAAATGTATGATGTGTTGATATAAATTTGAGTGGGAAATTGGAGAGATGGGGAAGATGGAGAGACATGTGAGTAGATATCAAGGTAACTGAAGACCATTCAATGTGTGGAGGGACAGAGACAGATGGAAGGAGACTTGGGGACTGAGTAAGGAAGAAAGGACTATACATTAGAAAGGATGATTCAGCTTAGAGCAGAACTGGAGACGACTTGAGGCCGTGAAAGGAAGATTCACAAAGTCAGGGCTGGGGAACAAGGAACAGAGGCAGGGGCTGGTGGAGCTAGGGAGAGTTCATGCATGCAAATTCCGGGGGACACTAGCTCAGCTGGCTGACACTAGGGCAGAAAAGCTGGGGTCCAGTAGGCAAGGATGGGAGAGACTCTAAATACCACAGAAACAGCAAAGCTGCTTAGGAGTGAAACTTAGCTTTTAGCAATAATGACTACCATTACTGACAACATACTTCCAGCCGTCATGATGAAGACATTGCATACATTATTGCTTTTTTTAAAAAATTGTATTAAATTTAGGAGATAATTTTGTTAAATGCATAGATTGCATAGTAGTTAGGGCTTTTAGGGTATCCATCTCTCAAGTAATGTTTATTGTACCTATTAAGTAATTTCCCATCATCCATCCTTCTTTTCCTCCCCACTCTTCTGAGTTTTCATTGTCTATTATTCCACACTCTGTGAGCACATCATTTAACTCCCAATTATAAATGAGAACATGCAGTATTTGTCTTTCTGTGTCTTGGTTGTTTCACTTAAGATAATGACCTCCAGTTTCATCCATCACACACATTATTTATAATACAATAGCCTTGCTAAGAAAAGGTTATTATCTCCACTTTACAGGTGAAGAGCGTGAGGGCCACAGAGGTTAAGAAACATCTTGAAAGTGACAGAAATTGTATTTCAACTTGGTTCTAGCTGATGCCAAAGAGCTACCCTGAGGTTTCCCAGCCACTATTGTGAGGTGCTCACAAACCACTGCCAATGCGCTGACTAAATAATACTGGCTACATTCAAGCGTATGCAGCTGATGCTCTTACAAAGAAAATGCCCACCCATTGAAGAGTATTGCTGATTTTGCAATTTTTGTATTGCATGAATTTTCTCAACGAAGGGATAAAAAGGATCCATTTAATAACTTTTAGCGTCAAGTGGGGGATTCTCACAATTTGTTAGGGGAATTCTGCCGCTGAAGGAGTTTGGTAGCCACCGTGTGCTGCCTTTCCCAAGCCAGCCATGTTCTGCAGCCTGTGTAATCTCCAGGCCAATAGCATGCACAAAGTACTCAGTTCAAGGACCTCGACCGTGTGCAAAAGGCATTGTGCACTGCCTGCAGATGTGTGACTATGAGGCGCTCAGAGGAACACACTGCAGAACGAATGAGGTGAAGGAGAGACTAATGGGCTGAGCCTGGGGTATTAAACTGGATCTATATGAGAGGAAGCCACCGTCTTCCGTGGATGCTGCTAATTACAGCGACGAGATTATATGAAATGATTTTTGCTTGAGATAGTTTCTGCTATCATTGTATTTTTCTCATTTTCCAAGTTAATTAATTTTTATTAACAGTTTGTTGTTACCGCCTACCTTCCAAAGAATCAGGACCCAGAGAGGCCACGATGCCAAGTGTCAGAGGCGTGTGCGGTCTCAGAGGTGTGGATTCAGCTCCACCTGGTGGCAGCTCTACGTAGTGCAGCGGAGGTACCGGGGCGCTCAGGCCTCCGACTGCAAAGCCTGTTCCCCGGAGGATGAAGGGAGAAAGGGGGCAGAGCCTGTGCTTATTGCCAGAGTGAGGGGGAGAGTAAAAAACACAAAAGATCGAAAATATCGGGGACAATTTTTTGAAAACTTGAAACAAAAATAAGAGACATTCTGAAGCAAATCAAATTTTAAAAAATGGTTTGAGGGAGACCCACGAACCAAGACACTCACTGAGAATAATAGCAGAATGATTTCCATGAATAGGGAAACACAATTTAACTATTTTTTTTTTTTGAGACGAAGTTTCGCTCTCGTTGCTCAGGCTGGAGTGCAGTGGCGCGATCTTGGCTCACTGCAACCTCCGCCTCCCGGGTTTAAGCTATTCTCCTGCCTCCGACTTCTGAGTAGCTGGGATTACAGGCAACTGCCAATAGGCCCTGTTAATTTTTTTTATTTTAGTAGAGATGGGGTTTCGCCATGTTGGCCAGGCTGGTCTCGAACTCCTGACCTCAGGTCATCCACCCGCCTCGGCCTCCCAAAGTGCTGGGATTACTGGCGTGAGCCACCGCTCCTGGCCAATTTAACTAATTTTTAAAAGTTTGATAGAACTATGATCTTAAGAAGAAAGGTTAATTGAAAGGGATTCAATGCTGTGTTGATTCCCTCCAGAAGAGCCTGGGGCAGAGGTTGGTGAAATGGTTAAAACTGTAAACCCATGTTGCTATGTCTGGGAAAATCCTGTTCTCAGGTACGCATTTAACTGGGATGTTACCAACACATTTACTGTCTCCTTGGGGATTACAGAAGGCACACATTATACTGTTTTTACTGAATATATTGAATGCTACCAATAATATAACCAGTCCATGGAGCACATGCCATGAAGTAGGTCTGTCAGAGAGATATTACCTGCCTTGTCCTCACCAAACCATGTAAATTAAATACTCTGTCCCACGTTAAGGATAAGGAAAACAGGGATTCAGAGATGTCAGGTAACTTGCCCGAGTTCTCCTAACTACACAAACGCCAAGAGGAGATTCAAATTCAGGTCCCTAATTCCAGATCCTGTTCTTTCAATTCTATCATGGTGCTTTTCTTTGAACCACATGCATTTGAAATTTGATTTTAAAGTTGGTTTTAAATTGATTTGTCAAATTATTAATAAATTCATATGGCATAAAGTTCAAAAAGTACACAAGTATAGGACCACGTGAAAACAAATAACATGAAAAGCAATCTCTTTCCCAGCCATCCAATCTCACTTCCCCGTGGCAGCTGTGTTTTCAGAGCCTTGTATATCTTTCCAGGGTATGTGACCATGTGTAGGATTAAGAAATGTCAGCATCAAAATGATTGAGTCTCCAACATTATATAAAATTTTATTTGTATAACTAAGGCAAAAAGTCACAATAAGAGGTTAATTGACTTGAACATCAAAATTAAAACAACTTAGCTTGCTCCAACAGAAATTTAAATTCAGTCAAAAGCTAAGCACAGAGGAGTTTCAAAATAAAATGAGTTAATTCACCATTCAGTCTTTTGAATAGTTTTGAGTTGCTACTAATGGAAGGCTTCAAAACGATTGGTTAAATTTTCTCCAAAACTTTATGCACATTTCCAAAACCCTGTTAGAAAGCTCCGAATTATCCAGCCTGTCTTCCTTTCCTTTATTTTATCAAAACTGTTGTTCTGATATCCAGTTCTATTTCTTGGTTATTAGATTGACCATTAGCCAACCAAGTGAATGTTGGCTAGAGATACTCATCAAGACTCTGGGCCAAAATGTCAGTTTGGATTTTATTTCTGGTTACATTATGGGCAAACTAGATGGTCATTTCTCTAACAAACATCTTGAAGTCTTAAAAATGCTCCCAAACTCTTTCCCCCACACGTTGTTTTGTCAGTATGAGTCCAGTTTTCACATGCAAAGTGAATCAGATCTATCACACGCAGTTTTAAGTACATTTTTGCAAGAGGTCCCATTTTTAGCCAAGTCACAGCTGAGCTTTACTTTCAGCTAATTAGTACTTGTTCTTAAATTGGGCAGTTCCAACCCAAGCTAGGAGATGAGATGCAATTTACTTCCTCTCTACTCTCCTAAAATTAACTGAGCTGTAAAATGTGAGTGTTCCCTTGTTTTTCCCTGGGTTTGGTTCCATCATAAGGAATTCAACAGAACTCAGAATATTTCAACAAGTCTTGCTGTTCTAATTTGAACAGTAATAGAGTACTTCCTTTCAAAACCTCAGCTCTTTGGTTGCCAAGCAACCATTAATTTATTGTAACTAACTAGTTTTAAAATTATATGTGATGTTGAAATGCAACAATATGCTTTTCATGCTCCTGAACGTACACAGCATTGGCCAGATCCGAAAGAATATGGCAGTCTTGAAGTATCAAAAACGATCACGAGCAATGCTTTTTGAGATCAAGAGAAGAAGAAATCTGTCTGTTCCCTGTATGAGCTCCTTAAGAGTGGCCTTAGGGAATACAGGAATCTGTAAGGGTTATAAGGGTTACACAATTTGACGTCCACAAAATTAGAGAAGCCCCAGGCACTGGAAGATCCTTGTCCCTAAAGAGGAGTGACATGAACTAGGAATAAGATATAGGGTTCCCTTAAAGGGCCCTGACAATACTTCAATTCACTTCATTGGCAGAACCTTTTCATTCATCCTGTATTATGTAAGGACGTTTTAAGGTGTGTGTAGTCGATTTATTAAATGTGCTAAATTCAATGGGATAGAAATAGGACAAAACCTTATTTTTCCCTCTCTCTTTGCCTCCAACAGGCTCCATCAGATCTCCCTGTCCTTCCCCTGTCACATTTAGGGCAGATCCTGTAATTTTCCTTGCTTTGCTTAAAAATGCCTTCATAGTGTTCATGAAGACCCATTATCAGGTGTTAAACTGTGCTTTTCAATCTATATTAGAACTTCAATATTGAATCCAATTTAAAGAACTTCTTTTCCACTGATCAGAGCTGACTGGCTATTTAGAGACCTGCAGGTGGAGAGCAGAAATGGTTTGCTCTTTTCACTCCTCCTTACTCATCTACTCCAATCCCCCATCTTTGCCTGGATCCTATGGTATTAAGACAGGGAAGAGGAGGTCAAGGGGAAGGGGATGATGTCTCTTCACTTGCCTGGAGCTGTTTGTCCCATCCCTAGCTGCTGATGCCCTTTTGCGGGGCAAGCATCCAAACGGTATCTTTCTTACTGGGTGCATTTGTGGATTCTTTAGATACCTTGTAGGAACACCTGCATTTCACATTGCCTTGTGATCCCCTTCAATTCCTGTGCTTGTTAAACTTACAGCCTCTCAGTGCTGGGGTCTCATTTGAGGAGGTACCACTTTTGGGCCAGGAACCTTCACCAAGGTTCATCATTCCCATGGCATCCACGTGGCCCCTTTTGCCCTATCAATGATAGGAATACCAGCTTGCTATCATAACTTCCCACTAATAAGGCAAGAGGACTCTTTGCTCTCTCAGACTCTGAAGGTAGGTGTTCATTGCTGTAACAGTGAAACAGCAAGAGAACTAACATAACTAACTCCATTTTTGTTTCAGGGACCTTTACCCATGCCTGCATGTAGGCTAGGATAATTTTAGAGCACTGAGATATTACGCAAAAACGGCAATCATGTAGTTTTAAAAACTAACTCTGGGATTAAAGGAGACTTATGTAAACAATTGCATGAAGTTTTGTTAAAGATTTATAGGAGCATCATGACCTGACCGAAGACAAGAAAGTTCCCCGCCTCCTCAGACCCTCGCTGGTGCCCGGATGTCTGAGGTCATTGGTCACCTCTCCATCCCAACCCCCTCCTCCTCCTCCAGCATTAACATAAAAAGGGTACAATTTGTACCGACTTAAGATGGTACTTTAAGATGCAATTCCATCATCGTCTCGGTTTGCTGGCTCTCCGAATGAACATGCTTTTCCTCCCACCAATTCGTGTCTCATGCTGGGCTTTTGAGCAGTGAGCAGCTGAACCTGGGTTTGGCTACATTGCTTCCTGAGTTTCTCTCACCATGTCACTCCCCTAGGGGCACCAGGGTGGGTCTTCTGGGACTTTGTGTTCAACCAGGAAGTGGCTAAGAAACAGACCTAACTTCTATAGGATAAGTAAAGGACCTAAGCCTCTTGGAGACGGCCTTTCCTTGCCTAGGGCATGTGGGAGAAGGAGCTATAAAACTCTACTCCCGTGAATTTCCTCCCTCTAGTAAACACTCTTTTTCTTTATAGCATGGGTTGCTGGTGAAACAAAGGCCAATGGATTGTCATGGCATTTTTAATGTCTTACAGATCTGTGTCTGGCACTTCTTTAAATTATTTTGGTACTAAATGCCTATTTCTTGTGGCCTTGAAATTCTATGACATATGAAAATGTTAATTTTCATATGTCATTATAGAGGCAACCACAAGAGGGCAATATTTCAGCAGCCGAAACAAAACCCTAGGAGAAGATGGCTGCCTTCCTCGGAGTACACCGATGTTGCTCAGATGCCTTTGGTCTACCTAGGTTGAAAGCTAGATAGAAAGTTCAGAATTGGGACAAGGTAAAGGGTCACATCAGGAAAATGCAAAGACGGGAAGGTGTAGCAAGACAGCAGCACACCAGTCTGGCAGACAGACAAAGACTAGAAAATTTGGGAAGAAATCTGCAATTGAGAAATGGGAAGTAAAGCACTCTTTTCTCACCTCTACTCTTACCCTACAAACCTGCTCCAGGCTATTCCACTCTGTGGTAGGCTGAGTCTTCCAAGAAGGAGACACCCAGCAGGATCAGAAGTCTGAGCAATTTCTTTGGGAAAATACAGAGGGAGAAGAAGGAAGAAGCCTGGCATTGGGAAGGCAGCGAGAGCCATCAGATAGTGATGGGGGCGTGAGCATTATGAAGGAGAGAGTCAAGGTGGGAAGACTGAGTGGAAGAGTCTGCGATTGCAGTGCAGCTCTAACAAAGTCCAACAAGTGCACCGAGTTCTTCTTGAGTTTACATTGCTTACCTGAGTGGCTCCCTGCCAGCCACAGTCATTAGCTAGGAGCAGTCTGTGGGAAGCATGACCTAACTAAGACATGAGAAGGATTTTGGAGCATAGCAGCTAGGGCTGCCAGTCAGCTATGCTCCCTGTCGTTAGAGATGTGAGAGGGGCATTTGCAGGGCCACTGCACACCCTAAACAATGAGTGAATGAATGAACGAATGCCCTTTTCTTATCCTTGTTTAACCATTACGTTACCATCCAATCTTATATCTCCTTTCCTGCAAAGCTTTTGAAATACAAGTACATACCCACTGTTATTATTTCCATACTTCCCATGCATTTTTTTTTAATCCGCAGCAAGTTGGATTCTCCTTGCCACTGTCCACTGAAACTGTTCCAGCCAAGCTGATCAGTTTTCACATGCAAACTGACTTCCCATTTATTTGCCCTGTTTCCAAGGACTGCATGAATTTGGAGCTCAGAAATAAAGTCAATTGGGGAAGATAATGGTGGATAAGAGATATTTGAACAGCCAAAAATGTGAGAGAAGGAAGGGAGATAAAGCTTTGAATATTTTATAAAAGAGGAGGAAGAAAAGAAGAATACTGAGAGGTTAAAGAAAGTGTGGACTTTAAAAACAACTTCTGGGATATTGAAAAATCTTTTCAAACAGGCGAATCAGGCAAACCCAGGGACTTTGTGATCATATGAAATCGAAGTGAAAAAAATAACCAATCAAATCTTCCATCTTCTGGCTAACTTCAGATTTGCCAGAAGAGGTCAGCAAAGACATTAACATCAGTCTTTGCCCTCCCTCGAGGCAGGATGGTGGGTTAGAAAGTGCTTTCTGCCACTTTGCTTAGAATTTATGCAGGGCTTCCATTATCCATACCCCTATCTTTTTTAGGCCCTCTTTCCAGAGTTTAACAGCTGCCTGAGCTCCTGGTGAGAGGATGGACCAATCTAAAATAAATAATAACACACATACCCTTTGTCTTATGTAATGACAGATCTTCAATTTAAATTTATGTACTGCATCTCTATGTAAACTAATTAAAATTTCTGGCATGTTAGCCTATGCAATTAGACAAGAGAAAAAAAATGCAGGGCCAAGATGTTAAAAAGGAGGAGAAAAAAAGATTAACATGAATTTTAAATAATTTGTTTATCTGGAAATCTCAACAAAATAAAGTAAAAAACCAATGTGGCTGGGCACAAAATTTATATTGAGAGTCAAAAGACTTCACATATAAAACACATTAAGTTAGAAAATATAATGGAAGGAAAGAACCTCATTTACAAAAGCAAAAGCAAAGAAATATAACATTATTAGGAATAAGCTTAACAAGTAAAGATTTACATTTAAACTAGATTGACATTTAAAAAAATGCTCCTGAAAGACACAAAAGTAGATTTGAGCAAATGGAAAGGTGGAGTAAACAATACAAAGATATCAATTCTCCTCTAAGTGTATCCATAAAAATGATACAATCACAATTTAAAAATCAATAGTATTTTTTAAATCTAGAGAAGCAGATTACATTTTATTCATGCATTATTTCATTCATTTATATTTTTAGAGACAGAGTCTTGCTCTGTCAGCCAGGCTGGAGTGTAGTGGCATGATCATAGCTCACTACAGACTTGAACTGCTGGACTCAAGTGATCCTCCCACCTCAGCCGCCTGAATAGCTGGGATTACACATGTGAGCCATCGTGCCCAGCTTAGATTAAACTTTTTATTATGGAAAAATAAACAAGCAAAAAATTTTCAAAAACATTCTGAAATAGAAGCATAATGAGGAATAACTACATCTGTAAAACAGACTATATAGCTATAATGTAAACAGTACTATCATTGGGAAAAAATGAATTATTCAATAAATGGTCAAACAAACTAGCAGCTACCTAAAAAACAAAAGTTAATTCCATTACTGCCTATGTCATACCAGGCTGTTTAAAATGGGTCAAATATTTAAATGTAAAAAAAAAACATAGATTTAACATAAGAAATAAAAGAATGTTTATAAAAATGGGTAAGACCTTTCTTAGGATGACTTAAAACACAGATGTCATAGAAGATTGACTTTATGAAGAATTTTTTAAAAATTTGCTATGGTTAATACTACCCCAAGGTAAACAGACACACGAAAACACCAGAAAACAATTTCAACTCATATCACAAAAGGTTAGTTTGCATCATGTGTAAAAAGCTCCTATAAGAAAAAAATAAAACTACTCAGCAGAAAAATGGGCAAAAGATAAGCACATGTGAGAATATTTTCATCTTCATTCATAAGGAGAACAATAAAAATTAAAGCCATATTAAGATACTATTTTCAGTTATTAAACTGGCAAATGTCAAAAAGTTTTATAGTACACTGCGTGAAAATAGGTAGTGTAAAATGTAATAGCCTGCATGAAGGGCAATTATGTAATATATATTAAAGTGACAAATGCTTTTACGCTTTGGCCTAGCAATTCCTCTTCTAGAAATTGTCATTTAGATATTGTGTACAGGGAAATAATGTATGTATTCCATTTGGTGGAATAATCTGGAGTTATTAAAAAAGGAAACAAGAACCAAGAATGTCTTATGTATAAATATACAATGATCTGTACTGCATAGGACATATGTTCGATATACTACCATTTGTACAAAAAGAAAATGTGCTTGTATGCATTTGCTTATGCAGACGTATATGCTTAAAATTACCTCTGTAAAGACACAGAAGAAAGTGATAACATTGGTTGCCTTGAGGGAGGAGGATCAGATAGAAAAGTGTTTCAAAGTATCCTTTAAAATTTTGAACCATGGAAGTATATTATGCTTTGATGCTTTAATATTTGAATATAGTTATATCTTCTTTTGATATTCTGGCACTTTTAAAAACATCTGTATTTGGGGTACTATATGATCCTGATTCTCTAAGTGTTATAATTAACATATATATCTTATTAATCCAAAACTCAACTATGTAGTCTTTCTAGAACATAGCTAGGAATCAGAAAATAGCAAAATAAACCAGCAAGCAGACAAAATAAATGTTACAAAGTCCATGAACCACATAAAGCTTAGCCACTTTACTCACAGGAAGTCTGTTAGAGTCCCTTTTATCTGTTTGTTTATTTATTGGAAATAAGCTTGATAAAATGATTTACTCATAGAAAGGAGATAAGAAAAGACAGGTCTACTGAAAACAACAAGCAGTGTGTTAGCTCTCAATCAAGAGACATGTTGAGAGAAATTAAAAACCAACTGTACAAAGCTGACCAAAGGACTTAAGACATTTTTGTTCATTTAGTGCAGGAGCAAACCTTCTCTGAGATCATGTATATATGACAGTGGCATCCTAATGATCGTCTTGAGAAACCAAGAAGACATTCAGGTATGCTCAATAGAATCTATTAAGACTGATTTTCATGCCTAACATTTAAATAAAATATAAAAACTTTTGATGATTAAGTCTAAAACTTAGAGTCTCTGGAAAATGGAATAACACATTTCAGGTTGGTGGTGTTTTGGAGTATATTTTTAAATGCTTAACTGAAGATATCACCAAATGCCAGAGTAATTGGTCAGAGATTTCTTTTTCTATTGAACACAAATGAAAACATCAGTATCAAAAATTGGCAGTAGATATGCAAAAAGGGAGTCAGGAAAATTATTCTTGTACAAGAAAACAACTTTATAAGAGCTCAGGAGAAACTTCTAACTTTTCTACAGTGGAATGACTCCAACAATCACAGTCAAAATTTAAAGAATGGGTAATATGTTTTAGCAAATAAATGAGAGGAATTGTAGCAGTCATTAATCTAGGACAGGTTAGAATAAAAGAGGTGGTAACATAATGATTAACCATTTAACAGAGTGATTAGGACTATTGCTGGCATACTCTTTGACCCAGCTATCCATTTCCAGGAATTGTTTTTCTAAATGTACTTACACGAGGATGCGAGGGTGCGGAGATATGTACAAAAGGACACATACACCCTTGTTGGAAACACATATATCCCTTGTTGGAAACATATATATCTTTTGCTTTAAAATAATTCAACTTGGCTGGGTGCAGTGGCTCACGCCTATAATTCCAGCAGTTTGGGAGGCCGAGGCGGAAGGAATGCTTATGCTCAGGAGTTTAAAGCCAGCCTGGACAACATAGGAAGACCTCATCTCTACAAATAATTTTAAAAATTGGCTGGGCTTGGTGGCGGGCACCTGTAGTCCCAGCTACTCAGGAGGCTGAGGTGGGAGGATCGACCCTGGGAGGTCAAGGTTTCAGTGAAGTGTGATCACACCACTGCACTCCAGCTTGAACAACTAAGTAAGACTTTGTCTCAAAAAAATAAAAATAAATAAAATAAAAGAATGCAACTGGAAGCAGCTTAAGTGTCTAAGGAAAGGGAACTGATTAAATAAATTCTGTTGTATTTATTAAATGGAATACTTACTACGTAACCATTAAATAGAAGTGGGGAATACTATATATATTGATATATAAAATTGACTACTTTAAAATAAATAAAAAGAAAGCTATAGAATACCATACAAGGTATCATATATTTTGTTTAAAAACATTTCTGTGTGTGTGTGTGTGTGTGTCTGTGTGTCTTAGGATATGATTAGGAAAAGGGTTAGAAAGATACCCATTGACCTGTTATATCACTTGGCTGAAGATATGGGGTGAATGGACAACGGGCCAGAAATGTTCACATTACTTTATGCATAGCTGTAGTTCTTGATTTTGTAAAGTTATTTTTAAAGTGTCTATAAAGAAGATTATTGTTGTTAACCTTGAAAAGTTAATTGATGGGATAGACTAGGAAATCAAACCCAAACTATAATTGGATTAAAATAAAGCATTAAAAATGACAAAACTTGAGAATGGTGTATAATAATCTGTCTTGGATATAAAGAGAATTTCTGAATAGGTGGTGTCAAATGATTAAAAGTTATTATAATGAATAGGAATTGTTTTATCTGCCTAGAATGCCTTCCTCCTTTCTCTGAGGGAGCAACTTTTTCCCTTGGGAAATGCTCCTTTCACCTTTGCAAACATTTGGCTTAAGAATATGTGATTTTCCTTCCCAGTCTATGCACCTGACCACAAGTGATGATAGGCCTGAAGGTGCACACATAACTCAAACTGGGCCAACCATTTAGACACCACTTCACCCCAGTGATAAGAGGTGGTGTTGGTGTCTACCTGACTCAAGCAAGACCAATCACAGCTCTCCCTCAGCATATGCCAAACTGGACTTGGAGGAGAAGGAGTGTCATTCCTTTGTTGATATTGGGACTCAAAGGTGCATTCCTAGAGCACCCACGTGGAGGAAGCCAGGTTGCAGAAGAGATAATGGAGCCAGTGTTAGAAAGAAGCTATGATAAGGAGTTGAGGGCAAAATAGTCCAGCTATACCACTGCTCCTCTTCCTTTCTTGTGGTTACATAGGAAAAAAATTATCTTCTTGACTAAATTAGTTCGGGTTGGGTATCAGACGTTCACATCCAGAAACATACTGACCAATAATAGAAAAAAAAAAACTGGTAAACAAGCCAACACAGTTACTTGCTTCCACCTTTTATTTCAATGCAATGTAATGATGATACGTGAATCTAAAAATAAACTGATAATATTCAAAATATTGCAGACTACAACCTTTATTCTTTTTTTTTTTTTCTTTTTGAGACAGAGTTTTGCTCTTGTTGCCCAGGCTGGAGTGCAGTGGCGCGATCTCGGCTCGTTCCAACCTCTGCCTACCGGGTTCAAGCGAGTCTCCCACCTCATTCTCCTGAGTAGTTGGGACTACCATTGCCTGCCACCATGCCCAGCTAATTTTTGTATTTTTTTTAGTAGAGATGGGATTTCACCATATTAACCAGGCTGGTTTCAAACTCCTGACCTCAAATGATCCACCCACCTCGGCCTCCCAAAGTGTTGGGATTACAGGCATGAGCCACCGTGCCTAGCCTAGGATGACTACAACTTTTAGAACCTATATCATAAAATCCTTGAAGAGGACAATATTTGTAAGTTATTGAAGAAAACCTACTCCCCCAAAGACCATTTTTTCTGGTTAGGTGATCATTTATTTGGAAACAAAACAAAAAGTAGAAAAATTACTCACAGATTCAAAGGCCAGAGAGAGATTTGCTGACCACATTTATTATCTCTGAATAACATTTAAAGTTATTTTTCTAAGAAACTTACTGAGTGGGAAAATCATGTTGAAAGCTATCATTGAGAACCCTGACAGCTAATGGATTGATGTCATGACTAGTATAATGCTGGATTTAAAACCCTAGATGAGATCAAAAAAGAGAATGGAGACAAACATTTAGACGTAAACCCACTAGTACAAAACTTCACATTAAAGAAAGAAATCCAACATTTTTTTTCCAGTTTAGAAATAGAAATTTTGTTTACACTTTAAAAAAATTGAGGTACAATATATGTATAAAATTTACAATCTTTACCGTTTTAAACGTACCATAATAATAAATACATTTATATTATTATTTTCCCCTTTATCCCTCCCTCCTTCTTACCCGTCCTGGCATCTAGGTAACCACCATTTTATTCTCTGTCTTCATGAGATTTACTTTTTTAGCTTATATAAGTGAGATCATGCAATATGTATCTCTCTGTGCATGGCTCATTTCACTGAACATAATGGTATCTAGTTCCACCCATGTTGCTGCAAACGACAGGATTTTACTCTTTTTTATGGCTGAATAATATTTCATTGTGTACATATAACACATTTTTTAATCCATTCATCTGTTGATGGACACTTAGGTTGATTCCAAATTTTGGCTATTTTGAATAGTGCTGCATTAAACATGAGAGTGCAGAGACTCTGCACTCTGTTTAATATATTGCTTTCCTTTGTTTTGGATGTGTACCTAGTAGTAAAATTGCTGGATGACATGGCAGTTCTATCTTTAGTTTTGTGAGGAACCTCCATGCTATTCTTTTTAGGGGCCGCAATAATTTACATTCCCACCAGCAGTGGATGAGGGCTCGCCTGTCTAGACATCCTCACCAGCATCTGTTATTGCCTGTCTTTTTGATACAAGTCATTTTAGCTGGGATGAGATGATATCTTATTTTGGTTTTGATTTGCATTTCTCAGATGATTAGTGATGTTGAACATTGTTTTCAAATACCTGTTGATCATTTGTATGTCTTCTTTTGAGAAATGTCTGTTCAGATCTTTTGCCCATTTTAAAACTGAATTATTTTTGTTTGTTTACTTTGCTATTGAGTTCTTCGAGCACCTTATGTATTCTGGCTGTTATTAATCACTTGTCAGGTAGATACTTTGCAAATATTTTATCCCATTCTGCGAGTTGTCTTCTCGTTTTGTTGACTGTTTCCTTTGCTGTGCAGAAGGTTTTTAGCTTGCTGTAATCTCATCATATTTTTGCTTTGGTTGTCTGTGATTTTGAGATCTTAGACAAAGAAATCTTTCACCAGATCAATGTGCTAGAACATTTCCTCAAAGTTTTCTTCCAGCAGTTTCATAGTTTCAGGTCTTAGATTTCAGTCTTTAATCAATTTTGATTTGATTTGTGTATGTGATGAGGGATAATGGTCTAATTTCATTCTTCTGCATATCCCAGCACCATGTATTGAAAAGATTATCCTTTCCTCAGTGTATGTTCTTGGTGTCTTTGTCAAAGATGAGTTGGCTATAAATGCATGGGTTTATATCTCAGTTCTCTAGTATGTTCCATTGTCTATATGTCTGCTTTGATGCCAGTACCATGCTGTTTCAGTTACTATAGCTTCATAGTAAATATTGAAGTCAGGTGGTGTAATGCCCCCAGCTTTGTTCTTTTTGCTCAGGATTGAGCTGGCTATTTGGGATATTTTGTGGTTATGTATACATTTAGGATTTTTTTTTCTGTTTTTTGTGAAGAATGTCACTGACATTTTGATAGAGATTGCATTGAATCTGTAAGATGCTTTTGGTATATTGTCATTTTAACATTATTAATTTTTCCAATTCATGAGCATGAAATATCTTTCCATTTTCCATGTCCTCTTCACTTTCTTCCATCAGAGTTTTGCAGTTTTCCTTGTATAGATCTTTCATGTCTTTAGTTAGATTGATTCTTATGTATTTTATATTTTTTGTAGCTATTGTAAGTGGGATCGTCTTCTTGATTATTTTTTTCAGATTGTTTGACGCTGGTGCATATAAATGCCACTAAATTTTGTATGTTGATTTTTGTGTCCTGCAACTTTATTGAACCCATTTATCAGTTCTAACAGTTATTTTTGAGGGATACAGTCTTCAGGTTTTTCTAGGTATAAGGACATGTCATTTGCAAATAAGGCTAATATGACTTCTTTCTTTCCAATTTGGATGCCCTTTATTTCTTTATCTTGCCTAATTGCTCTGGCCATGACTTCCAGTATTCTATTGAATAACAGTGGTGAGAGTATGCATCCTTATCTTGTTCCAGTCCTTAGAGGAGAGGCCTTCAATTTTTTCTCTGTTCAGTATGATGTTAGCTGTGAGTTTGTCATATATGGCCTTTATTGCTTTGAAATATGTTCCTTCTATATGTATTTTTATGAGAAATTTTATCATGAAGGGATGTTGAATTTTATGAAATACTTTTTCAGCATCTATTGAAATAATTATATTTTTTTTGTTCTTGATTCTGTTAAACTGAACTCCTTAGGGTTAGTCACTGGATTTTTGCTTTGTCCTTTCGGGGAGGTCATGATTCTCTGCAGTTGTTTCTTGTGGAAATATGTCCACATCTTTGCATGGGAGGATTATTTATTCCAATCTTCTCTGTTTGGCTTATTTTGGTTTTTAATGGATACATTTGCTTACTGAATCTTTACTGCTAGGTTGCTGTCTAATTTTAAATTTTTATTTACATTCTCTTAGTTGACCTCCTAGAGTACTTCTTTTTTAAATTTTACTTCAAGTTCTGGGATACATGTCCAGAACGTGCAGGTTTGTTACATAGGTATACAATATGTGCCATGGTGGTTTGCTGCACCTATCAAACCATCATCTAGTTTTTAAGCCACACATGCATTAGGTATTTGTCCTAATGCTCTCCCTCCCCTTGCCCCCCACCCTCTGACAGGCTCCAGTGTATGATGTTCCCCTCCCTGTGTCCATGTGTTCTCATTATTCAACTCCCACTTATGAGTGAGAACATGTGATGTTTGGTTTTCTGTTCCTGTGTTAGTTTGCCAAGAATGATGGCTTCCAGCTTCATCCATGTCCCTACAAAGAACATGAACTCATTCTTTTTTATGGCTGCATAGTATTCCATGGTGTATATGTGCCACATTTTCTTTATCCAGTCTATCATTGATGGGCATTGGGGTTGGTTCCAAGAATACTTCCACATGCTCCTTTACCTTTGCAATGAATAGCTATGCCAACTCAGATACGTGCTATTATAACATTCCTCCTCATTAATAACAACATCTTTGTACTGAATAATGTCACTAGCTCGTCATTACAGGTGATTATTTTAGTCTTTATGTTAAACAATTGAAAATTATTTTGATCAAAACATCTTTTTAAAGTGAGATTTAAGTTTTATTATTTATTTATTTTCCTTCCAACTTTTATTTTAGGTTCAGGGGGTACATGTGCAGGTTTGTCACATGAGTAAAATGCAGGTTATTTCACTACCCAAAACTGCAACTTTGAATTCTTGGTCAGAGAGCTCACGTATTGCCATCTCATTAGGGTCAGTCACTGGATTTTTGTTTTGTTCTTTTAGGGAGGTCATGGTTCTCTGTTTGCAGTTGTTTCTTGTGGGTATATGTCTATATGTTTGCATTAAAGGATTGTTCATTTCAATCTTCTCTGTCCAGCTTGTTTTGGTTTTTATTGGACATATATGCTTAGTGAATCTTTACTGCTAGGTTGCTGCCCTTTTTTCAGCTCAAGATGGTGCCAGGTTCACCTCAGCTGTAGTAAATGATCAGAGCACTGCCTATCCTGAATGGGGGAGATCCCAAAGGGATTATCTAGGTGGTATCAAGGCTGGCTAGGGCTTTGTGCCCAGGGGACCTGTGGAATGTACCTTCTAAAGCATGGTGCTGCTGAACAACCACTCTGATTTGGCGTCTTCTTTAGCTAATAGATCAATTTCCGCAGCTGTGGATGTTAGTCATGCCTACACACTTTGTCTCTGCCTCTCCCTAGGGATATTTCTCCCTTTAGGCAGTCTTTATGCTTTCTCTGGGTTAAGGCAAGAAAAGGTCTCCTGCCAGAGCACCCAAGATGATGGGGAAGCTGGTTAACTCCCTCAATCATACTTTTTCAAGTGTAGATTGTGTTGGGGGACGATTTTCCATGTACTTGTTGCTGGGCAGAATGGTGGGGGAGGAGCTTTGCAGATGTGTAAGTCCGATTCTCTTACCATCTGCTTAGTTTTTTTCACTTCTCTGTGGCCTTGGAAACTATTTCATTCTCGTATTTGACTTCTGGGTTGTTGCTGGTGAAAATCTTGGCACTGTATAACTGTTTTCAGTTTTTTGCAGGGGAAAGTGAAACCATCTTGCTTCTATATTGCCATTTTGGAACTGGAAGTAAAAAATCTTTGTATTAGTTAACTTTGTGGAATTGAATTAAATAAAGCTATCTTCAACTCATTTTAGAAGAACATGTAAATATTGTCTATGTATAAAAAGGCATAATTGTTAAAGCAAAACAGGATAAGAAGTATAGGAAGGGGACAAAACAATTTCGTTGAGTGGATTTCAACCATAATTACTATTTTGGAAAACAAAAACAAAAATAAAACCCATCTCTCAGAAAACTATCATTCTAAATTGAAAAACAAAGTCAATTTATACAATTTTAAAAATTGGAGATGAGCTATGACATTTCTAAATTACAGGGAAAGTATACATAATATTCAAAATGGTAGAAATCATAGCGTGGCATAGTGGCTTAGGCCTGTAATCCCAGCCTTGTGGGAGGCCAAGGTGGGCAGATCAGTTAAGACTAGGAGTTCGAGACCAGCCTGGCCAACATGGTGAAACCCCATCTCTACTAAAGAATTGTTTGAACCCGGGAGGCGGAGGTTGCAGCGAGCCAAGATAGCGCCACTGCACTCCAGCCTGGGTGACAGAGTGAGATTCTGTCTCAAAAAAAAAAAAAGTAGAAATCAACACATAAATTATTAAGCATAGGGGTAACTATATAATGTAATGAAAAGGCACAATAGAAAAGAACACTTAACAACTTTACATTCAATTAAACAATGTATCATTAAAACATTAATGCACAATTGTTTAACATGGAGGAGAATGTTGCAGCCATCAAAATTCTCTTTGCAAACCTCCAAGTATATGGAGCTAATTGAGGAGAGTTCCAGCTGCCAGCTTTGGAATCCATCCCTATGGGAGGCTATGCCACCTACATACTGCTCTCATGGGATTTAAGGCACAACCTATTCCTGGAGACAAGGATTATCTCTGACTGCAACTTTCGCTTGAGGACTCCCCATTGGTTTTCCCAACCTTCTTAGACAATGTGGATGTCTAGAAAGTTTCCACTAACCTTGTCTCTCTGCATCCTTCAGTCCAGGTCAGACTTGCTTTGTGGCTTGATGACTCTTCCCAATGTTCTCTGGTTCCTTCTCCATATTCCTTCACAGACATTTCCCCCTAATAAGCACCTGCATGGTTAATCTGGTTTTGACATCTGCTTCTCTGAGAACATGGAATAACACAAAAAGAATCACAAAATAATGCATTTGTGGAGAAAGATCTGAGTTGCACATCACTGAAGTTAGCAAGTTCAAGTAGCAGTCATACTAGAACTCAATATTTCACGTGTGGCAGAAAAAGGAAGTCAGAATTGGTCTTAGCAATATAATGACTTTCTAAGAGGGGTAGATACTAGTGGCAACGATTTCTTTTGGCAGAAGTCAATGTTTTGAGAAGATCCCAAGTAGTAGTAGGTCTCCAATGCAGGATGCATCAGCACCAGGAAGTAACTGGGAATGCATAATTGTGGTTGACTCCTCTCTTCACCCAGCTACTGAGGGTTTAGGGAGCAAAATCAAGCTCCCCAGGGAACAACAATGGTCAAGGTGGAGCTGTTATCCAGTCCTAGAGTTTTTACAACCAGAAATGAGGGCAGAATTTCTATTGCATCAGTCGATATATAGGTCATGGTAAGAAAACAGTAACTCTGGAGGCTCACCCAGTCATCACAAATAACCTCTTAGGAAAAAGAGGACTCATCACAGACTCCTTGCATGGGCAGTACTAATACCTTGGATGCAATTCTTCTTGGTCAGGATTACCTCAAAAAAGAATGGTGATTCTTAGGGGTGGGAAAGGTAGGGACTGAAAATATCAAGATGATAATAAAACTAATTAATGAAAATATTGAATACTTGGTCAATCCAGTTACTCAGGCAACTTCAATAAATTGTAAACTTAGACGAGAAAATTAAAACTATATCGGTGTATAGCTGTTACCAAAAAAATCTTAAATAAGCCATAAGGATATATTTACAAATATTAACCACCAACTTCTTAATGGCAGAAATTCTGCCCATTACATGCTTTAACCATATTTTAAAAAGAAGTAAATAATGAGAATCTTAACAAATTGTTTAATTTTTTTAGTATTAAAAATACTTTTTTATAAGTAAAAATTGGCTTAGGAAACAAATTAAGAATGCAATAAAATATATTTTAAAGTAATAATACACAGCTCTGCATATTAAAATGTATTGGGACGTAGGCCAAAACAGTGTTTAGAAGAAAATGTACTCATTTAAAGGTCTTTAATAAGAAGAAATAAAAAAGAGATATTCATGAAAAAATGATTATACTGTAGAATTCTAGAACAGAATAAAGTATTAATTTAAAGCAAAATAGGGAAGGAATATAAAAGCATGAATTAATAACCTGGAAAATAACTGGCATAATTATATACAAAATTAAAAGCTAGTTATTTGATGAGAGGAAGAAAATGGATAAACTTGTGATAAAAATATAATTTTTAAAACAGAATAATTCTAGCGCATAAATATATCTGTATGGGTACCCCAATGTGACATATTCAATTTTAAAACATCAGGCTGGGCGTGGTGGCTCACGTCTGAAATCCCAGCGCTTTGGGAGGCTGAGGTGGGTGGATCACTTGAGGTCCAGGTTTGAGACCAACCCGGCCAACATGGTGAAGCCCGTCTATACTAAAAATACAAAAATTAGCTGGGTGTGGTGGTGCATCCTGTAATCCCAGTTACTCGAGAGGCTGAGGCAGGAGAATCACTTGAACCTGGGAGGCAGAGGTTGCAGTGAGCAGAGATCGCCCCACTGCACTCCAGTCTGGGTGACAGAGGGAGACACCATCTCAAAAAAAAATAAAATAAAAATAAAAAATCAATATACACACCTAGAGGGAGAGAAAAAAGTCCTAACATTCCCTAACTTAATCTCCTTTCCTGGGCACCCTATTAGATAAATGGTGCTGTGAAAATTGGAGCGCCATATGCAGAAGAATGAAACTGGACCCCTATCTGTCACCACATACCAAAGTTAATTCAAGGTGGATTAAAGACTTAAATGTAAGACTTGAAGCTATAAAAATCCTACAAGGAAATCTAGGAAAAATTCTTCTAGACGTTGGCCTAGGCAAAGAATTTATGATAAAGACCCCAAAAGCAAATGCAACAAAATCAAAAATAGACAAATTAGCTTCAACTAAACTAAAAGCCTTCTGCATAGCAAAAGAAATAATCAACAGAGTAAACAGAATCTACAAAAAACTCAAGTAACTCAATTAGAAAAAAAAAACCATTAAAAAGAGGACAAAGGATATGAACAGATGTTTCTCAAGAACACATACAAGCAGCCAACCAACATAGGAAAAAAGGCTTAACACCACTAATCGTCAGAGAAATGCATCTTACAACCACAATGAGACACCATCTTACACCAGTCAGAATGGCTAATAAAAAGTCAAAAGACAACAGATGTTGGCAAAAGTGCAGAGAAAAGGGAACACTTATATACTGTTGTTGGGAATGTAAACTAGTACAGCCTCCATGGAAAACAATATGGAAATGTTTCAAAGAACTAAAAATAGAACTACTATTTGACCCAGCAATCCCAGTACTGGGTATCTCCTTAGTGGTAAAGAAATTATTACATCAAAAAGACACCTGAACTTGTGTGTTTATTGCAGCATTATTCACAATAGCAATGATATGGAATCAACCCAAGTGTCCATCTACAGACGTTGGATAAAGAAAATGTGATATACACATTATATATAAATATATGATGGAATGCTATGCAGCCATTAAAAATAATGAAACTGTGTCTTTTGTAGCAACATATATGGAACTGGAGGCTATTATCCTAGGTGAAATAACTCAGAAATAGAAAATCAAATACCATGTGTTCTCACTTATAAGTGGGAGGTAAACAATGAGTATACTTTGGACATAAAAATGGAAATAATAGACACTGAGGACTTCAAAGATGGGGAGGGCGTGACAGTTGAAAACTTACCTGTTGGGTGCAATGATCACTATTTGGGTGATGGGTACACTTGAAGCCCAAATCTCACTATTACACAATATATCCATGTAACAAACCTGTACCTCCTGAATCTACAATAAAAAAAAAAAATCTCTTTTCTTGGATTTTCCTTCTGTCTGTCCAATGTTAGAGAGGCCCATGCTCTGACTTCATCCCTGGGTGATTTTCTATGGTCCCTTGGCTGTAATTATAATATATTTCAATTCAAACTTCCTAGTTGTTATCCCTGGCCTTGATTTCTCCCTTAAGCTCTAATCACTTTTTAAAATTTTACTCAAAATCTTTTCTTCAAAGTCTAATAAACATCCCTTAATTTAAACATCTAAAACCAAGTAAGCTCTCCACATGTACCCACTCACATATGGTTCCTCCCTCAATTGTCTTTCCCTCAGAAAATGGCGCCACCGTTCATCCAACTATTCAGGCATCAACCTCAGCATTATCATCTCACACGGAATTAATCAACTAGCCCTACTGGTGCTACCTTTGAGGAAAGTATATATATATGTTGATTTCAGCTGCTTCTTGCCACCTTCATTCCTATCACTTTAATCCATATCTTCATTTCTTGCCTGGATCTTGCAGTAATTCCATTTAACACCACCTCCCCCAGGAGCCTGGACAAGCCTTTAAAATCTGCCCAATGACATCCCACCACACGTAAAGGAAAGTTTAACGTGTTCCCTCAGATCCTCACATAGGCAACTCCTTTACTCCTTCTGCTCAAATGCTGGATCACCTTATCAAAAATGACCTCATTACACCCTACCATTTCTCTCTGTCCCCCTTTTCTGCTTTATTTTTCTTCACAGCAGTTATCTTGACCTGAAATTATACTATTCATTTGTATACTTGTATGTTGTCTGCCTCTTTCTCCCTCTGGGTGTCAGAACACACATTCACCCTGGCCCTACCCAACTCCCAATACCTGTCTTTTTTCAGAAACAGCAACTCCCAAAACTCCCTAGGCCAGAAGATGAAGTGGAGACCTAGAGAAGGTAGTGCATTGCCTGAGGCAGTGGAACTCCCCCATCCCATGTCATGGTCAGAGACAGGTACAAAATACACAGAGGTTTTAAGACATACTAGAGATTAGAGTTTTCACACCCAATTGAGAAGAACTGACAACTGAGACATCAGAAGAGAAGAGCCTGTCAGGAATGAAGACAAGACCTGCCATTTATAAATATGAGAATGGGAGTCAGTGGTCACTTTATACAGACTGTCTTTTGACTTACATAGAGGAACTAGAATGGATTATTTCCCTAAGTGAGTGAATCTCTAGGTATGAAGGAAGCATGCTAGCTTTGCCCCACCACTGCTCACAGAGGAGGATCTCAAATAAAATAAAGTATACAATATTACTGTAGGGCTTCTCACTACCCCAGGCACAGTGTGTTTGGAAATATTGAGAGAGAAATTGTGGCGGGGGGGTAAGGGGGGGCTTCTCCTGACAGCCTGGAGGCCTTCAAGGCAACTGGCTGTCCTCAGGTTTAGTCAGTGGAGGCACAACAGTTTTAAGTGGGTTTCCGTAGGTTCCACAGTAGAAGCCAGGACAGGGTGTATGTCATGTAGCTTTAGACATTCACAGCCAGCCAGCTTCTGGGTCATCTCTTTTTTGAGTGAACAGAGTGTGGTTCTGACCCTTCTCAGAAGTTGTTAGGCATTCCAGGCTCAAGTAACCCACCAGTCTTTTAAATATAGATAGTACAAATCCAATAACACTCTTACATTTCAACATAGCATTGGCACCAAAACCCAGACTGCTGTAATAAAATCAAGTTACATCCGCCAGTTCTATATTTATGGACCACAGGCTTTAGAAAATTTAGAGGACAATCTGGAAAGCAAAGTAAGAAAATTTTATTTCAAAATAGGATTTGCTAGGGAGACTCCAGGTCCCCAAAAGAGAATTATCATAGAGACCCCTTACTAAGACAGCCACACAAGTAGATCTAGAGTAGGTTTAGAGCCAAAATACACATTTTGCTTTGTCAAATGATAAATCTGTATAAATCTTATCTTGTTCAACTAAGAAGTAAAAGCAACAACCTGGGTCTAGACCTCTGAGATTACGATGCTAGAGAGTCTAATAATGGGATGAAGACATAGTTTCAGCCTACGGCTTCAGTAGGGTTTGTCTCTACCAAAACTCATGCCAAAATCTGATCCCCAATGTGGTGGTGTTGGGAGGTGGAGCCTAATGAGAAGTGTGTGGGTCATGGGGATGGATCCCTCATTAATAACTTGGTGCTGTTCTTATGATAGTGAGTGAGTTTTTGCTCTGCTGAGCATGGACTAGTTTTTTTGAGAATTGATTAGTTCTCTGAGAATGGGTTGTTATAAAGCCAGGGCTCTCCTTGATTTTGCCTCTTTGCACATATTTGCTTCCCTTTTGATTTTCCACCATATTGTGAGGCAGCATAAAGACCTCACCAAAAGCAGAATGGATAGCAGTGCCATGCCCCTTGAGCTTTCCAGCCTGCAGAACCATGAGCAAAATAAACCTCTTTTCTTTATAAAGTACCCGGTCTCAGATATTCTGTTACAACAACACAGTATGGACTAAGACAATTTTTTTTAACTCCATCTCCTGAGTATAAGATGTATTTTCAGTTAGGTTTCAAGCAGCTCTGGAGCTAAAAGTTTTCTCCCTTGTGCTAGTCAGGCCTGGATGGTGGTCTTATCCTAACAAACATATGTCTTGGGCTTCTTTAAAACTAGACCGACATAGGTCATGTGCCCACTCCTGAACCAATCACTATGACAAGGAGTGCCAGACACTGAATGGTTTAACTATGACTCTACCTGAACTAATCACATTGGGCAGGGGAATAAAATCACTCTGGTTTGCTCAGGTCAAATATGATCCATCCCAGATATAATGGTAGAGTGAATCCCATCTAAACCTCATGTCTGTTTTACAATGGGGTATGGGTGGAATGGCTAATGGGCTGTTTATTACAGCTATTACTAGGTGTATTACAGCTATTTTTACTAAAGTAAAAATGATTTTTTCTTCTGTGTGCTTTTATGATTTTCAATTTTGCTATAATAAACATATTTTGTAATAAAAAGGAAATACAAAATAAAATAAAATTAGAAATAGAGAGGATATATAGCAATGGAGAACAATATTAAAACTAAGAAGGGTTAGGCACAGTTATATGCTACTAAAATTAAATAAGTGAAATGTATGTGTTTCTATAAAAATACAATATATTAATATTGAATCAAGAAATAGAGAACACCAAGAACTGAAGGAGAAAGTGGATAATTTATCAAAGAAACATACTCCCTTCTCCCTCCTACCTATTCTATCCAGCAGAACTTGAAAATTGTCTTTAGATCTTCAAAAAGCAAATATAGTCTCTTAGTTACAAAACATGGTATTCTATCTGTAGTGGACATTTGTTGTGTTTGTAACTCAAAAGTATCTTTTGAATGTCTTTCTATGTTTGGAGAATTTCCCATATTATAAATCCCTCTTCTCCAAGATAGAAATCAGACCATGCTCTCCCAGACTCCCTTGCAGTCGCACAGGCTTTTACCAGAGCTTTGCTAATGAGATGCATCTGCAGCAGACTTCAATTGCCAAGTAAAAAATGGGAGAAAGAGTACATAGTGTGGATCACCTTTTGGCAAATATAGTGCCAGGGCCTCTGACCACCTGATTTCACCACAGGCCTCTGGAACCTGGCAGGAGGAGACTCCTCAACCACCATGGACACTCGAGTTGGCAGGGAGCACTACTTAGAGAAGCGGTACAGGCAGCAAGCCAGCTGATGTGGAGCCTGAGGGTTTGATGTGGGAGTGTCTGCAGTGGTGCACCTCCAGGGATGGCCATCCCCCAGGCCTGACTTGCTCCCATAGGAGACTTTAACCCTAGGGGAACTGTCGGACCTGATCTTTCAGGATGGTCTTGCCCATCAGACCAGGCTGGTCCAACCTGAACACCCCTTGGTCTACTGGCCTCTCCTAGGGCCCTAGCCAGGCCACACCTTCTTGCAGGGCAATCTCCAGTGCCCTGGGGGCCCACCACAATAGCTTCTGTGCTGGTGGACTGTGCCTCATCAGTGGACAGCTCCAGCTGGGTGGCTCCATGGCCACACACAAGCCTACCATTCCCTCCCATACTGAAGCTTCCTCCAGGCACATAGCAACTCCCCACATCACTTTGCTGGCACATGCCAACATGAGTGGAAGGGGTTTGTTTTCTTTGCCCTGTCAGTGGAGGGGAGAGCAGTCTGCTCTACTTCCCTTTGCAGGCTGCCATTGCAGATGGAACCTTGGTGGGCACAGAGTCAGAAGCCCCACCCCTGCCAGTGCCTGGCCCCGAACTAACACTGTGCAGAGAACAGCACATCCTCCTCCACCCTGAACAATCACTCCTGCTTGTGGGGCATAGAGAAGGCACCCTGCACCAGCCAACACCCCACACCAGACCCAACACTACCTCCAGTGCAACTATACACAGTGTCCAGCAGGGTGCCTCACCCCACTGTCCCCCACCCCAGCTGCATTGCCTCTGTCACTGTGGTGAACAACTGCAAGGAGGCAGGCACTTGGCACCCACTAGCACTCTGCCACAGCTGCTGCACCTCACTGCACTACCCCCACCACCAGCACACTGCATGCCATGCCTCAAAGAGCCAGAGAACAAAACTGGGGCCTAATGCAAGTCCTCCAGTTAGAGAACACAGTATAGGAGTTGGAGCTAAGCATTGGCTTCCTAAAATCCTTCAGAAATGAAGCTAGTTCACTGAACCCACCTTATACCACAATCAGACCCTCAAGGTCATCAAATAGGTTTTAAAAAAAAAAAAATCCAAAGGTCAACAACCTCAAAGATTGAAGGTAGATAAGCCCACAAAGATGAGAAAAAAAACCTGATGGAAGAACACTCAAAACTTGAATAAAAATAAAAGAAAAACTGCAGTCCCTTCTTTCCTCCAAATGACCACATCACCTCTCCAGCAAGCATTCTGAACTGGGCTGCCATGGATGAAATGACAGAAATAGAATTCAGAATATGGATAGAAATGAAGATCATTGAGATACAAGAATATGTTGAAACCCAATTCAAGGAAGCTGAAAACCATGATAAAACAATGCAGGAGCTGACAGACAAAATAGCCAGTATAGAAAAGAATATAACTAAGCTGATAGAGCTGAAAAACACACTATGAGAATTTCATAATGTAATCACAAGTATTAGTAGAAGAATAGACCATGTGGAAGAAAGAATCTCAGAACTTGAAGACTGGCTTTCTGAAATAAGATAGTCAGACAAAAATGGAGAAAAAAGAATGAAAAGGAATGAACAAAACCTCTGAGAAATATAAGATTACGTAAAGAGATTGAGTAACTCATCATTGTCCCTGAAAGACACTGGGGAGAATGGAACCAACTTAGACAATGTATTTCAGGATATAATCCTTGAGAACTTCTCCAACCTAGCTAGAGAGGCCAACATTCAAATTCAGGAAATGCAGAAAACTCCAGTAAGATGCTACTCAAGAAGAACATCCCCAAGACGTGTAATCATCAGATTCTCCAAGGTCAAAATGTTAAAGGCAGCTATAGAGAAAGGTCAGGTCACCTACAAAGTGAATCCCATCAGACTAACAGTGGACCTCTTGGCTGGGTGCGGTGGCTCATGCCTGTAATCCCAGCACTTTGGGAGGCCAAGGCAGGTGGATTACCTGAGGTCCGGAGTTCAAGAGCAGCCTGGCCAACATGGCAAAACCCCATCTCTACTAAAAATATAAAATTTAGCTGGGCATGGTGGTGTGCACCTGTAATCCTAGCTACCCAAGAGGCTGAGGCAGGAGAATCACTGGAACCTGGGGGGGCAGAGGCTGCAGTGAGCCGAGATTGCACCACTGCACTCCAGCCTGGGCAACAGAGCAAGACTCCATCTCAAAAACAAAACAAAACAAAACAGTGAACCTCTCAGCAGAAACTTTACAAGCCAGAGGAGATTGGGGGCAAGAAATTCCAAACCAGAATGTCATATCTGGCTAAACTAAGCTTCATAAGCAGAGAAATAAGATCCTTTCCAGACAAGCAAATGCTGAGGGAATTTGTTACCAACAGATGTGACTTACAAGAGCTCCTGAAGGAAGCACTAAATATGGAAAGGAAAGACTGTTGCCAGCCCCTACAAAACACAATGAAGTACACAGACCAGTGACACTATAAAGCAACCACATAAACAAGTCAGCAAAATAATCAACTAACATCATGATGGAAGGATCAAATTCATACATATCAACATTAACCTTAAAAGTAAATGGGCTAAATACCCTAATTAAAAGACTGGAAGCTGGATAAAAGAACTATGACCCATTGGTATGCTGTCTTCAAGAGACCCATTTTACATGCAATGACATACATAGGCTCAAAATAAAGGGATGGAGAAAAGTCTACCAAGACAATGGAAAACAGAAAAAAACAGGGATTGCAATCCTTGTTTCTGACAAAACAGACTTTAAACCAACAAAAACAAAAAAAGACAAAGAAGGACATTATATAATGGTAAAGGGTTCAAGTCAACAGGAAAAGCTATCTTTCTTAAACATATACGCACCCAATACAGGAGCATCCAGATTCATAAAGCGAGTTCTTAGAGACCTACAAAGAGAGACTTAGACTCACACAATAGTAGAGGGAGATTTTAACACCCTGTTGTCTAACATATTGACAATATCAGACAGCTCATAGAGACAGAAAATTGACAAAGATATTTAGGACCTGAACGCAGCACTGGATCAAATGGACCTGATAGGTATCTACAGAACTCTCCATCCAAAAGCAACAGGATATATATTCTTCTCATCATCACATGGCACATACTATAAAATTGATCACATAATTGGAAGTAAAACACTCCTCAGCAAATACAAAATAACTGAATTCATAAAAAACAATTTCTTTGACCACAGTGCAATCAAATTAGAAATCAAGACTAAGAAATTCCCTCAAAACCATACAATTACTTGGAAATTGAATAACTTGCTTCTGAATGACTTTTGGGTAAATAATGAAATTAAGGCAGAAATCAAGAAGTTCTCTGAAACTAATGAGAACAAAGATACAACATATCAGAATCTCTGAAACACAGCTAAGGAAGTGTTAAGAGGGAAATTTATAGCACTAAATGCCCACATCAAAAAGTTAGAAAGATTTCAAGTTAACAACCTAACATCACAACTAAAAGCACTAGAGAACCAAGAGCAAACAAATCTCAAAGCTACCA
The DNA here is from genome assembly GCF_000001405.40 of Homo sapiens. Classification (NCBI taxonomy): domain Eukaryota; kingdom Metazoa; phylum Chordata; class Mammalia; order Primates; family Hominidae; genus Homo; species Homo sapiens. Next base: position 1,004,328 of record NT_187562.1, on the reverse strand, counting down.
GAAGACAAGAAATAACCAAAATCAGAGCTGAACTGAAGGAGATTGACCAGGAGCTGTTTTTTTGAAAAAATTAATAAAATAGACCACTAGCTAGACTAATAAGGAAGAAAAAAGAGAAGATTCAAATAAACTCAATTAGAAATGACAAAGGGGATATTACACTGACCCCACAGAAATACAAACACCATCAGATAATATTATGAACACCGTTATGCACATAAACTAGAAAATCTAGAAGAAATGGATAAATTCCTGGAGACATACACCCTCCTAAGACTGAACCAGGAAGAAATAGAATCCCTGAACAGACCAATGATGAGCTCTGAAAATGAGTCAGTAATAAATAGCCTACTAACAAAACAAACAAACAAACAAACAAAAAAGCCCAGGACCAGACAGATTCACAGCCGAATTCTACCAGATATACAAAAAAGAGCTGGTACCATTCTTGTTGAAACAATTTCAAAAAATTGAGGAGGAGGGACTCCTCCCTAACTCATCTACAAGGCTAGCATCATCCTGATACCAAAACCTAGAAGAGGCACAACCAAAAAAAGAAAACTTCAGGCCAATATTCTTGATGAACATCAATGCAAAAAATCCTCAACAAAATACTGGCAAATGAAACCCAGCAGCACATCAAAAACTTATTCACCATGATCAAGTTGGCTTTATCCCTGGGATACAAGGTTGGTTCAACATATGCAAATCAATAAATGTGATTCATCACATAAACAGAACTAAAGACAAAAAACACATGATTATCTCAATAAAGGCAGAAAAGGCTTTTGATACAATTCAACATCCCTTCATGTTAGAAACTCTCCATAAAATAGACATTGAAGGAACATACTTCAAAATAATAAGAGTCATCTATGGAAAACCCACAGCCAACATCCTACTGCATGGGCAAAAGCTGGAAGCAGTCACCTTGAAAACCATCACAAGAAAAGAATGTCCTCTCTCACCACTCTTATTCAACATAGTATTGGATGTCCTGACCAGGAGAACAATCAGGCAAGAGAAAGAAGTGAAGAGCATCCAAATAGGAAGACAGGAAGTCAAACTATCTCTATTTGTTGACGACATGATTCTATATCTAGAAAAGCCTATAGTCCCACTCCAAAAGTTTCTTGAGCTGATAAACAACTTCAGCAAAGCCTCAGGATGCAAAATCAATGTGCAAAATTCACTAACATTCCTTTCCACCAATAACAGTCAATCTGAGAGCCAAATCAGGACCACAATCCCATTTACAACTATCACAAAAAGAATAAAATGCTTAGGACTACAGCTAACCAGGGAAGTGAAAGGTCTCTACAAGGAGAGCTACAAAACACTGCTCAAAGAAGCCAGAGATGATACAAACAAATGAAAAATCATTCCATGCTCATGGATAGGAATAATCAATATCATGAAAATGGCCATACTACCCAAAACAATTTATAGATTCAGGGCTATTCCTATTAAACTACCATTGAGATTCTTCACAAAACTGGAAAAACTATTTTAAAATTCATAGGGAACCAAAAAAGAGCTGAATCACCAAGGCACTGCTAAGCCAAAAGAACAAAGCTGGAGGCATCACACTACCTGACTTCAAAGTATACTACAGGGCTACAATAACCAGAACAGCATGGCAATGGTACAAAAACAGACACATAGATCAACAGAACAGAATAGGAAGGCCAGAAATAAGGCTGCACACCTACAGCCATCTGATCTTCAACAAATATGACCATAACAAGCAATACGGAAAGGATTCCCTATTCAATAAATGGTGCTGAGATAACTGGCTAGCAATATGCAGAAGATTGAAACTGAACCAGTTCCTTATGCCATATACAAAATTAACTCAAGATAGATTAAAGACATAAATGTAAAACTCAAAACTATAAAAACCCTGGAAGGCAACATAGACAATACCATTCAGGAGATATAAATGAGCAAAGATTTCATGTCAAAGACACGAAAAGCAATTGCAACAAAAGTAAAAATTGACAAATGGGATCTAATTAAACTAAAGAGCTTCTACACAGCAAGGGAAACTATCAACAGAGTGAACAGAGAACCCATAGAATGGGAAAAAGTTTTTGCAAACTATGCATCTGACAAAGGTCTAATATCTAGCATTATCTATAGGAACTTGTAAACAAATTTACAAAAAAAAAACAGCCCCATAAAAAAGTGGGCAAAGGACACGAACAGACATTTTTCAAAAGAAGACATACATGCGGCCAAGAATCAAATGACAAAAAGCTCAATATCACTGATCATTAGAGAAATGCAAATTAAAACCAAAATGAGATACCATCTCACGTCAGTCAGAATGGCTACTGTTAAAAAGTCAAAAAATAACAGGCTGGCAAGGTTGCAGAGAAAAAGAAATGCTTATACATTGTTGGTGGGAGTGTAAATTAGTTCATCCATTGTGGAAGACAGTAATTGGTAATTCCTTAAAGACCTAAGAACAGAAATGCCATTCACCCGGCAATCCCTTTCCTGATTATATACCCAAAGGAATATAAATCATTCTATTTTAAAGACACATGCACACGAATGTTCATTACAACACTATGCACAATAGCAAAGTCATGGAATCAAGCTAAATGCCAATCAATGATAGACTGGATAAAGAAAATGTGGTACATATACACCATGGAATACTATGCAGCCATGAAAAAGAATGATATCATGTCCTTTGCGGGAACATGTATGCAGCTGGTGGCTATTATCCTTAGCAAATTAATGCAGGAACAGAAAACCAAATAATGCACGTTCTCACTTATAAGTGGTAGCTAAGTGATGAGAACACATGGACACATAGAGAGAACAACACACACTGGGGCCTATCAGAGGGTAGAGGGTGGGAGAAAGGAGAGGATTTGGAAAAATAACGAATGGGTACTAGGTTTAATACTTCAGTGATGAAATAATTTGTAGAACACACCTTCATGACACAAGTTTACCTATATAACAAACCTGCACATTTACTCCTGAACTTAAAATAAAAGTTTAAAAAAAGTTTACTGCTTTTTACTGCTGAGTAATATTCCATGGTATAAATTACTACAGTTTGTTTAACCATTCACTCATTGAAGGACATCAGAATGTGACCGGATTGTTTATTATGAATAAAGTTACCGTAAACATTTGCGTAGAGATTTTATGTGAATATAACATTTTATGTCTCTACAAAACTATACCATTTTACTTACAGTTTCACCACCAATATATGAGTGATCCAGTTTTTCCACATACTCTCTAGTATTTGGTTGTCATAATTTATTTTAGCCATTCTGATAGATATGCAGTGATATCTCACTGCCATATAAAGTGCATTTTCCTAATGGTTAATAATTTTAAACATTTTTCAATGAGCTTACTTGTCATATTTATATTATCTTTGATGAAATATCTCTTCATGTCTATTGCCCATTTCAAATTGAATTTTTTGTTTTTTTAATGTTGAGTTGTGGAACATTTTTATATATTTTAGATACCAGTCTTTTGTCAGATTCATGATTGCAAATATTTTCCCCCAGTCTGTAGTCTATCTTTTAATCCTCTTATCATGGTTGATTGCAGAGCAAAATTGCTAATTTTGATGAAGTCCTACTTATTCTTCTTTTGTGGATTGTGCTTTTGGTGTCAAGTCTCAGAAATCTTTGTCTAGCCCTATGTTGCAAAGATTTTCTCCTATGCTTTTTCCTCTCAATTTTATATTTTTATGTTTTACACTTAAGTCCATGATCTATTTGGGGTTATTTTCCATATAAGATGGGAGACTGAGGTCAAGGCTCATTTATTTGCCTATGAATGTCCAGTTGTTTTAGCAACATTTGTTGAAAAGGATTTCTTCCAATGAATTGCTTTTGCACTTCATTAAAAATCAGCTTGATATGTTTATGTGGGCCGATTTACGGGTTCTGACTTCTGTTCTATTTCACTGATCTCTATGTCCCTCCAGCACTACCATTGTTAATTACTGTAACTACGTAATCACTGCTGATACCAGGTAAATGGATTTCTCCTACTTCATTCTTATTTTTCAAAATTGTTTTATATATTCTTTTTCTTTTTCATATAAATTATAGAATAACTTTGTCTATACCAACAAAAAATCTTACATACATGTACAGTCATGCACCATACAATGACGTTTTGGTCAATGACAGATCACATATATAACAGTGGTCTCATAAGATTATAATGGAGCTGAAAAAATCCTTTTCCATGTTTAGATATATATCTACTTACCATTGTGTTACAATTGCCTACACCGTTCAGTACAGTAAGATGCTGTACAGGTTTATAGCCGAGGAGCAATACGCCATACCACATAGCCTACGTGTATAGTAGGCTATAATATCTAGGTTTGTGTAAATGCATTCTATGATGTTCACATGATGAGACTGCATAGTCACATTTCTCAGCATATCCCCATTGTTAGGCAATGCATGACTATATATATACACATCCTGTTGGGTCTACTTCTTTGAAGAACCTTGACTATTACACGCTTTGTTTGCTAAGTATTTTTTGAGTGACTGTAAACGTTATTATATTTTTAATTTGAATGTCTACGTGTTCATGGCTAGCAAATAAAAACACAACTGTTTTTTGTATGTTTATCTTGTATCCTGTGACCTTAATTAACTCACATTTGAGTTCTAAACTTTTTTTGTATATTCTTTGGAATTTTCTATGTAGGCAATCATGTTATCTTCAAACAGAAACCATTTTAATTCTTTTTTTCTTATCTGTATTCCCTCTATTTCTTTTTCTTACTTTGTTGTAGTTATTACAGCTTCTAGCACTACATTTAATAAGAGTGATTGGAGTGGATTAGGCATGCTTACCTTGTTTCTGATCTTATGGGGGAAACATTCAGTCCCTTATCACATATCACGTTAGCTATGGGATTTTTTTTTTTTTTTTTTTTTTTGAGACGGAGCCCAGGCTGGAGTGCAGTGGTGCGGTCTTGGCTCACTGCAATCTCCACCTCCTGGGTCCAGTCAAGTCTCCTGTCTCAGCCTCTTGAGTAGCCGGGACTACAGGCACATGCCACCATGCCAGGTTAATTTTTGTATTTTTAGTAGAGTTTCACCGTATGGGTCAGGCTGGTCTCAAACTCCTGACCTCAGGTGATCCACCTGCCTCAGCCTCCCAAAGTGCTGGGATTACATGCATGAGCCACTGTACCTAGCCAGCTATGGGATTTTTGTAGATGCACTGTGTCAAATCTATTCCTATTTTTCTGAGAGTTGTTATGGATAGGTGTTGAATTTTGTCTAATGATTTTTTCTGAATTAACTGATACGATTATATGATTTTTCTTCTTTACCCCATTAATATGGTAGATTACATTGATTGATTTTCAAATGTTAAACCTATGTTGCATTCCTAGAATAAATCCTACTTGGCCATGGAGAATAATGTTTACATATTACTGAATTCTATTTGATAATATTTTATTATGAAATTTTCAGCTATATGAGGATTATTGGTCTGCAGGGTTTTTTGTGTGTTTTTTTGGTCTGGTTTTGGCATTAGGGTGAAAATGGCTTCATAAAATGAATTGGAAAGTATTTCTTCCTCTCATATTTTCTGGAAGAGATTGTATATAGAATTGGTGTTAATTCTTCTGTAAATGTTTATTAGTTTTTCCCATAAAATCACTAGGGGCTGGCAATATCTCATTTGGGAGCTCTTAAATTACAAGTTAAATTTCCTTTTAAGGCTATTCAAATTACCTACTTTATCTTAAATGCATTGTAAGAGTTTGTATTTTTTTAATAAATCATTTGATTTTTATCTAGGTTGTCAAATTATGCATGTAGAATTGTTCATGAAATTTTGATGTTTGCAGGGACTATAGTGTTATCCCCTGTTTCATTTCTGATATTGATGATGTGGTAATTTGTGTCTTCTCTTTCTCACTCTCTCATTTTGTCAGTCTTGCCAGAGATTTGTCAGTTTTAATCATTATCTTTTTAAAGATCCAGCTCTTTTTCATTAGTTTTCTCTTCTGTTTTTTAATTGTATTGATTTCTATTCTTTATATTTATTATTTTCTTCTTTCTGATTGTTTTGGGTTCATTTCATTCCTTTCTGGCTGGGTTCAGTTCTTTTTTTTTTTTTTTTCTTTGAGACAGAGTCTCGTTCTGTGGCCCAGGCTGGAGCACAGTGGTGTGATCTTGGCTCACGGGAACCTCCAACTCCTGGGTTCAAGTGATTCTCCTGCCTCAGCCTCCCAAGTAGCTAGGACTACAGGCATGTGCCACCACACCCAACTAAATTTTCTATATTTTGTAGAGACAAGGTTTCGGCATGTTGGCCAGGCTGGTCTCAAACTCCTGACCTCAAGTGATCTGCCCACCTCAGCCCCACAAAGTACTGGGATTACAGGCGTGAGTCACTGCAGGCAGCCTCTGACTCGGTTCTGAAAGTGGGAACTTACATTGTTGATCTGAGACTATTCTTCTTTTCTAATGTGTGCATTTGGCACTGTAAGTTTCCCTCTCAATCCTTCTGTGTGGCACAAATTTTGATTGTTGTGTTTTCATTTTCATTCAATTCACTGTATTGAAAAAATCCCTTGAGACTTCCTTTTTGACCCACAGATTATTAAGAGGTCTGTTGCTTAGTTTACAAGTGTTCAGAAACTTTCCTGTTATCTTTCTGCTCTTTGATTTCCACTAACCGGAGAACACACCCTGTATGATTTCAATTCTCTTAAAATTTTTGAGTTTTAAAAAAAGATATCGTCTACTTTGGTACATGTTTTGTGGGCATGAAGAGAATGTCTATTCTGCTGTTAGGTGAAGTGTGCTATACGTGTTAATTAGAACACTGAGTTCTTTTATATCCTTGAGGATTTTTTGTCTACATAGTTTATAATTTGTTGAGAAGGGGTGTTAAAATCTCCAACTGTAAGTGTGACTTTATCTATTTCTCCTCCCATTCTATCAGTTTTTGTTTCACATATTTTTCAGTTCTGTTGTTTGGTGCACACAATTTTAGGATTGCTATGTCTTTTTGGTGGATTAATCTTATATAATATCTCTGTCTCTGATGATTTTCTTTGCTGTGAAGTCTATTACACATGGTATTAATAAAACTACTCCTTTCTTTTTTCTCTTTTTTTTTTTTTTTTTGAGATGGAGTCTTGCACTGTCACCCAGGCTGGAGTGCAGTGGCGTGGTCTCAGCTCACTGTAAGCTCTGCCTCCCAGGTTCACGCCATTCTCCTGCCTCAGCCTCCCGAGTAGCTGGGACTACAGGCACCCGCCACCACGCCCGGCTAATTTTTATTGTATTTTTAGTAGAGATGGGATTTCACCCTGTTAGCCAGGATGGTCTCAATCTCCTGACCTCGTGATCCACCTGCCTCCGCCTTCCAAAGTGCTGGGATTACAGGCGTGAGCCACCACGCCTGGTCCCCTCCTTTCTTTTGATTAATGTTTGCATGATATACCATTTTCCAATATTTTACTTTTAAGCTGTCTATATCATTATATTTTAAGTGAATTTTTTGTAGAGAGCATATAAGGGGGGATGTAACCTACTCTGCCAGTCTCTGTCTTTAACTTGGTTTATCAGACTACTTACATTTAATGTAATTATTGGTGCATTAAAGTGTAACATTTATTTAATTTTTTGTTTTATGTTTATTCTCTCTTTTATTTCTCTATTTTTTCATGGCTTTCTGTGGGCTACTTGAACATTTTTCAAACTATTTTGATTTATTTGTAGTCTTTTTGGGTGTATTTCTTGCATATATATATATACACACATGCATATATATATATATATATATATTTTTTTTTTTTGGACACAGAGTCTTGCTGTGTCTCCCAGGCTGGAGTGTAGTGGTGTGATCTCAGCTCACTGCAACCTCTGCCTCCCAGGTTCATGTGATTCTCCTGCCTCAGCCTCCCAAGCAGCTGGAATTACAGGCACACACCACCATGCCTGGCTAATTTTGTATTTTTAGTAGAGACAGGGTTTCACCATGTTGGCCAGGATGGACTCAAACTCCTGACCTCAAGTAATCCACCCACCTTGGCCTCTCAAAGTGCTGGGATTACAGGTGTGAGCCCCATGCCTGGCCCTTGCCCTAATAAATTTAGTGGTTACTTTAGTATTATGTTACATGTACATAATTAATCATAGTCATCTTATTTTCTCCCATAATTATAATGTAATGGTCTTTCTCTACATTTATATCAGATATAGTCTCATTTTTGCTTCAATCATCAAACACAATTTCAAAGTCTTCACAAAAAGGAAGGTCTATTGTATTTACCTATATACTGGTTTACTATGTTTTTTTCTGATGTTCCAAGTTTCCTTTTTTTTTTTTTTTTGTCTTTTTTCCTTAAGACAGAGTTTCACTCTTTTTGCGCAGGCTGGGGTACAATGACACAATCTCAGCTCACTGCAATCTCTGCCTCCTGGGTTCAAGCGATTCTCCTGCCTCAGCCTCCCGAGTAGCTGGGATTACAGGCATGCAACACCACACCTGGCTAATTTTTGTATTTTTAGTAGAGATGGAGTTTCACCGTGTTGGCCAGGGTGGTCTTGAACTCCTGACCTCAGGTGATCTGCCCATCCCAGCCTCTCAGAGTGCTGGGATTACAGGCATGAGCCACTGTGCCCGGCCCCAAGTTTCCTTCTTTCTTTTGTAATTTCACTCCTGTTTAGAGAACTTTCTTCAGTCATTCATTTAGGATGGTTCTGCTAATGGTAACTTCTCTTAGTTTTCCTTCATCTGAGATGTCTTGACTTCCTCTTCATTCCTGAAGTATATTTTTTCTAAGTATAGGATTCTGGGCTGCAGTCGTCTTTTCTCAGCACTTGGAAAACATTATGTCACTTCCTTTTGGCCTCCATGGTTTCTGATGAGAAATCCACTGTCCTTTGAATTGTTTTTCCAATATAGACTTTATTTTTTTCTTGATGCTTTTAATATCTTTCTGTGTGTCTAGTTTTCAGAAGTTTAACTATGATGCGTCTCAGTGTGGATTTTTTTGGGTTGATCTTGTTTGGGATTTGCTCAGCTTCTTGAATCTGTAGGTGTTTGTCTCTTGCCAAATTTGGGAAGTTTTCAGTTATCGTTTATTTGAGCACATTTTTAGCCCTCCTTTTTCTGATGAAATGTACGTTAGATCTTTATTTATTTATATATATTTTTTGAGACGGAGTCTCACTCTGTGGCCAGGATGGAGTGCAGTAGCCCAATCTTGGCTCACTGAAACCTCTGCATCCCGGGTTCATGCGATTCCCCTGCCTCAGCCTCCCAAGTAGCTGGGACTACAGGTGTGTGCCACCACATCTGGCTAATTTTTTTTTATTTTAGTAGAGATGGGGGTTTCACCATGTTGACCAGGATGGTCTCAATCTACTGACCTCATGATCCACCCACCTCGGCCTCCCAAAGTGCGGGATTACAGGTGTGAGCCATCGTGCCCAGTCTAGATCTTTTATTATAGTCTCACAGATCTCTGAGGCTCTGTTCAAATTTTTCCCAGTCCCTTTTCTCTCTGTTATTCAGACTGGGTAATTTATGTTGTTTTGTCTTCTAGTACATTGCTTTTTTTACCCATCTGTTCCCTGTTGAGTCCATCCACTGAGTTTTAAATTTGGGCTATTTATTTATTTTGGGGTTCTAATTTTGCATTTTTGAGTTCCAAAATTTGTTTGTCTCTTCTTTACATCCTCTGTTTCTTTGCTGAAACTCCTTTTCTTTTATTTGTTTCAGCTCATTTAACCAATTGTATTATGATTGCTTTAAAATCATTATCACAGAATTCTAACATTTCTATCATCCCTATGCTAAAATATATACAGATATATATATATATATATATTTTTTTTTTGAGATGGAGTTTCTCTCTTGTTGCCCAGGCTGGAGTGCAATGGTGTGATCTCAGCTCACTGCAACCTCTACCTCCCAAGTTCAAGCGATTCTCCTACCTCCACCTCCCGAGTAGCTGGGATTACAGGTGCACACCACCAAGAGCGGCTAATTTTTATATTTTTAGTAGAGATGAGGTTTCACCATGTTGCCCCGGCTGGTCTCAAACTCCTGACCTCAGCTGATTCACCCACCTTGGCCACCCAAAGTGCTGGGATTACAGGCGTGAGCCACCGTGCCTGGCCTCTATGCTAATATCTATTGATTATCTTTTTCTTTTTCTTTCAGTTTCAGATCTCCAGGGTTGTTGGTATAATGAGTGATTTTCATAGAAACTTGGGCATCTTTGTACTATGTTATGAGGACCTAGATCTTATTTAAACCTTCTATTTTAGCTGGCTTTTTCAGGCACTTCTCCAGCAGAGTGGTGGCAGTAGGGAGCACCATTTTGGTGAGAGTAGAAATTCGGTTTCCTCAGTTGACCTCTGTTGACAACCCAGTTTAAGACTCTTCATTATTGTTGGGCAAGGTTAGGATTTCAAGCCCTCATTTGGTGTCTATTGATACCTTTCTGTGTGAAGGGGTAGGACTTTCTGTCTGGAGGGATAGGAGTGACTCCCACACGGCCTCCAATGACACTATGGCTGGGGGGTGATTTGCTCTTCTTACTACTGACTGATGATGAAAGTCATGACTCTCCCTCCACCAGCACCTCTGACAGGAGGGGATGGGGGCCTCTTTATTGTCCAGTGAGGATGAAATTTCTGGCTCCCTACTTGGCCTTCTCTGATACCACGTGTGTGTGTGTGTGTGCGCATGTGTGTGTGTGTGTGTGTGTGTGTGTGTGTGTGTGTGTGTGTGTGTGGTGGGAGGTTGTTTGCATGCCTCACTATGCCTTTCAAAGGTGGAAATCTAGGCTTTCCTGTCAGCCTTTGCTGGCATGGATGGGAAAGGAGCCACCATTTTTTCTGTGGTAATTGGCTTGAATAGAGTGACTATTATGTTTTCTGTCTTGGTAGGCTGCCCTTTTCCTGCTCCTTTTGCTGGAGAGAGCAGGCTTTCCTTGGGGCTCTTATTGTCTGCATCCATTTCATTTCTGGGTTTCTGAATTATTCACCTCCATGACTGGGATATATGAGGCTAAATGAAAACCCAGGGGAAGTCATCTCACTCTGCAAGTCACAAAGTCACTGCCTTCATAGCTCACTGCAGCCTTGAACTCTTGTGCTCAAGTTATCCTCCCACCTCAGCCTCAGCCTTTTGAGTAGCTAGGACTAATTTTTAAAATTTTTCATAGAGATGAGATCTCGTTATGTTGCCCAGGCTATAAAAATGACATTTTAAAAAGAAAAACCATAGACCAAGCTTGCTTATTAATAAAGACTACACTCTTGAAGTAAATATTCATAGAATTCAAATGATGCCTGATCCATTCATCTGGGGATACACATGATGTCATATGAACATCAGCACCTCAAATATCCTGTTCTTGCCTCTCCCAAAAAGTTCACTTCAAGTGTTTTTGGAATTCCCTGAGGGGTAGGTTTTCACAGGAAATAAATCATCCAGTCAGCTGTGGTTACTATGCAGCATCCACTGTGTTATTTTTCTTTTGCTCTTATTTCTCTGAGTTAATGTCTGTTATCTACAGAGGTATTTGAAGGAGGCTTACCTTTATTACTGCTGTTGCAGACTATCATAAGAATAGCAATGTCTATTTCAAGGATGCTGTTTCCAGATAATAAAAACATCTAATTTTCAAGATACTGAGGAGTTCTGCATAAAAGAGCATTTTCTGCTCAGCTTTGAGCCACCCGTGGTAACTTGGGCTATGAAGCAGTACTGCGTGTTCCCAGTGCCTTTACGCACAAATCAAATACTCCTACAAATACTCTGTGCCAGTCATTTGCCTGTTTGCAGGTCAGTTTCCTGGCTTCCTCTGTTCTGCTCTGTATCACGAGGAACTGTTTCCCCAGGCTCTTTTCTTTCTGACTTCTGCAAAGATTCAGCCAAGGGGAAGAGGGTGGAAGCAGAGATGAAACCAGGATGTTTCTTGTTTTCTCTCTCTGCCTCAGGGGGCACCTCCAAGGGCAGGCATATGTCCACAGTGGCTCCATCTCCCACCAAATAGTTCTTTCTTCTAAGATCCCAGCTTGCTGAGAAGGTCCAGAATGGTCCATCTTCTGCACGTGCTACAACTCCCAGACTCTGGTAACACCCCTTCTCCTCTTTGTTCCTCTAAACTAAAGATTTGTGGTAGTTTTCTTCTGTTGATAATTTTAGGACTGCCTCATTTTCTCTCCCCCACCCATTTAACTTCTCAATTCTTCTATTACCTATGTATCTAGTTAGATGTATTAAGTTTTCTCTGAAATACCTAGAGCTGTTTCTATTTTCTTGGGAGGATTCCAACAGTTATAGACTTATAAAAGTGGCCAGGTGCAGGGGCTCATACCTGTAATCTCAGCACTTTGTGAAGCTGAGGTAGGTGGATCACTTGAGCCAAGGAGTTCAAGATCAGCCTGGGCAACATAGTGAGACCTTATCTCTACAAAGTAAACAAAAATTTAGCCGGGTGTGGTGGTGTGTACCTGTAGTCTCAGTTGCTTGGTGGGGCTGAGGTGAAGGATTGCTTGAGCCCGGGAGAGGATGCAGTGAGCTGTGATCATGCCACTGCACTGCAGCCTGAGTCACAGGGTGAGACCCCATCTCAAAAAGAGGTGTTCAATTCAAGGTCATACAGCTGGGAGGTTGAGGCTGCAGTGAGTCAAGATTGCACCACTGCACTCCACCCTGGGTGACAGAGCGAGACCCTGTGTATAAAAGAAAGAAAAGAGAAAAAACACAAGTTGAACAACTTGAGCAAGAATATTGAGGTCTCTGAGTGAACCAACAAGAAGTATAGGAACAACACGTTAGTATGAGATCAACTTCCTCTTTCCACATCATACTAGTTGTTAGGTACAAGGTTGTTGTGTGGCTCAACCCTATAGAAAACCATGCACGTTTTAGTTCATGTAATTGTCAATCCTTAAAATTGTGCAGTTCGCAACATGGTCATCTGTATCTAACAACACTGAATAGGTAGACATGGTCAAACCTCATTTATCTTAGGTATTAATATTTATCTATTAGTAGGATTAAAGTTAGTCTTAAGTAATAGAAAGAAACTACAGTAGCCTAAAGAAAATAGTAATTTTCTCACATGTAAAAGTTTGTAGAGATGCAGTCTAGAGCCGACATGGCCACTTTTCTCCACAACGTCCACAGCACCCAGATGCTGGGTTCCTTCTAGCTCAAGAGGTTAACAGTTCCCCCAAGTGTGAACCTCATTCCTGTCATCCTTATCTTCCTAGAAGGAAACATCTTCCTTCTAGGCAGCAGAATAGAAGAAGGGACAAACAAAACAAAACAACAACAACAACAAATCATGCCAAGGCAATGGAAAAATACCAAGTATCTCCTAAGGAAGAGTCCCAATAGCTGCTATATGACCCTCTACTTAATCTCCTTGGCCAGCACTTTCAGGACTGGCTTAGTGGGTTTAGATAGTTCCTTCTTTCATCTATGGTCATCTTTAAGGGGGAGAGAATCAGTTGCCATACATTGATCTAATGCTTTGACCTTAAACCTAAGAGACTTTAGAAGACTTGGGACCTTAAAGTCCCCCTTAAAAGAAACAGAGACCAGACTAGAAACCTAGAAACATAGGTTTTCAGTGCTAGATTTTATTGAGGTGAAAAAAAGTAGGTAAAAATTACCCAGCTACTTTAAAACTGATGTAGGACTGAAAACCAAGTTTTCCAACTCCCGGGTTCAGTGATCTGTTCATGATAGGTTGCTTCAAAGGAAAACTGTCTTTCTCCTGTGGCATATTAAACATGACTGCAAATTATTTGCAAATCCTCCCCTCAAGTGGTGGAGTTTATTTTAATCTCAGCTGGCCTTGGGACTTGAATTGACAAATAGAATATGGCAGAAGTGATATTGTATAACTCCAAGCCTAGGTCTCCAGATCCTTGCAGCATTTACTCTTGCTCTCTTAGAATCTAGTTGCCATGGGAACTAGCCCAAGCTAGCCTGCTAGAGGGGCCTCATGGAGGAGATCTGAGGCACCTTGGCCAACAGCCCCAGCCAACCAAGAACCATGTGTGTGAGACCATCCTGGACTAGGTAGCCCTGAAATGGCCTGCTATGTGAAACCAAAGATGCAAATGAGCACAGAGGATACTTCAGCTCTTCCTAATTTGCCAATCCATAGAATGGAGAGCCAATTTTTTTTAAGCCACCAAATAAGGGGTTGTTTATTATGGAGTAATAAGTAACTGGTACATTTGCTAAGAGGGAGACCACACAGCTTGTCCCATTCTTTTGTTTCTCATTGTTCCAAGTGAGACATTTAAACATAAGAATAAATGCTTGCTGGGCACGGTGGCTCATGCCTGTAATCCCAACACTTTGGGAGGCCGAGGCGGGCGGATCACCTGAGGTCAGCAGTTCGAGACCAGCCTGACCAACATGGAGAAACCCCGTCTCTACTAAAAATACAAAATTAGCCAGGTGTGATGACACATGCCTGTAATCCCAGCTACTCGGGAGGCTGAGGCAGGAGAATCGCTTGAACCTGGGAGGCGGAGGTTGTGGTAAGCCGAGATTGCACCATTGCACTCCAGCCTGGGCAACAACAGCAAAACTCTGTCTCAAAAAAAAAAAAAAAAAAAAAAAAAGAATAAATGCTTGTTCCTCTAACCATTGAGTTTTGGGTGGTTTGTAACAAAGCATTATTATGGTAGTAGTTGACTAAGACCTTGGTTTTAGCAAGAACTTATGTAAATTTTCTTGAGGAAACATATGTTGAATTGACACAACTTATTAGAGTCTCTGTATTCAGAGTACTATCTTCAAAACCTGTTGGATTAGGAAGAAAAATGTGGTGGCATGTAGAAAATACCAAAAAGAAAATAAAAAAGGACAAAGATCCTCCTTTTGAGCTGTTTCTACCCATACATAATTAAAACTCCAGACTTCTGAGCATTTTCTTCAAGTTTTTGACATATTCAAGTACCAATACAGCTATTATTTGTTTAGTATATTTTAGTTGATTTAATAAAAATACAGAGGCTATGTATTTTAGTCTTCTTAGAGTCATATATCTATAAAAGAAAAATGTATATAAAAATGAAAATATTGGACCAGGTGCAGTGGCTCATGCCTGTAATCCCAACACTTTGGGAGGCCAAGGCCAAGAGATCGAGACCATCCTAGCAAACATGGTGAAACCCCGTCTCTACTAAAAATACAAAAATTAGCTGGACATGGTGGCGTGCACCTGCAGTCCCAGCTACTCGGGAGGCTGAGGCAGGAGAACCGCTTGAACCCAGGAGGCGGAGGTTGCAGTGAGCCAAGATCACGCCACTGCACTCCAGCCTGCTGACAGGGCGAGACTCAGTCTCAAAAAAATATATATATATATTATATATATTATATGTATAATATGTATTACATATATAATATATATAATATATATATAATATAAATATATATATAATATATATAATATAAATATAAATATATATATAATATATATAATATAAATATATATTTATATATATACACACACACACACACACACACACACACACACATATTGAAAGAGGTCCATCTACTTATCACTTAAATTATTTCAAAAGCCACTTTGTGGTATACTGAACTTACAAGCTACTCTTTCCCAAAGGAGCTCCCCAATTCTCAAGTATTGCTTCCTTTGAAAGAGCAATCAGTGCACCCCAAAACCTGCCCCCCATGATCTGTTTCTCCATCATCTTCTGGGCAAAGTCCTCAACATTGCTTGTGATGTCAAGGCTTACTTCGGTTCACTCAGAACTGGGTTTATTGTTCTTTAGGGGGTAGCTTCTTAGTGGCTATCACTGCAATCGAGTGATCTTAGAAGCAAATTGCCAGTCATGTGCACACTTGAGAGTGTCACAATAGACAGATTAATGTCCTGTCCTTGATTTTGATACCACATCCACTGTAGATGGCAGCTGATTATGGATAGAACATTGTGGCAAAGGCCATGATCTTCAGATGATGAAACTGGATGTTAGAGAGTTTGAGAATACTAGTCCCCAAAACTGTCACCTCACAAGGCCAAGCAGTGAAACATAGTTTAAAAAGAAGAGTTTAGATGAAGGAAGATGTTTACTATGAAGAAACTTCCAAAAAACAGATACTTAGTGACTGAGAGGCTCAATGGTTAAGGCTTTGGTTCAATTCTCGGTTCTGCTAATTATTAATTTTGTAACTTTGAGTAAGTTCACTGTACTTTCATATCTCTCTGACCGCTCATCTATAAAATGGGGAAAATAAAAGCTGTTATTTCCCTCAGAAAGTTGCTGTGAAGACTGAAGGAAAATGTACAAGCAAAACATTTAGCACATTCCTAGCACAAAGAAGGTGCTCCGTAAAAAGTGGTTATTTTTATTATTACCAATATTTTATTTTGATACTATTATGGCATGAAACAAAACCTCCTGGAATTAAAATAAACAGACAGGACAATTGAGGGCAAGAAGGAGGCAGCATCCGAAAAGATAAATGTGGTCCATGTGCCACAGCTGTTAACACACCTCTTCTCGGGGCTTAGATCTGAGTGAAGGCTGCTGCACTCCCGTGACTGGGTATGGCTGTGCTGGTGATGACTCACCATGGAGTAGGATATGGGTGATAAGAAGAAGTCCTGCTCCTGAGACAGCTCCCAGGATGGAGGTTGCTTGGCCTTCAGGAGGAGGCTGAGTAGGAATGGTGGACCTGGCAGCTGTGCTGCCCTATCCCTGTGGCTGGCTCAGCTTCTCTGACAGGGAGAGAACCTAAGTCCAGGCTGTGGTGGCTGTCCATAGGCAAATGTCACAGAGCACACTCCATCTTCAACTTTCTCTTATCAAATCTAAGTGGTCTCCATTATCATCTTCCTAGGGAAACATCAGCTCAGGGGCTTTGATTGATAGAAAAGGAGTGAGGAAGGGAATATGTGTGAAGGAAGCTAAAAGCCCATGGGGAGAGTATTGGACTTTCTGTGGAAGGGAAGTTTGAAGAGGAGGCACCATCAGGGTGTACCCACACAGACCAAACACCTCTAGAATCCTGAGTCAGCTTTTTCCCCTCACTCTGATTCCTACTCCCCCCTTAATCAAAATTCCATTGTTCGCTGGCATCACTATTCCCCTAGTCATGCAGAAATGCAACTTGGAGCTCCTCTGTGGCTCTATCATAAACCCCTCCTCCATTCAATCCATTGCCATGACTTTATTCCATACAATTTTTCTTTCTACGCACTTCCCTCCCCTCTGCCATCCCCTTGGGCCGGGCCCTCCCTTCATCACTCCTGCAACACCAAACTAACCACTCTGTTTCTTGTCTTTTATCCAATCAGTCCAGATCCCCAATACCACACCGGCGTTTCTTAGATATTATTGTATCTTGCCACACCTTTCCTCAAAAGCCTTATTTTTCCCAATGCTTTCTTTTCTAATGTATGAAGTTCTGACTTTTCTTTATGACTTTCATGATACCCGACCAGCTGGCCCCAGGGGGCACAATGGCTTTACTCCACTTCTCCACACCCACCCTCATCCTGGCAAGTGCACCATGGCCCTAGCACAGTGCTGATGGAATCTGGAAATATCGCCAGGGGATCATTTGCAAGACTAACCTAATAAATTACATTATTTTTTTCCTGGGATGAGGAAACAAGGACAGAGTTGAAACACCTTCCCCCAGAAATGTGCTTGCCTCTCTCAGACCACAGGTAAGGGCTTAATATGATGTGAGAAAGAGGATTTCTGGCTTGGAATGCAATTCATTTCTATTAACATTTAGAAAGCATCTTGGGTGGGCAGGAATGAAAACCAGACACTGTACATGCTATGACATAGTTTTCAATCACTAAGGAGATGAAGAGGCAAGCTATCAGTGTAACAGAAAGCAGAATGAAAGAAAGAGGGGCTCAGTAAAGCCTTATTCTTTTGTAGAAGGCATGAGATCCTATGAGGTAGGCATAGGCAAGTATTACCCTCATTTTCCAGATGACAAAACTTGCTTACCTGCCTCAGAGTTTAAGTGGCTTGTTTATTGTCACAGAGCTAATAATTAGCAGATTAGGGTCTCCTAGCTGGGTGATCTTTTGAATGCATGACTTTGCCAGCAGCCAGCAGAGCTATGAAACACCGAGAGAAACAATTAAGCATGCTTGGGAACAGTGTGAATGGGCATGGAGCTGGGAGGCCTCCTGGGAAAGGTGGCATTTGACCTGGGAATTGATGAATCCCAGAAAAGCCAATCAGAGAGGTGTGAAAACAAAATTAAAATGGAGACTGGGCCTGAAAAATTCCCAGGCAAACAAAGCCAAAGACCTTAAAAATAGCCATATTCTTGCTAAAACTACAAACATAAATTAAACTTAACTTGGGTCAATTTCTGATAAATGCTTACAACAAATAAAACTTAACCCCAGCCAATGATAAGCAGCCAACTAACATATGATTATGTGACTAGGGACTTTCCAAAAAGTTACCTAAAAAATGCAATTATGTAACTGCAAACTAAGCAAATAATGTTTCATTTTGCTTCTATAACTTCCCAATAAATGCTTGCCTCTGACATTTTGTCATCGCAACACTAAACCTTTGTCGGTCTGGTGCTCCCCAATTCATGAATTGCTTCTTACTTAAATAAACTCTTTAAAATTTTACTGTGCCTCATATTTTTTTTAATACAGAAGAAATGAGAGAAGGAAGAATATTTTAGAAATAAAGGAACTTCATGGGCAGAGTCACAGTGCAAGACAAAAGGAGCAGACCAAGGGCAAGATTGCTTGGGGAGTGAAGACTCCCTCCCTCTTCTCCCCTGAGAAGCTGAGATAAAGGGGGAGGAGAAGCCTGGGTGCCCCCCACTGATAAGCAGGCTCCACCCAGAGGCCAGTCCTGTGTGTCTGGGGACAAGGCGAAAGAGCAGCAGAAGTGCCCCTTCTCCAGGATCAAGGAACTGGGGCGGGGGGTGTTTCCTGGACCCCAGTCCTCCGAATCAGCTCCTAGAGTGGAACCAGGAAGGATTCTGGAGCCACAGAAGATAGACAGATGGTAAGTCCCCTTTTGGAGTCAGAGGCTTAGCGGGGAGGGGTGAGGGTGGCTGTGTGCAAAAGTCCTGCCCCCACTGGAGGGGAGGGAATGTAAGGCTTACAGAGTAGAAAGGTGGGGAGAGAGGGAGGTAATGGGAGAGGGATCGAGAAATGGCACATTCAGGGGACAGGTTCGTTCTGAAGCCCATCTGGGAACACTGCTCCGAGATAAAAATATGTGTGTGGGGGCAGGGCAGGCAGCGAGGGTATCAAAATGGCCTGATAAAACTCTCTTCAATGCACCATTTCCTGAACCAGCTTCTCTCTCCTCCTTCTCCCTCCACTCACTTCAGGAAGGTGGGGACCAAAGTGAGGAAGAGCCGAGGGAACGCAGCCAGGCAGGTGGAATGGGAACTCTCTGGAGCCAAGAGGTAAGTGGCCTCCTCTCCTGGGTCTGGAATACACTGATGTTGTCACTCTCGGCTCTAAAATCCCACAAACACTCATCTACTAACTGTCTGCTTCATCCTCACCCAAAACAGTTGACATTCCTTGTTTTCTCATCTCCCAGGAGTTAAAGTAGGGCTGGGTTTAGGAAGAATTGGGATAATTATTTCTGTATAAAGGGACTGTAGCACCAACAGATTCATTCTCTCTCCTCTTCTTCCCATCCCTGTCTCTCAACCCCCATCTTGTATCTTTCACCTCTTGGTTCCTCCCACAGAGCACTCCAGAAGAGAGGCTGCCCGTGGAAGGGAGCAGGCCATGGGCAGTGGCCAGGCGGGTGCTGACAGCTATCCTGATTTTGGGCCTGCTCCTTTGTTTTTCTGTGCTTTTGTTCTACAACTTCCAGAACTGTGGCCCTCGTAAGCAAGATCCCAGACCCCCTAACCTAGTCAGCCCTCCCCCAGCCCTGGGGCCCAGGCCCAGTCCCTGCTCCTGGGGCTTCTGCCCACCCTGACCCTTGGGGTCCCCATGGTTCTTCTTCCTCCCTGCATCCTAACCATTTCTTTTTCATCAGCTCCCCACTTAGTTACTCACCTGATGTTCTTTGCCTAGCCCCTTGGGGGAGCCCTTGTCTTTTTGCCTCTTCTTTCCCAGCTCTGAGCTTTTCCCCACAGGCCCCTGTGAGACATCTGTGTGTTTGGATCTCCGGGATCATTACCTGGCCTCTGGGAACACAAGTGTGGCCCCCTGCACCGACTTCTTCAGCTTTGCCTGTGGAAGGGCCAAAGAGACCAATAATTCTTTTCAGGAGCTTGCCACAAAGAACAAAAACCGACTTCGGAGAATACTGGGTGAGGAAAGCAGGGTGGAAGATGCTCTGTGCAAGTGGGTGACTCTGTGCCTAAAATGACCATGACTGCTCCAAACCCTGTGTAGTTGTGGAACAACTGATTTGCACCATCCCAGGTGGGATTATACGGGTGGATGATTGGAGATGATGGGGGAGTAAAAGAGGCAGGATGGCGGGAGCTGCCTGGGTTTGCTCATCTCTCACTGTTTCCTGTTGCCTTGCCTTGGGTACCCTTCTTCCGTTTCTCTTGGTCCCTTTCTGCATTTTTTTCTTTATCTAATTTCCATCTTCTTTGCTTCTCCATGTATCCATAATTACTCCATTCTCTCCAACTTGTCCCTTTTAGCAAGCTCCATCTTTGTTGCTTCCTCCAAATGTTCAGTTTCTATCCTATGCATGGTGTTTTCCTCCACAAGCATCTCTTCAGCATCTCCTGCATTTCAATTCTTTTGTCCATCACTCTCATTCTCTAACCTCCAAAACCTCAGTCTCCCAATGACTCCTTGTCAACATTACCCTCTCCCTCTCACCATGCCGGAGCTCCCCTCTCTCACAATGATCTCTTGCTTCTTGCTTCTCCATTGAAACCTTGAACCATGGCAAGCAAGTTGACCTGGAACAAGTGGGATGTTAGAGATGGATGATTGGAGATGATGGATGATGGTGGAATGAAAGGGGTAGGATGGTGGGGTGAGAAGTGAGAGAGGGCTTCATCACTGTGCATAAGAGAAAAAGTGGGTAAGTACAAAGGATATGCTGGAAGAAGAGGAGAGCTGAGTTAATTGGCAGTGGAAGTAAAGTTCCTGCAGATGGAGGCTGGAGAGGAAAACTGCCAGGACTGAGAGGAAAACCAGAAGGATGAGCTGAAACTGAGTAGGAGGTTGGAAGTGCGTCCCAGGAAGTTGGTGGATGGTGGTGAGGATTTGGGAATAAGAACATATAAGATAGACATGCATTTCCAGTGCAAGGGAACCTAAAGAATGTGTTGACACTATCAATTAGAATCTGGGAAAAGTAAATGCACCCCTCTGCCCTCTTTTTTTGATGGGGAAAGAGTGGGAGGGGGCCTCTCTTTGGGTAAATGGATACTTTCAGGGAAGGCACAGAGATAAAAAGAAAAAATATGCTCAGGATAAATTATATTGCCTACAATGGGATGAATAGATATCAGGGGGACTGAGGGTGAAAAGAGTGTTAGATATTAGAGGGTGGATGATTCAGAGAGACTTGCATTTGATTATTGTAGTGTGTTTGTTTCCTGGGATCAATGGATGAGGAGTCTGGACTAGAAGAGTCTTCCCCTGTTTCTTCTCTTTGCTAAACCTTTCCTTATGAGTTTTCTTCTCTCCAAATCCTTAAAGTTCTCTAGTTCCCTGAATTTGTCTAATTTCTTCAATCATTTCTTTTGTCTTTCATTTCTCTCTTTTCTCCTTTGCCCATATCCCACTTATTGCTACCTTTCTCCTTTCTTCCCTGTCTTTTCCTTCTTGGTTTCTTCCCCACATTTCTTTTATTTTCCATATTGTCTTCTTCTCCTCATTCTCTTTCCCTGCTTTCATCATTTCATCAAGTTGATCCATTCCAAATTGGGCAGTCCTCTCATCTTTCTTATTTTCCTCATCTCTATTCCTCCCCCTCCTTCCATATTCTGTGGGAGTCTTTCTTTCCTGTAAGCTCCCTGTCTCCCACCCTCCCTCTTTGCCTCTATACCAGTTGCCACTCCTTTAATTCTCCTGCCGACAAAAAGAGTCAAACTCTGTAAAATATTTGAAAAGATTTATTTTGAGCCAAATATGAGTGACCATGGCCCATGATACAGTCCTCAGGAGATCCTGAGAACATGTGCCCAAGGTGGCTGGGGCACAGCTTGGTTTTATACATTTTAGAGAGTCATGAGACATCAATCAAATACATTTAAGAAATACATTGGTTTGGTCCAGAAAGGTGGAACAACTCAAAGGGGTGGGGGTGGCTTCCAGGGTACAGGTGAATTTAAACATTTCCGGATTGACAGTTGCTTGAGTTTGTCTAAAGATCTGGGATAGATAGAAAGGGAATGTTCAGGGTAAGATAAAGATTGCGGAGACCGAAGTTCTTTTGAAGTCTTATAGTGGCTGCCCTTAGAGACAATAGGTGACAAATGTTTCCTATTCAGATCTTAGTTAATCAAAAGATCTAGCTATGTTAATGAGATATGTTAATAGCTAATAGAGATGCTTTACAGATGCAAATTTTCCTCCACAAAGAACAGCTTTGCAGGGCCATTTCAAAATGTGGCAAAGAAACATGTTTTGGGGTAAAATATTTTTGTTTTCTTCTTTGTCTCGTAATGTTATGCCAGAATCAGGTTAGAAAGTAAATCATGTTACATGGGTTAAATAAAACCCATCTGATGAGAACTTATGATATAGGGCATGACTCCCCAGACCCCTTTGATAGGAATTTGGGGCAAGATAAAAAAAATCAGAGTTTAGTCCTCACTCCCATGCTTCCTTTCTAGAGGTCCAGAATTCCTGGCACCCAGGCTCTGGGGAGGAGAAAGCCTTCCAGTTCTACAACTCCTGCATGGATACACTTGCCATTGAAGCTGCAGGGACTGGTCCCCTCAGACAAGTTATTGAGGAGGTGAGAAAAGTTGGGATATTAACTTTTCTGGATACATAACATATGGGACCAATGCATGCTTAGGGCTGCCATTTTTTTTTCTAGAGGGTGGGTCTTCTTCCTAGGGCCCCCCAATTTCTAGGAGGGAGATGGAGATGGAAATGGTTATGCCCTATGAAAGTATCAGGACCTTGGGAGAAGGCAGATAAAAAAGGATAGATGTGGCTTCCTAGAGGAATCGAAGGGCGCAGGGCAGAGGTCAGGCAGTAGCAGCTGTGTAAGAGCCGATCCAGACAATGGGGGATGGGCTCCACGGATCCTTATGCTCAGCCCCCTCTCTCTCCTTTAAAGCTTGGAGGCTGGCGCATCTCTGGTAAATGGACTTCCTTAAACTTTAACCGAACGCTGAGACTTCTGATGAGTCAGTATGGCCATTTCCCTTTCTTCAGAGCCTACCTAGGACCTCATCCTGCCTCTCCACACACACCAGTCATCCAGGTGAGGGATGCACTGGCGAAGACACAGTTGGACCTGGCCTGCCTCCAACTCTAGCCAATCATCCCTTAGAGGAAGGTTGCAGGTTGGGAAGAGAGGACACCTGTGTGATATAGGAAACAACCCTACCTTAAGGGAAAATTATTGATGTGAAAGTCAGGGACATTAGCTGGGGGTGGGAAATGGAGCAGCAGAGCCAGTGCTGGGAAGACAGAAGTAGGCCTGGTCTTTCTTACTGTTAATCTGGATTAGTCTCAGAGCCCCTTAACCAGTCCTCCTATCTCTAGGATTGCCCTCATTTTATTTACTCTTTATTTTTACTAGAGGGAACTTTTCTAAACCAAGGGCTAACTAACTATGCTACTGTCTGTATTTAAATGCTTGTCAGTGACCCAGTGGCTTGCCAGGTCATCAGAATCTAGTCCCTAATCTTTAGTAAAGCTTTGCAAGCACCTTGTGATCTGACCCCTACACACTTCTCCAGCCTTATCTCCCGTACATTCCTTCTCTCCCTTACCCCCAAGCCATGCTGACTCACTGCTGCTTCCAGGAATATTCCTCAGTTCTTTGCCTATGCTGCTCCCTGTGCCTGCAACCATCCCCCACACTGAACCTGGAAAACTTACATGTTTTTCAAATGTTGGCTTTATTATCTCTTCCAGGAAGTCTTCACCGACACCCTAGTTATGAGTTAGGTGAAGCCCTGCTCTCCCTACTTTCGTTTCCTCATGCTCTCAGCATTTATCACTCTGTGTTGAAGATTGTGAGCCTCTTTAGAACAGGACCATGCTTTATTCACCTTTGTTTCTCAGGACCTATCACAGGGCCAGGCAGCTAGAAGTTTTGCCAGGTATTTGTAGTGAGTGAGTAACTAAATAAAAACACTGGAGCTATCACTCTTGTGGTTAAACAATGTAATGCTATCTGCATATTTGGGCCCTACTGTCAAAAGAGCCACAAAATTACCAAAGGATAAGTACAAAAGAAGAATTGATTATCATTATGAGGTGTTCTAAAATTTAGTTTTAAACAGTCTGCTCAGGAGTTTAACTGATGTGGCCTTTAGGGGCCGGTTAAGATCTGGTTAAGGAGAGGCTCAGAGAGGAGAGAATGAGAGAAGGTGAGCTAAGCCAGCCTTGAAACATGGTTAATTCACACAAGTGGAGGTGAAGCTATGGGGCGTTGGAAATGCTGAGCCAGGGGGAGGACCTGGAATGGTGTGATTCCTTCGTGGAGTCAGTGAGGAGGCTGATCTATTTAATTGAGGATTTGGGAGGCAAGGTGGGGTGCAGTGGGAGGTAAAAGTGAGACTGAAGACATAAGGTTGAGCCTGATTATTTCTAAGAAGCCAGGCGAAGGTGAAACATTTGACATAATAGAAAAAAAAAAAAGAGCTACTGAGGCCATCCAACTCTTATGACAATTGTGCATAGAGCAAGTATTTTGATGGTTGTGCGTAGAGTCAGCAGTTTTGAAGGTCAGTCTGGGGGTGTTGAGGAAACTAAATGAGCATTTTTGAGGCCCTGAGATAGAGGTAGAAATGGAAAGGAAGAGCCAGGCACAAGGATTTAGGCAACTTCACCCTAGTGATGATAGTTCATGCTGTTTCTAGAGGATTTGGTGACTGATTGGATATAAAGAAAGAAAGTGGGGGATTACACAGTGATCCCATTGTTTTGATTTAGTGTGAGTGGGAGGAGGGTGATTATCATCAGTGTGAGCCTGGATAGTCTCTTGGGTTAAAAGCAGGTAGGAAGAATGGACTACAGAAAGAGAAGTCCAAAGACTGAGGGCAGAAGGGAGCCAGGGAAGAGAGAGTACTATTGGAGAGATGGGAGCTAGACCAGTATGGTGGGCCACAAAGGAAAGAAAAGGAGCTTCAGGAAGGAGGGGTCAGCTCAGAGAAGAAGGAATGAGAAGACACCCTTGGATACCTAGAGATACTTTCCAAACAGTTATGGCAGTGGACACAGACTGCACAGAGCTTAGGAGGAAGATAAGAAAGTGGAAACAATGGGCATAGATGCTTTTTTGTTCTTTGAACTGTGGACATACAATGTAGCAAAAGGGTCAAGTGAAAGTTTTTTTCGAGACAGAAGGAAAAGTATATGGCTCAAGATAAGAGTGGGATATTGAAATTGGAGAAGAAAAGGGAAAGAGTAGAAGCAAAGATCTTCAGAATAGAAACAAGGGTTCATCAGGGCCAGACTAAGGTGAAATATACATGGTGCTTACCTGGGGTGCTAATTTAAGAAGGTCCCCAAAACTCAGTATCATGATAAATAGTATTTTATTAAATATTCCTAAAAAATCAAAATCAATGCAACAATACATGATGGAACAAAATATCAAACTTTTCTTCATTATGAATTTTTTTGAAAAAAGATTATGCTTTTTTTCCCAAAAAATGGGACAAAATTCTGTGTGAATCTTTTTGAAAATACTAATTTTTTTATTCAAAATGAATCAAAAATACATTGAGGACTTTTCTTGAACACATCATGATTCTTTTCAAAATTGACTAAAAGTATGTTTTTTTGGGGAAAAAAAGTCCATGATAAGCAAAGTTTTGAGATTTTATTTATCATACATTTTTGGTAGTAATTTTGATTTTTTAAAATGTTAATTATTTATCTTGATTACTGAGTTTTTTTAAAAAAGAGTTTATTTGAGCAAAGACTGATTTATGAATTGGGCAGCATCCTGAAGCAGTAGAGGTTCAGAGAGCTCCACCCAACAATGCAGGCAGGCAGTATTTACAGAAAGAGGAAGTGACACCCAGAAACAGCTTGATTGGTTACAGCTTAGCAATTGTCTTTAATGGGCATGGTCTGATCACTTGACAGCCTGTGGTTGCCTGAAGATCAGCTGGTATGGCTGGCTGAGATGGAGCTACCTGTTGCAAGAATATACTCCTAAGTTAGGTTGCAGTTTGATTACTGAGTTTTTGGTACCTCTTAGATTTTGTACCTGGGACAGGTTCCTCACCTCACTCACCCTGGCCCTGTTCCTGAGACAAGGAATAGCTCCTTTTAAGATGCTGATTATCATGCTTCTGCCTTGCTGGGCACACCCACACTGGTTGTAATACTCACCATCTCTTCCCATTTTCACATCTGGACTCTTCTTCTCATGCCCCTCAACCCTTAATCCCTCCCTTTCTTTGTACTCTTGCTTCTCTTCTGTCCAATCTTTGTGTCCATCTCCCAAGGCCATCTCCCATGGTATATTCCCCACCTCCCCACACCTGCCCTCTCCATCCGCCATGCTCCCTGCTTCTCTCCAGTCTCTCTTGTGCCCAGATAGACCAGCCAGAGTTTGATGTTCCCCTCAAGCAAGATCAAGAACAGAAGATCTATGCCCAGGTAAGATGGCACATGGACAAAGGCCCTGCCCTCTGAGGCCAGGAGAAAAGCAGGGACCTCTGGCACCTGTGACTGACATTTCCTTCCTCCAGATCTTTCGGGAATACCTGACTTACCTGAATCAGCTGGGAACCTTGCTGGGAGGAGACCCAAGCAAGGTGCAAGAACACTCTTCCTTGTCAATCTCCATCACTTCACGGCTGTTCCAGTTTCTGAGGCCCCTGGAGCAGCGGCGGGCACAGGGCAAGCTCTTCCAGATGGTCACTATCGACCAGCTCAAGGTGCCTGGAACTGGGGGCCAGAAGACTGTGGGCATGGGGATCTTCCTCTCAAACATTACCTCCTTTCCTTCTTCCTCCTAGTGCCCTTAATACCTTTTCATTCTGTCTCTGACTCCATCCCCTCCCCCAGTTAGCCTGTTCTCTTCTTTTTCTCACACCCAAGGGGAAGCCCTTTCCCCTTCCTTCTCTTTTCCTTTTCCCCCTCAGCTTTGTGTCCCTCCTCTAAGGAAATGGCCCCCGCCATCGACTGGTTGTCCTGCTTGCAAGCGACATTCACACCGATGTCCCTGAGCCCTTCTCAGTCCCTCGTGGTCCATGACGTGGAATATTTGAAAAACATGTCACAACTGGTGGAGGAGATGCTGCTAAAGCAGAGGTTCGCCGCAGGTGGGATTGGGGAGATCATGGAAATGGAGGAGAGCCTGAGCACCGTAGATCTTGGGGGCAAAGGAAACCTTGGGGAAGGCAGGCTGGTAAGGGCCTCCCAGGAGGATAAGAGGAACCTGCCACCTGTGCGGGCAGAGAAGCGTGGGGTGGGTGGCACAGAGAGGATGGAGGGATCAAGAAGGATGTGTCTTGGGAGCACGAGTAAGGGAGGATACACACGACATGAGGAACGCAGGGTCAGCCAAGACACGGGGTTTCCTGAGAGTAGAACACCAGCCAGTCAAGAGCCTCTGAGCTGTAGAAGATGCTGGAAGACCCAGACACAGAAGACAGTTAAGTGTATGTATGTCTTTTTAGCAGCTGAGGACTGTGGGCAGGAGGAGGAGGCACATGAGATGAGGAGATGAACATGGTGAAGGCTGGGGATGCTTAGGGGAAGAAAGGAAGAGGAGGGGCCATTCCTCAGGTGTGGTGTGAAGATGCTGGAGCTCTTATGGGAAACAATGTCTAAGAGCATTTCTGCTGGTGTCAGGAAATCAAGGGGGTGTTGGGGTTGGGGACATGAAAGAGTGGCTCTTTGTTGGGCTCTCTGCCTCCCCTGATACCTGGGTGGCTACCACCTGAAAGCAGTGGCTTTCTTCCAGGGGCTTGGACCTAAGGGCCTTCTTCATGGTGGCAGCAGCATCTGGAAATCCTTTTTGAGGGAGGTAGCTGCCCATTCACATGGCAGTGAGCAGGCTTACATAAGGGTGCAATGCAGCCCTGGCAGGAGCATTGCTGGTGGAGGAGAGAGCAGTCACAGAGACCAGCTTACTTATGCTTATGAGATACATCTGAGGATAACCAGAGATATCTTGACTGTGGAAGCAGAATCTGTTTCATGACATGAGTCCAGACTCCATCTAGCCCAGAACTTTCTTTCCCTGTGACTTTGAAGGCTGCCTCTTCATCTAGTTTCTTTTACTAAGGAGCTAGATCCCACCCCAACCTACATCATGAAAAGCTCTTTTTGACTTGGGTGCATGTTAAAACACTTATTAATACAGAGGAGAAGGAGCTGCCTTCACGAGTATCAAGGTGACTTACACAAGGAGAGGCTCTTCTTGAAGCATCCCCAGATTCCTGGGGTATATGTGTGGGTCTCTTTTGTCTCCATAGGGACTTTCTGCAGAGCCACATGATCTTAGGGCTGGTGGTGACCCTTTCTCCAGCCCTGGACAGTCAATTCCAGGAGGCACGCAGAAAGCTCAGCCAGAAACTGCGGGAACTGACAGAGCAACCACCCATGGTGAGGAGAGGAGCGGGTGTATTTGCCCAGATACTCGAAAGGAGTATCTACTCTTTTGAGGGGTAAATGTCGGCATCTCTCTCTCAGGGAGGGGGCCGTGATGGTAGATGCCCCTCCATGTCTTGGCTTTCCATAGAAGCAGGCAAGTTGGACAGACAAAGTTTAACTTGAAAACCAAGATGCCACGTGCCAGACCTTCAGGCACACATCTCCCAGCCTGACTACCTCTCTGGCTTCTTGCTGGGTGTTTGAGCTCAAATATAAAACTCTGATATTATCAAAACTGCCCTTTCTTTGTCATGATGCTTACACTATTTGCTCAGGATAACTTGGACTTAGAGCTTACAATTTATTGGGATGACAGAGAGATATGTTACGCAGTGGCCTTCCTTATGTCTAGTTGATTCCATGTTCAAACGTGCTTCACAAAGAGTTTATCTCTGACATCCAGTGGGATCCACTGGGCCACATGTAGACTTTGTGGCACAGATGTGGATATATCTGAGGAGGGGCCTGGGTAGAAAATGCACTTCACTAACCAGAGTCTACTTATTACATAAGATGCAGAGATGCTCCTTTGCTGAGAATCTTGAAATCCCAAGTTGGATATATCCAAATGCAAGCAGAAGAGTCTAGTACATTGGATACATCCCAACCTCAGTGAAGGCCTCAGTTTAGTCTTAAAAATCACTGGATTTTTTTTCTTAGTAATTTGTGGTCCATTTCCCTGCCTTGGAGAAACTCTCTGCTTTGGCAACCTAAAATTGCTGTGGAATTCAGAGAAGATAAATGTATTCACAGGGACTGGAATGTAGTTATTGCTTATCAAGAGCTAATGGTGTGCTAGACACTCTGAAATCCTTTAGATCTAAATCTAGATTTAGATTTAATCTTTACAATTCCATGAGGTACCATGGATGCCATTTGGTTCCTATTTTAAAGAGGAGGAGACAGAGGCACGAAAGATAAGGAAGTTGCTCAGGTATGACAGTAAGTTAGTGGGGTGAGGATTTGAACCCTGGCAGTCTGGCTCCAGGGTCTGTGTTGTTTACTCATTGTGCTAAAAAAGCAGTCTTCCTGAGGAACATCACTTGGGTTGGAGAGTGGCCAAGAAGCTTCTGCCCAGCTTTTCTCTTGATTCAGATGAAGCAGACCAGAGCCCCAAGTTATCTTAATTGGGGTTGCTACAAAATCCTGGCAACAAACAGCTACCTATAAATGCCAGCACCATGGCCTCATGGCACTTCTTGGAGGCTGTAAGAGTGCTAATGTTGAGGCTTAGGCTTAAAGAATGCAGAAGGCTTAGATGTCCTGAAGCCATTATCTTTTCCACTAGGGCACATAATTGTCCTTGGGCTTAAAAGCTGAACTAATCTCTGCCAACAAATAGTTGTGTGACCTTGGGGACGCCACTTCACCTTTCTGGAACAATAGTATAAAAGATGGCACTTAATAATAATGATAATAGCTGCTATACATGGAGTAGTCACTGTCTGTCAGCACTTGGGACAGGTTATTCATTTAAATCTTCCAGAAACACTTGGAGGTTTTTAATCCCCATTTTGCAGAAGCAAAAATAGGCTCAGAAAGGTCAAGAAACTTTCTCAAGACCACACAGCTCACAAGTAAGTGAACAGACTCCAAAACAGATGTTTTGGCTCATAAAGTCATGTTTTTAACCACACACTATACAGGATTGAGAAACAAGTAGGTGCTACAAACAAAGGTTAGAAAACTTTTTTATAAAGGGCAACATAGTAAATATCGACTTCGTGATCCATAAATGGTTGGTGTTACAAACTACTCAACTCTGTCCCTGTAGTGCAAAAACAACTGTACACTAAGTAAATGCTGTGTTCCCAGGGGATCCTGGTTGAGACAGCAGATATTCTTGGAGTTCCCAAGAGGGAGAGATCAGGGAGCATTTGAAGGATCAGTGGCATCTCTGTGCAGGAGGCAGAACTGACAAAATGTCTAGAGAGAGGAAGGAGTTTTCTGGTGAAGAAAGGGGTATCATCTCATGGGGACAGGGCAGGAGGCAGGCTGGCTAAAACTTGGTGCAGGGTGAGGGATCCTCCTGGTGGCTCTGGTTGAGAGGAGAAGACTAGGCTTGCTGTGTCCACTGATGCCCCTGGAGCATGCTCCAGGTGTTTGAGAATCAGCAAGGGAGCCAGGGCACCTGGATCAGAGTGACTAGGACAATAGTGGGGAGGGAATCAGAGCAGGAAGGAGAGAACCATACAAGGTCTGGTAGGTTGCTGAAGGACTTTTGCTTCTCTCTGTATGAAATAAAGACATGCAGAGGGATTTATCTCATTTATGTTTTAAAAGAACATATTTTAAGGTTAGTAATGGGATGTCCTGATGATGAGTGATGTGAGAAGGAGAATGGAATCAAAGACATCACCTAGAGTTTGGCCTTGATATGATCAAAATGTTTGGTTTTATTCAGTGGCCATTAATTACCGACTTCTGATCATATTCTTTTGAATGAATTATAATTTATAGTGCCCTTATACAGAAAGATTTCTAAATCTCATTATTGGCCCATCTTTGGATGATTAGTTTTGAATAGAGTTATAGTCAATGAAAATGGCTGTTAAGTCAGGTTTTCTTTTATGAAACTTGGGAAGGTGGGTTTTGAGAAGTAAAAGCAGAACTTCACATTTGTGATGATTAAATGTGAATGATTTATATTCAGCCCAACATCTCAATTTATTCAGGTCTTCCAGCTTTGGATCATTTGCAATTTTATTCAGTGTATCTTCGTCCAGACTACTGTTAAGATCCTGAAGGGAGAAGGGCATCGGGTCAGGTTATTGAAGACCTAGATATGGATTTATGCATTCATTTATGTAACAAACATTTATTGAGAACCTAGTGTACTTCAGGTACTTCTCCAGGCACTTGGAATGCAGCAATGAACAAAAAAGACAAATAAATAATCCTGCCTTCAGCCACATATCCTGGTGAAAGAAGAAAGACAATAAACAAACTAATAAAATAATAAAATATGTTAGGAGGTGTTATGAAGAAAAGCAAAACAGGAAATGAGGAAAGGAAATGCTAAGTGAGTGGTAGTTAGGATTCTTAGTAGGAATGTCACTGGAGGTCAAGTTAACTTGAAATCATTCACCATTGATGTTTACTTTTGATTCAGCCAGATGAGACTCCACTCAAATTGCACTATCATTCAACATCAGTTTCTCTATCTAATTCACGAGGACTCAATCTGTGTTTTTCAAGCCTGGCTAAATCAAGATAATGCCAACAGAGTGGGGTAGTGCCTTAGAGTACTTGAAAGGTATTATTTCACCTGATCCCCAAACCTGTGAGGAAGGTAGACTAGATATTGTTTTCATTTCGACAACTGGTGTCACTGAACCACAGGGGTTTAAGTTAATAACTCAAACTTAGTAAGTGCTAATACTCTATTCAGTGGTAGGATGGTAGTGGTGCTTGAGGATGTATTTCGTCTATAGATGTGTTTTGTTAGCCTGTAGAATCTTTTGCAAACTTTGAATTAATCACCAACATTCAAAAACTAGGATATGGCATGCCAGCATTCAGGTTTCTAGTGTGTGTGTGTGTGTGTGTGTGTGTGTGTGTCTGTGAAGCTTGGGAAACACTGGGCTACCCTTCTCCTGTGGCAACAACTGACTGTCGCTACATGATGCAGCTCAGGGCTGGGTGCGCTCTCTGAAGCCCCACCACAGCCTGTAGCTCTGATGTTGCACTGCTGTTCTCTGTTATGCCTCTGCATGGCCCCTATTGGAGTTTGCGGCTTCCGGTCTTTCATATGCCTCAGTTACATAAGCCTTTTAGCCAGAAGAATTTTTATCATTTTGGCATTATTTTTCTTCAGTGATCCTATCATAGCCCTTAGTAGTTACACATTATTTTCCAAGTGTTAAAAAACTGTTTAATGATTCGTTCCACAATTTTGTTTAGAAATTAACATTAAGGATTCCTGGTTGGCTCGTAATCCCTAAAATTTCCTTTCATCCTATAGAAGATTGGTCAAATTTTTGCTTCCCTCCGGACTCTTAGAATCTGTCCTGATTTCTATCATTTCTCAAATACTATCTGTGGTTCTGAGGTTGTATATGGAACT
Organism: Homo sapiens; assembly: GCF_000001405.40. Taxonomy (NCBI): domain Eukaryota; kingdom Metazoa; phylum Chordata; class Mammalia; order Primates; family Hominidae; genus Homo; species Homo sapiens. The sequence goes on along the minus strand of NT_187562.1, from coordinate 971,461 downwards.
TTTTTTTTCTGGTGCCCTAAAATTAGTCCACTGAGTTTCATTATCTTGGGTTTGAAGTATTTCTTCTATTGTTTATATTTTGGAGACTTTTTTTTCTCGAATTCTATTTCTCTCCCTCTCTTTCTCTCTCTGACTCTCCCTTTGCAGTCAATGTGGTATACACTACCATTCCACATCTTGAGAGAGAGCTGTAGTAGTGGTCTGAGGTGGCGATTGTATTATCCAGTAGTCAGGTCCCACGGCAAAGCATGTTGGAGAAATGATCAGGCTCCAGCAAAGGGCATCAGGAAACAAATCAAGAATGAGAAGGGGTGAGAAGAATAGGCAGATCTACACTTCCAAGCTCAAGTGGTCTCCCTGCTGATGCTGGTTGCTGCTCCACATGTAGCAACTGTCTGGTAAGAGGTATTCCTGGAGCCAAGCTTGTCCAGCAGAATGTGGCTGGCAGATTCTCAACTTGGCCTATAATTGCTTTCAGACCCGGACTTCTTTTTAGTTCCTGTTGTTTCAGAGCTCCAACTCATGCAGCATGAGAAGAATCTGAGCCTCTTCTCTTTATCAGAGACAAGGTTGGCCAGGTGCGGTGGCTCTTGCCTGCAATCCCAGCACTTTGGGAGGCCAAGGCAGATGGACCACTTGAGCCCAGGAGTTTGAGACCAGCCTGGCCAACATGGCAAAACTTCATCTCTGGTGGTAGCCACCTGTAATCCCAGCTACTTGGGAGACTGAAGCAGAAGACTCACTTGAACCCGGGAGGTGAAAGTTGCAGTGAGCCGAGATTGCACCACTGCACTCCAGCCTGGGTCACAGAGTGAGACTCTGTTACAAAATAAAAATAAAAATAAGACTCAAGGTTAGCAGACCTCAAGGTTCAATAGAACACAGATGTGGACAGCCAGGCCTGCAGCAACCTCCAAAATGATAACCTCTTTAACTGGTGGGTTCGGGAGTTTTTTCTTCAGTGACTACCAGACTGGCCTCTTTGGTCTGTTTCCTGTAGTGGGATGTACATAAACCCCCTCCATTCCCAGGACCAGCCTAGCTCCTGCGGGGAGAGTATTAGTGGCAGCCTTCCTACCTTCCCCGTGGGCAGGTCTTTGGGAAGTAAAAAAATCACAGGAATAAAGTTTTGAGGCTTCATCCTGCCTAACCCAAATTAGCATATTAGCTGGTATTTATCAGTTCCAGCTCAGCTTTCCCTCAGGCCAGCTACCTCCTCCTGTCCCTGGGTTCCTTGAGTGTGTGTCTCCATTTACCGTGTCATCTCTGGGTTTATGCCTTGGTCAAGTTTTTAAAGCCATGCAAGCCCACCGCCAAGACCTTCTCAGCATCTGTCTCTTCTGTTTCTCATTCTTGAGGTCCTCAGCTGGCACTGCCCTCTTGGATGTTTGTCCATGGCCTCCTGCCTCTGCAGTGAAAGCCCTCCACCTTCCTGTTCTATTCTCTCCTCTCTGACTTGGCTGGAAGTCTTCCAGCTCTATGAATTTATACACTGAGTCTTGTCTTGTGTCCTCTTTTCCTAGCAAACAATATGGCATCTAAAACCCAGTTCTACTCTGATAATTTTTTCTTTACAAGATGCTACAGTATGATACACCATGCCCACCTGGAGAGAGGATAAAGGTGATGGTGGTAGGACAGAATTTCCATCCGCAATCTCCGTTTTGAGCAAAGAAGCATGGAGGATGGAAGTCATTGCTGGGACCCCGGAGTAGAGTGGTGGTGGGGGAACAGGGGGAACATCAGACTGCCGAGGTATGAGTTTGGGTTCTCATCTTCTTCCCAGGAGGCTTTTGAAACCCCAGGATGATGCCTCCTAGAGGCCTTGCTGTCAAATTCAATAGGCAATAACATGAAGGATTTACTCAGCCAGGCTCATGAGACCAGCTCTGAGGAAGCTGTGCTTTTCTTGTACTGATCGGTGATGTGCATCACCCTAAGGGATAGTAAACAGATGAAACCCAGAAAGTCCAGTCAAAAGAGCACCCTCTGGGAATGAAGATCTAGTGAAGACTGGGGAGACAGATGAGGAAAGAGTCCTGAACAGGAGCCACTCATTCCAGCTTTGTCTCCATAGCCTGCCCGCCCACGATGGATGAAGTGCGTGGAGGAGACAGGCACGTTCTTCGAGCCCACGCTGGCGGCTTTGTTTGTTCGTGAGGCCTTTGGCCCGAGCACCCGAAGTGCTGTATGTGAGAGCTCTTCCCAGCCCACATCCCTCCACCCCTTCCTACCCAAAGCAGCCTTCCCTCTTCTATTAACTTTGACTTTCTCAGTGGTGTGTGTGATTGGGGAATTGGGCAGTCAGAGAAGGGCCACTGAGAGAGGGAACCCAAAGGCCTGCTCCATCCCTGGTGTGGAAACAGTTCAGCTTCAGGCCACAAATTCTCCATGACATGCTCTCACTTGGACAAGTCACCCAACTTTCCTGGTCTTGTGTTTCTTCAACCATCAAATGAGAAAATCGAGCCAGGCTCGGTGGCTCACACCTGTAATCCCAGCACTTTGGGAGGCTGAGGTGGGCGGATCACCTGAGGTCAGGAGTTCAAGACCAGCCTGACCAACATGGAGAAACCCCATCTCTACTAAAAATACAAAATTAGCTGGGCGTGGTGGTGCATGCCTGTAATCCCAGCTACTCGGGAGGCCGAGGCAGGCGAATCGCTTGAACCTGGGCGGCAGAGGTTGCAGTGAGCCGAGATCACGCCATTGTACTCTAGCCTGGGTGACAAGAGTGAAACTCCATCTCCAAAAAAAAAAAAGGAAAATTGAACACTATCATCTCTAAGTCTCCTCCCTGTTGTAGCTAAGATTTTTTTAACAACACATGACGTGACATCAGAACAGATGACATAATCTTGAAGAGGGCAAATAAATCAAATAAATCACCACTGAATACTTTCTGAGTACCTACCACATGCCTGGGACTCCTTCAAGAACTTTGCATGAACTACGTCATTTAGTTCCTATTATGATCCTGATTTTATACAAGAGGGAACTGAAGCAAAGAGAGGTTAAGTGACTTGCCCAAAGTCACACAGTTACCAAAAAGCAGAGACAGGGTTTGAACTCAGGCATTCTGATGCCAGAGCCCAGGCTCTCGATATTGCCTTTCATTTTCCTCCAGGAAAGGATTTACATGAGATGGCAGGTGGCTGGGGAAGCAGTGAGTACACACTCACGTTGTGAAGGCAGGGAGACTTGTGGGGGACTTGCTGGGAAGCTGAAGAGCTCAGGAGGATGAGGAGAGGGAGTGGACGGTTTAAAAAAGACAGTGTGAGAACAAGAGCCCTGAGCCAGAGGAGAAAATGACAGCCCTCTCCTCCCTCTGATTTCTGAGAGGTGTTCCTGCCCCCAGGAGTGAGGACACTGTCTTTCTCCTGTGTCAGGCTATTTCCCCATGGAAAGGAACTATATCTCCCTGATGGCCCTCACGGATGGCCAGGCCCCACCTTCCCTTTGTGGGCTTGGCACTGCCTTCCTTTCTCCACAGATCCTTTAGTTGCTTTAGTTGAGCTGCTCCTCTAGCAGCAGCTCCAGCCCAGGCAGCTCCTTGGGGCCAAGCCCTTTTCCAAGGGTCAGAAGCTGTGGGCAGGGCCAGGCTGAGGCCTCTCCTGATCCTGTCCCCCTGTCCCTGGACCTCACTCCCACAGGCCATGAAATTATTCACTGCGATCCGGGATGCCCTCATCACTCGCCTCAGAAACCTTCCCTGGATGAATGAGGAGACCCAGAACATGGCCCAGGACAAGGTCAGGCCAGGCGTCCTGGCTGGTGTGGGAGCCTGTGCAGGGAATGGAGTATTGGAACAAGCGAGATGGGGATTGGAAGCAAATGCCAAAGGCCCCCCCAGGCACATGCTAAGTAGGGAAGCCACTGGGCTGTATACTCACACTGGCAACAATGTGAGAGGCTGGGACAGGGCAACGAGTGGGAGAAATTTCCTCTGGTAGACTCGGAGAGTATTCCTAGCCTCTTCTGTGTCTCTCTCCAGGTTGCTCAACTGCAGGTGGAGATGGGGGCTTCAGAATGGGCCCTGAAGCCAGAGCTGGCCCGACAAGAATACAACGATGTGGGTCCCTGTGTTTTCCAGCTCCTTTTCAGTCCTTGACTTCTCGTCACTTCTCTGACCCTCCTAAGTCTTTGTTGGACAATCAGTTTTCCCTGGGTGACTTAGCTCTGTCCTTACTCTGGTGCTGGCTGGGGTTGATGGGGAAATATCCACACTGTACGTCTTGCTGGCAGAAGAACAGAATCTTTTCAGGTCCCAACGCATGTGCCAACACACATGCATGCATCCTGTGACTTGTCTGGGCGTGTTCATCTGTGTGCTGATATGTGTAAAGCCTGGGTGTGCTGTGTAGTGATGCCATTGGGCTGCTCTCTCCTAATCCCTGGATGCCTGCCTGTCAGGGCTTGCCTGTTTGGGGTCAAATGGTCCCATTGGTGTTTGTCAGCGTGCATCTATAGAAGTCTCTGTGTGCCCAAGTCACCTCCTGCCTCTTCCCCAGATACAGCTTGGATCGAGCTTCCTGCAGTCTGTCCTGAGCTGTGTCCGGTCCCTCCGAGCTAGAATTGTCCAGAGCTTCTTGCAGCCTCACCCCCAACACAGGTATGACAGCAGGGGAGACACAGGCACTCCATCCCAGAGAGACCCATCCATGATTCACAGGAAAGGAAGCCAGGGCTCAGGGCAGGCAGCATGAACAGTAATGGTAGTTGGGAGGGACTGTGTAGGTCTCAGGGTGGCAGGGCAATACGTGGTGGGGGCTGGAGTTCACATGTCCTCTTCCCACAGGTGGAAGGTGTCCCCTTGGGACGTCAATGCTTACTATTCGGTATCTGACCATGTGGTAGTCTTTCCAGCTGGACTCCTCCAACCCCCATTCTTCCACCCTGGCTATCCCAGGTATGGGTCACTCTGTAAGGGTAGGTAGGGAGTTTCCCAAGAGGGGCCGACAGGTGTTATGATGGATGGGACTTACGGTTGGAGAATTGGGGTCACAAATGCTGAGAGATTCTGGGGGTCAAATAAGCCCTTGTCTCCCTAGAGCCGTGAACTTTGGCGCTGCTGGCAGCATCATGGCCCACGAGCTGTTGCACATCTTCTACCAGCTCTGTGGGTAACAGGGGCCACTGGGAGGTGGGATAATAGGGAACCTAAGGGAAGACCACAAGGGAGGCCTGGAGGGGAAAGGGAGGTTATTTGAGGGTTTGAGGTGGGGCAGTCCTGGGAACTTTGCCATGCTCCTGGGAGCTGATTCAGTCTGTGGTACCACCCACATCCTCACCTAGGCAGCACCAACCCTATGTTCTCTTGCTGTATGTTCTCTTGTCCCATTTTCAACAGTACTGCCTGGGGGCTGCCTCGCCTGTGACAACCATGCCCTCCAGGAAGCTCACCTGTGCCTGAAGCGCCATTATGCTGCCTTTCCATTACCTAGCAGAACCTCCTTCAATGACTCCCTCACATTCTTAGAGAATGCTGCAGACGTTGGGGGGCTAGCCATCGCGCTGCAGGTATGCAAGTGTCAAGGGCCACAGTTTATGTGTACTGGCAGACTAGAAAACATGTCCTCAAGTTTTCCTTCCACCATTCCTGACACAAGTACAGTTGCATGGCTTTCTGCCCTTCGCATCCCCACTGAATAGACGGCAACTTGGGGATCCCCCTCCTACCCCAGAGATCCTCCATTTTAGGACATCTATAGGTCTTCTGGGAAGTACTCTTTCTTCTGGCTCAGATCAACTAGTCAGTGCAGAACCAGTGAGCAAGGGCCATGGGTTTTGGGTACTGTGTGGAGGGACTTTCAAATGGCCACAGGTCTAGAGCCTGATGGCCCTTCTCTACCCACCCCTACCCAGGCATACAGCAAGAGGCTGTTACGGCACCATGGGGAGACTGTCCTGCCCAGCCTGGACCTCAGCCCCCAGCAGATCTTCTTTCGAAGCTATGCCCAGGTAGGCAGCGGCCACCTCCCGCCACAGCTTGCTTTATGTCAGTTGAACGCCTTATTACTGAAGCTCATGGAAGTCCCCTCTTCAGACACTCCGTCAAATACCCCAAACCCTCTTCTGCAGATGTCCTCACTGTTATCTTTTCTCTTCCCTCCCTACCCCTTGGAATCACCCCTCAGATGACTACAGGTTCTTCTACCTAGTTCAGCACCCCCACAACTCAAAAGGTAGAAAAAACTCTATTCCCAAGTTCCTCCAGGAGAGGAGGAGACCAACTTTTTTTTCCTCTCATACCCCCAAAATACAGATGCCTTAAAAATGAGCCTGTGGTTGGGCACAGTGGCTCACACCTGTAATCCTGGCACTCTAGGAGGCCGAGGTGGGCGGATCACTTGAGATCAGGAGTTTAAGACCAGCCTGGCCAATATGGTGAAACCCCGTCTCTACTAAAAATACAAAACTTAGCTGGGCTTGGTGGCGGGCGCCTGTAATCCCAGCTACTTGAGAGGCTGAGGCACGAGAATCGCTTGAACCTGGGAGGCGGAGGTTGCAGTGAGCCAAGATCATGCCACTGCACTCCAGGCTGGGTGGTAGAGCAAGACTCAGTCTCACAAAAAAAAAAAAAAAGCCTGCGACAGGCTGACTGTGTGCCACATTCCTCTTCAGACACCTGACCTTAGGTGTGGCGCCCACTTGACATCACCTCCTTAAGCACCCTGTACTCCCTCAACAGACTCAGGTGCCAGGTCTTCAACACGCTTAGATTAGACTTCACCCCAGAGCTCCTGCGCTAGACCCTGCCTCTCTGTCATTGATAAATGGTATCATTACACAGCCCAGGCCCTCCTCCTGGACTCCTATTGCCAGATTAAATGAACTATACATTTCAAATGCTCCATGTGGCCCTTGGGGCACTTGATCCCCTGGTTCCCCTCTTTGTCTGCTGTCCCTGATCACCCCTTGTCACCGGGTCAGCTTTGTCCTGTGGACCCTCCCCCTTCAATGACCTCTCTTCCTGCTCAGGTGATGTGTAGGAAGCCCAGCCCCCAGGACTCTCACGACACTCACAGCCCTCCACACCTCCGAGTCCACGGGCCCCTCAGCAGCACCCCAGCCTTTGCCAGGTATTTCCGCTGTGCACGTGGTGCTCTCTTGAACCCCTCCAGCCGCTGCCAGCTCTGGTAACTTGGTTACCAAAGATGCCACAGCACAGAAATATCGACCAACACCTCCCTGGTCACATCCATGGAATCAGAGCAAGATTTCCTTTCTGCTTCTGTTCCAAAAATAAAAGCTGGCACTTGGCTTCCGCTTGTCTCTTAATGACTTGTTCCTGCTATGTTCTATGCCTGGAAGTCATTAACTGTACGGGAGAAAAATACCCTGAAGTTAGAAAAGATAAGAGGGAGAAATGCCAAAAATGTTTCATGGACACAAGAAAAGGAAAGAATCAACAATTGGTGACCTGGTGGGTTTGAAGGCCACCCAGTGGACCAAAGATTGGACAATAAAGCAGTCTAGTTGGAGACGAGAAGGGCTTGGATTAAGTATCGGAAAGCTGCTCCCAATTGTTCTCAGGATTTTATCGTTATTTTATTGTCATTGCCTCCTGCCTCTAATCTGCTGTCCTGAACAAAACCAGGAGAGGTGTGGGAGAGAAGGATGTGGGTCTGCTGTCTCTGGCCCTGGGAGATGAAACTCCGAACCTGGAGAGGCAGTCAGTTAGCACTGATGGCAACTGGTATCTCTGCTGCTGAACCTTGAGATACAGTGATGGTGATCAGAGGCAGAGAGCCATGCCTGCATCTCCTTTGGGAGTTGTGACCTGGAGCCCAGGAGGGAGGGAGGGTCAGTGAGTGAGCATGAAGCAGAGTTGGATATTTGGGAATGTCCGCCTCAATGGCCCTCCTGAGAAAACCATGACACTGGCCAGACTAAAGCAGAAGCTGAGGTGGAAAGAGTGCTTGTGAACAGCTGCCGTCTTGGACGACTGGTCTTCTTCCTGCTGGGCCATGTCCACCACCTGCCACATCTCACCCACTGAGGAGGCCACAAAGTGCTCTTCGAACTGTTCTTGATTCTGGTCTGGAACAGGGGAAAAGGACAAGGACTGAGCCCTGACCCTGGCCTGAACCAGAAAGGAGAAGTTAGAATAGGAAAAACACGTTGAAGCCTAGGGCTGCAGTCCCAATTGCCCATATCCTTAGCCTTCACCAGAGAGGGGATGCTCTTTCTAGAGGTTTTTTCTGGTCTGTGTTCAATCACAGCCCCAACTCAAACACACACACACACACACACACACACACACACACACACACACACACACACACCATTCCTAAGGTTAGCTGCCTCCTCTAGGGTTTCAACACTGGGGGAGTCAGGGGCCACCTTGAAGCATGACAAAAGCCAGCCAAATGCACCATGCTTACACACACAGAAGTTGCATGCAAGCTCAGCTGGCCCATGGTGAGCCGACACTATTATTTCACATGATAACCATCAGTGGCTGGAGTTACCCCCCATAAACCAGACCTATGTCAGGTCTCACCCTAGCCTCATCAGTGACCTGGGGCCTGGCCTCACACAGACCTCACCCTGAGCCTCCAGACTCTCCCGTCTTTTTTTCTACCTACCTGAAGAGGGTGTTTTCTCTGTATGGCTCCTGTCTTTTTTTCCACCTACCTGCAGAGGGCGTTTTCTCTGTCTGGCTCCCATCTTTGGGGCCTGGGCTCCCGTTCAGAGGCTTCACCTGCAGCAGCAGCAAGATAGGAACCAGGAACACTGCCCTGCAGAGCTGGGGGGCCAGGGGAGGCATGGACCTGCCCACCCACTGCCTTTGGCCGCCCCCTGCTCCCAGTGCCCAGCAGGATCCGTGCACCTCCTGCCCCATTCCTGTCCTGGCCCTTAACCCTTTCCAGGGGCATTTTCTCCCCTCACCTTCCATAGGACCTCTGACTTCACATGTTCTGTGACATCACAGCCATGGGCCTGAACTTCATTCCGGCTCACTAGAGCGTTCCAATGGCGAGGCACAAGAATGGAGCACAGCCAGCAGGGATGGCCGAGGCTTCCAAGATGACCACAGTGGGTCATTCTGTATTTAGCAGAAATGACTTAACAGCTTGCAATGTACATTCATATCCATTACACCATTAGATCCACGTAGAAACCAGGACTGCAAAATCATAGTGTTCTCATATCTATTACATTCATGAGGAAACTGAGGCTCACAGAAAAAATGACTCTCTCACTCAAAATCGCCCAAATACTAAGGGGCAGAAAAGGACTCTTGATTAACTTTTACTTTTAAATATGATATCTTCCCACTATTCTATGTGGCCTTTCTGTAACAAGAGTGGTTTGCATAGGATGAGGCCCAGAACAGATGAGCCGGACAGGATTCTCAAGTCGTGGGTATGAACATGCTGCTCTACATGAAGCATGGGTCTGCCAGAAAATAAAGATGGGGAGGAGCATAGGGTAAGGATGGGTAAAAGCACATGCTGTGTGTGTGTATAAAAGACACAGAGACAGAGACAGGCATAGACAGGCAGAGACAGACAGAGACATAGAAAAAGAGAGAAAGAAAGAGACCGAGACAGGCAGAAACTGAGGGGTAGAGACAGAGAGATAGAGACGCAGAGACAGAGAGACAGATGAAGAGAGAGTGAACGGAGAGAGAGCGAGAGACAAAGAGCAGGGTGCCTTGCAGCTGGTAGAGCCCATTCACACCCTCTCTTCACCCTCCCCTGGTTTTCCCACTTTTCTAGCCTTTGTCCTCTTGTACCACCAGGTTGAAACACCCTCTTCTTTCATTTTACACCTTTCTGTACTCTTAGACGAAAGAAAAGGTTGTTAGAGGCTCATCTCCAACCTCATTGCTTGGCAAAAGGAGTTAGAGTCTGCAGAGAAGCCGCAGTGCGGCAGGGAGTCTAGGATCCCAAATAACAGATCTGGGAGAATCCTGCCTCAGTACTTGGATGCGCCTCCTGCCCATGAGCCTGGTGAGCACAGATCTGTTGGCAGTAACCGGCTGTGGGTAATCACCCCCAACTGCTTCTTGGGCAGAGATGGTTGGAGGGTTGTGAGTTAGGGAGACAGAATGAAGGCCTTTTTTCGAAAACCAGCAACAGAGACATAGGCCATTAGATGCAGGATGGCTGCTAAGACAGGTAAGAGAAGACTTTAGTCACTCCTGAACTCTCATAACCAGTTCACACTGCTCCTGCTCATCCATGCATACCAGACCTGAATGAAATACCACATGCAGGTCCAAGGACACTGCGGAGACAGGCACCCTTTCTGCAAGAGGGAACTGCAGACAGAAACACACAAAGAGATGCTTTCCCACAGAGTTTACTCGTGTTAGCAGACATGCCCACATGGATGCTGTCTCACATACAGCAGACACCATCTCTTACACACTTCCTGATGGTCCAAGCCAGATGACAAGGGACTAGGGAGTGGTACGGAGGTCGCTTGAAGGTGAGTAAGGAAAGATTCAAGTAGGCAGGTGACCCTGCTCACCCCACCTTGAACCCATTGACGTGAGATCCAAAGAATGATGCTTGAATGGAAAAAACCATCACTAATCTCCTCCCTCCTGGCTATTTTGGGGGAGCAGCCTCTTGGTTTCCTGGCAAAAAGAGAAGCCATCTCCAGCTCTGTGGGAATGAATGGGGAGGGCGGCTGGGGTGAGAATTGCCTCCCGGGCAGGCTTGAGTGGAAATAACTGAGTTGTTTCCATTACTTCCATTTCCTTGCCACCACCACCCGCCTGACCTCCGCAGTGTTAAAAGAGATAAATTCTTGCAGAAAACAGGGAATCCCTTAAATATTTTTTCTTATTACAAAGTAGAAAATATAGAAAAATACAAAACCCCAAAAAGGCTAATAATTCCACCATCCAGTGATAATCACTTTTTTTTTTTTGAGATGGAGTCTCACTCTTGTTGCCCAGACGGGAGGGCAATGGCACGATCTCAGCTCACCTACAACCTCCACCTCCTGGGTTCAAGTGATTCTCCTGTCTCAGCCTCCCGAGTAGCTGGAATTACAGGCATGTGCCACCACACCCAGCTAATTTTGTATTTTTAATAGAGAAAGGGTTTCTTTCTGTTGGTCAGGAAGGTCTCGAACTCCCTACCTCAGGTGATCTGCCCGCCTCGGCCTCCCAAAGTGCTGGGATTACCGGTGTGAGCCACTGCGCCTGGCCACAGTTAGTTTTAAGGTATGGTATTTGAATCCTTTTCTTTCTTTCTATTTTTTTTTTTTTGAGATGGAGTCTCTCATACTGTTGCCTGGGCTGGAGTGCAAAGGCGCAATTTCAGCTCACTGCAACCTCCACCTCCCGGGTTCAAGTGATTCTCCTGCCTCAGCCTTCTGAGTAGCTGGGATTGCATGTGCCTGCCACCAGGCCCAGCTAATTTTTTTTTGTAGAGACGGAGTTTCACTATGTTGGCCAGGCTGGTCTCGAACTCCTGACCTCGTGAGGCGCCCGCCTCGGCCTCCCAAAGTGCTGGGATTACAGGCATGAGCCACCGCATCCGGCCCTGAATCCTTTTCGTAGATGGCTGTGGCCACGTAGGGTGGGAGTGTAATTTTTAAAAATGGAAATCTAGGTATTATGGTTCCTCCTCCTCTTTATTATGTTAGAATAAGAGGTCAGGCTGCTTTGGCGTGAAGGGTTCTGGGACTTGACGGTGTAGTTTGGTGCCCCCAGCCCAGTTCTCCCGAGTGCCTGGAGGCATTACTGACCATTCATCAGTGGCAGGGAAGCTGCTCTCTGAAGGCGAGAGTTTGCAGATGTCCTCACTTGCAGAAAGCTGAGAGAGGCATGAAAAGAAAGGAGAGAAAAGGAAAAATAGAATGGTGATGTCGAATATCACAAGAGGAAGAAACAGTCTGGAGAGAAGGCAAGGAGAGAACAGGAGAGACTCCAAATCTCTGGTCTACCAGCTGGGACTGCCGGGGGACACCATGGTCCTCACCCAGGTTACTTGTCCATGCCCTTCCCACTGGAGAGGACGAGGTAGGCAGAGAAGGGCAAGTGAGAGGGCGAAGGCCCAGGGATGGCGGGTGGGGGGGCCTGAGCATTGGGCCTCCCCTTTCTCTTCCCCAGACCCCTGGACATGCCCTTGGCGGCAAGTCCCTGCACACCTGCTCTGTGCAGCTCAGACTGGGCCAGCCTCCTCCCCTGCCGGCCCCCCATGTCCCAACCCCCCCGCCCCAGGACCAGCTTTATGGGTTGTAGTTTCCTTGGCAGGTGCTCCTTTCCTGACCTGCCTCGCTTATCAAGGCATCTACAACCCCCACCTCACCCTTATCGCTCCCTCCATCTCCTTAGACTGGAAGTCACTCCACAAGGGCGTCACCCCCAGCGAGGCAGAAAAATGTCCCACAAGTTGAGCCCTCCCCACTCCCAGTGAGAACATAATTCCACTGTATCTTTTTTTTTTTTTACTTAACTTTTCCTTTTGGCTTTTAATAAGAAAAAGATCCAAATTTTCCCCCTTTTGAAACATCAATGAACACTAGCTCCTCTTAGTTTCCTTATTTATTTTCCTTTCAATTCTTGTCCTTCTCTAAAGGTTATTTTGTCCATCCCTCAATCTTGGGAGCAGATCTCTCTTTCTTACAACAAAAGAAGGGGGCAGTCCCCACTCCTCAAGACCCCCAGAGGGAGAGTCCCAGCGTATCCTCACGCTGGTCTCTCACACCTTTACAGCCAAAAGATTCCCAAGAAGCAACAAGGTCTGGAGAGTGGTTTGGAGCTGAGATCCCAAGTTCATGGCCAGTTACAGTCTCGCCACTAGCCATGGGACTTGGGGCCAGCACACCCAAGAATTCTCACAGACGGAATTCTTCCTTGTTCTCATTTACCTGATAGGTCTATTGAGTGAATGCAATTCAATAATATTGATGTACCTCTTTGAAAACAATGAGAACAGAATTGAACAATGAGAACACTTGGACACAGGAAGGGGAACATCACACACCAGGACCTGTCGTGGGGTTGGGGGAGGGGGGAGGGATACATTAGGAGATATACCTAATGTAAATGACAGTTAATGGGTGCAGCACACCAACATGGCACATGTATACATATGTAACAAACCTGCATATTGTGCACATGTACCCTAGAACTTAAAGTATAATAATAAAAAAAATGAGAACATAAATACAAGCTATCATATACAGTAGTCACCTTTTATCCTCAGGGGATACATTCCAAGACGCCCCAGTGGATGCCAGGAACCTTAGATAGCACCAAACCCTGTATATACTATCTTTTTTCCTACACGTACATACATACATACATACATACATACATACATACATACATACATACATATGATGAAGTTTAATTTATACATTAGGCACAGTGAAGAGTTTAGGCCGGGCATAGTGACTCACGCCTGTAATCCCAGCACTTCAGGAGGCCGAGGCAAGCAGATCACCTGAGGTCAGGAGTTCGAGACTAGCCTGGCCAACATGGTAAAACCCTGTCTCTACTAAAAATACAAAAATTAGCCAGGCGTGGTGGTGGGCACCTGTAATCCCAGCTACTAGGGAGGCTGCGGCAGGAGAATAACTTGAACCTGGAAGGTGGATGTTGCAGTGAGCCAAGATCACACCATTGCTCTCCAGCCTGGGCAACGAAAGTGAAACTCTGTCTCAAAAAAAAAAAAAAAAGAGTTTAACAACAATAAAATGAAAATTATAATAATATAAAGTTATGTGAATGTTCTCTTTCTCTCTGTCTCTCAAAATATGTTATAGTACTGTACTCACCTATTTTCCAACTGTGGCTGACCTTAGGTAACTGAACCATCAGAGAGTGAAACTGTGGATAAGGGAAACTACTTAATATATAAAATATAATATAAAATATATAAAATAGTGCAACATTACTTATTCCTCCTGGTGTTTCATTCCTGGAAAGAGTCCCAAACATGGAATCACGATTTATTTGTCGTCTACCTTTGCTCAGTTTCTGCTGTTCAACCTCCATAATAACTCGAGGCCCCTGGGGGCTCCTCTGACCTGCGTCCCCAGGTACCAGAGCCTGCTCGGCGACGCTCCAGGAAGCTGGCCGGTCACGGTCATGAGGACTTCTCACAGAGAGGGATTGGCCTGGGAAGTGGGGGTCAGAAACCCTCCTTTGAGGTACAGGGTTGAGGACAGAGATGACCACAAGACACATAAATGGGAAGCTCTGAGAAGCAGCCCGGGGGTCTCTTGAGCCCTCTTGTGGAAGGAGGATCGGCAGTGATTGAGTACTTGTGACACATGCTTTACAGATGCTCCCGTGAGACGGCATAGCCGTTACCCCAATTTCACAGGTTAGGAACTGAGGCTCAGAAAGCTCACCTAACTGTAAGGGATAAGAGTCAGGATTTGAACCAGGCTCTGCCTGACTCTTGAGCTGGAAGTCTTTATTTCCTCCTCTCCCTCATGCAACTAACTGTGCACCTTGTTTGTGGACCCACCTTCCATCCCTTTTCTTTTTCCAAATTCCTCTGCCCCACCTCTTAGCTTCTCGGGTCTCAGCCATCCCAGCCCACAGTTAGGAACCTTCCTTCCCCTCCTCCTTTTCTTCCCCAGGGTGGTTCTGTGGCTGTGGGGCTCAGCTCTGCAAAGAGCTCCTCCCCCTCCAGGAAAAGCACTTCTCCCCAGGCAGGGCGGTCAGTCCCCTCAGCGCACCTGCATGCACACACACCACCTCACAACCACACACTGCATGCACACACATACACCACAGCCACACACTGTGCATACACGCACACCCCACAACCCACATACTGCATGCACACACACACACCTACAAGCTGCATGCTGCATACACAAGTCATACAGGAGATAAACTCAGAGTCCCAGCCCCAAATAGACCCCATCTCTTGCTCAGTTGCTGTCATCCTAGACCTGTTTCTTTCGCCACATTTCTATAATCTGCCAGTGTCTGCAAGGAGAAGACATGGGGGGTTTTCTACCTAAGGCAGAAGGGCCCGGGAGCCAACTCCAGAAACTTCTGCCCTCCTTTCTGGTCAGAGAACAAGACTGGGACCAGCACCTGGACAAGCTTCATATGCTGCAGCAGAAGAGGTAGGCTTCCTAGAACGATCCGTGGCCCTACCGCCGTGATCCTCAGACCCTCTGACCCACCTGGGCCTGCTTTCCGAATACAGCACCCTAGAAGTGTATTGTCAGTGCCAGTCACTCAGACATACCCTTTCCTTCCAGCCCACCTAATTACAGAATCCCAGCTGGCCCCTTTTAGTGGCGGTGGAGGATGTGGCTTTGGGCCACACAGGAAAATCTTGAGGGTAGACCTAAGGACAGAGGCAGAATGACAGCCAAGGGGGAGTGAAAGGACCAAAAAGGACCAGAGGGAAGAAGCCAGGTTGTGTGGGATGGGGAGGGAAGGCAGAAGCAGGCTGCTGAAGAAGGGATGCACTCCTGTGGGTGGTGGAAGCACGATAAGGAAACGCCATTCATTTGAATGAAAGTGGACTGTGTGGGAAAGGGGAGGAGCGCTTTGTTTGGTGTAACACTGGGTGCTGACCAGTGGAGGAGGGCAGCTCAGGTGACACTGGAGGGCTCTGAGTTCAGTCCATCTGCCTTTTATTGAGTCTACTGTGTGCAGAGGGGTGTTAGATCCCAATGACATAAAGATTGAATGAGACTTGTGCCTGCTCCTGGAGAGCTCTTAGTTCGGGCAGGGCTAGCACACCTGCAGGTAAATCATTTCATGGCTTAGCCCTGAGGTCCAGTCCCAGGAAGAGCAGCTGGGGCAGGGACGAATCCTGTGGGCTGCTTCTTCCTCCAAGTGTTTTGGGGCTTGCCTCCCACCCAACAGCTGCCTGAGGGGTGAGGTTGTTGAGCAGACATTAGCAGTCACAAAGGGCTCCCCTGTACTCCAGAAGATTCCTGTGCTTTGTTCAATGCCCTGCTGTCCTCATCTTCAAGTTCTTAATAATTTTGAACAAGGGGTCCTGCATTTGCAGTTTACACTGGGCCTGGTCCCAAGTACCTCTGAGCCCTCATACTGTCAAGCCCTCTGCTTCCTCATCTCCCCACCCAATACCTCCAGTGGAATCTCACCTTCCTGCTTTAGAGTGGGACCCCTGGGTCTCTGAGAAAGTGAGCTTCCAGCCCCAACTTGGACCCTCTGCAGAGGGGCAGTGGGGATAGAGGGCCAGGGAGGCAAGGACTTTGTTTGTGCAGTGGCCTCAGGATGGGGGTGAATTTGCAATCTCAGCCCTGACCACTCTAGGCTGGTCAGGGACACCAGGCTCCCTGGGACTGATTCCCTGGGTGAGACGGGGCAGGGAACTGACTCCTCACAAAGGCCCCTCCTAGGAGCACTGCCTTAACAGGTAAAACCAGGCCCCACCTTTAGATTAAAAGCTTCTTCTTTAAATGAAAACACTTTGGCTGGGCGTGGTGGCTCACACCTGTAATCCCAGCACTTTGGGAGGCCGAGATGGGTGGATCACCTGAGGTCAGGAGTTCGAGAGCAGCCTGGCCAACATGCTGAAACCCCGTCTCTACCAAAAATAAAAAAACTAGTCAGGCATGGTGGTGGGCACCTGTAGTCCCAGCTACTCGGGAGGCTGAGGCAGGAGAATCACTTGAACCCAGGAGGCGGAAGTTGCAGTGAGCCGAGATCGCACCACTGCACTCCAGTCTGGGCAATAGAGTGAGACTTCGTCTCAAAAAAAATAAATAAATAAAATAAAAACACTTTTTCGCCCTGGCTCCTGGGGCTATTGGAAGAGAGGGATTTGGAGGTGGGGACCTCAGAGGAGCCACTCATCGGCCTGTCCTTTCTGTTCTTCCCCCTACACCATGTGCTTGCCTTTGGGGCCAATACACATATGTCTAGTTGGAGAGGCTCCAGCTTTATCTCTTTCTGGGTTCAAATCTGGGTATGGTAGAAGCAAAGATTAACAGAGGTCCTGTAGAATGAGTATCTCAACCTGTTTTGCCTTGAGACACCCACATAAACAAGCTGTTTAGACCTTTGCATCTAAGGGTATAATGCAGAAGAAAGAGGCACCCTGTAACTCACCCCACAACTCTCCACCCCCTGCAGGGACCTGTATCTAAATAACCTGAGGATGCTGGGCGCAATGTAATCCCAGCACTTTGGGAGGCCAAGGCAGGCGGATTGCCTGAGCTCAGGAGTTCGAGATCAGCCTGGCCAACATGGCAAAACCCCATCTCTACTAAAAATACAAAAAATTAGCTGGGCGTGGTGGTGCGTGCCTGTAATCCCAGCTACTCGGGAGACTGAGGCACAAGAATTGCTTGAACCTGGGAGGCAGAGGCTGCGGTAAGCTGAGATTGTACCACTGCACTCCAGCCTAGGCAACAGAGCAAGACTCTGTCTCAAAAAAAAAAAAAAAAAAAAAAATAGCCTGAGGGAGTAGTCAGAACTTTAGTGCCTCACAAATTTCACAAATTTCAAAATGCCTAGGAAAGATCTAGCAGTCGATCCATTCCTCCTCCCTCTGTGTTTTGGTCTCCCAAACTCCCCTTGGTTAAAGACAGTAGATTCAGCAGGCCCAGGAGCAGGGGGACCGCAGATGGAAGTGCCCTCTGTCCCGCTCTCCAACTATCCAGGATCTGAGACAGTTACTCAGGTTAGATGAATTCAGCCAAGCCTAGGGTCCTCTTCTTAGAGACTCTCAGACCACTCTTTCCAGACTACAGGTTCTCTTCCTATTAACTCTTCCCCTCCAGCAGAGCTTCAAGGGCCATCCTCACAGGAGAATCACCATGATGTGAATTGCAAGGAAGGCCCTGGGGCTGACCCTTGCCCAAGTCCACCCTCGGTCATTCGAGTCCAGTAGGCACTTCTTTCCAATTTGTCACTGCACGCTGTGTGAGTCACGTTGGTCTTAAAGAATGTCTTAGATCCCCTTTGCTCTTGGCCTCATTCTGCTATGACTGTCTCTTCCAAACTCACGTTCACCTTTCCCCAGGATTCTAGAGTCTCCACTGCTTCGAGCATCCAAGGAAAATGACCTGTCTGTTCTTAGGCAACTTCTACTGGACTGCACCTGTGACGTTCGACAAAGAGGTGGGATCTGGATTTAATGGGATGGAGGTGGGGGCAGAAGAACCTACTCCTCCTCCCCAAGACTTCGAGTTTGTGAAATAGGGCCTTGGAGGGTGTCTCTGGAGCCTGAGGCCCCTTCCTCAAGGGAATCTGAAAAGTGTCTAACATCTCTGTCTTACTCCAATCCAGGAGCCCTGGGGGAGACGGCGCTGCACATAGCAGCCCTCTATGACAACTTGGAGGCGGCCTTGGTGCTGATGGAGGCTGCCCCAGAGCTGGTCTTTGAGCCCACCACATGTGAGGCTTTTGCAGGTAAGGAGCCTACATGGTAATTCAAGGTGGAAACTTTGAGATGGAGGGTGTGCTGTTGTCTCTTAAAATTGGCCTCTGAAGGATGGGTTGGGGTGGGGTGATGGAGGGTCAGGAGGATGGGCTCCGTTGAGTTGGGAGAAATGCAAAGGTCCTGGTCTTGGCTTTTACCAATCTGTGGCTTCCTTCAGCATTTCCTTTCAAACCTCCCATAGTCCCTGTAGGACCTATCTCAATTTCTTTCTCTCATAGCAACATGAGAATGATTATATTCATAGCAATCCCCTGCTGGCTCCCAATAACTGAAGGGTAGGTCAATGAGCAGGGCAGCCTGAGGGATGAATTGCTCTTAGTCCCAGGCCACCCTGCCAAGCCCAGGGCAGAAGTCTAGCAAAGATCTATCAGGAACCTCCTGAGAGGGATGGTGGGGGATGCTGTGTCCCTGAGAGAACTGGGGACAGAGGGAGACCCTGATGATGGCTGTCTCTGGGCCAGGTCAGACTGCACTGCACATCGCTGTTGTGAACCAGAATGTGAACCTGGTGCGTGCCCTGCTCACCCGCAGGGCCAGTGTCTCTGCCAGAGCCACAGGCACTGCCTTCCGCCATAGTCCCCGCAACCTCATCTACTTTGGTGAGAGCAGGGTTGGGCTTGAAGGATGGTTGGCTGGAGAGGCGGGCAAGGCAGAGGGAGGCCAGGGCATGAGGGTCCTGCCTTCAGCTCCATCTGTTGGGCAGTTGAGAGGGGCAGCCCTTCTAGGGCTTAATTAAGCCAGAGGCCCATTCCCCTGATGGTTCCTTCCTCTGGTTCTGCTGGACGAGTGTCCCTCAGCCTAGAACTGAGATATGGGGGATGAGGAGGAGGCCCTTATTTGGGGGAGACTGCCCACCCCATCCTGCCATCCTGCGTTCTCCTGCCATGGATCTCTCTGTGTCCACAGGGGAGCACCCTTTGTCCTTTGCTGCCTGTGTGAACAGCGAGGAGATCGTGCGGCTGCTCATTGAGCATGGAGCTGACATCAGGGCCCAGGACTCCCTGGGTAAGAGCTGGGATGGGGAGGGGAGCTGGGATGCTGTGGGGAGCGAGGGACAGGGTAAGGAGTGGAGCTGGGACCTTTAGGAAGACCCCAGAGTGGGGATGGGGACATCAGGGACTTTAGGCCAGTGGCCACATGATACCCTGCGTCCTCCCCAGGAAACACAGTATTACACATCCTCATCCTCCAGCCCAACAAAACCTTTGCCTGCCAGATGTACAACCTGCTGCTGTCCTATGATGGACATGGGGACCACCTGCAGCCCCTGGACCTTGTGCCCAATCACCAGGGTCTCACCCCCTTCAAGCTGGCTGGAGTGGAGGGTAACACTGTGGTAAGAGACGCTCCCCATCCCTGAGGTGTCTTTCTAATGACCCTCAACCTATCCTGCTGGCCCTGGGAGAAATAGAGGTGAAGGGCCCACCTTTCTCTAAAATCCCTTTTCCCCAAACTCCCCAAAGGGATGGTGGTCCCTTGCTTCCTATTCCATCACTGAAATCTTCAGCTTCATGGTCCTTGACTCAAGAGGATTTGAGAACCTTACCTTAATGCATGTGCTGTGATAACCCAAAGCTCTAGCTTCCTTTGCCTATTTTCTTCTTTCTGCACTTTCTGGGGTTTTGGAGCAGGAAAGATGACAAAAAAGGGAAAGCTTGTAGATGCAGAGGTTTGCTGGTTCCCACTGTCTGTCTGTCTCAAGGGGTGGGCAACTGGCTCCATCCAATGGAGTTGTTCTCCTCGACCACCTTCTCACACGTTGGCCCCCTGACTCATCCTGGTGGTCTCTCAGATGTTCCAGCACCTGATGCAGAAGCGGAGGCACATCCAGTGGACGTATGGACCCCTGACCTCCATTCTCTACGACCTCACGGAGATCGACTCCTGGGGAGAGGAGCTGTCCTTCCTGGAGCTTGTGGTCTCCTCTGATAAACGAGAGGTATGGATGCCAAGGAGGATCAGGCCTGTCATGTGAGGGAATTTAGTGTTTGTGCAGAGTCTGTCCACTTACTAAGATCCTGGGCCTGAGACACTTCCCAGCCTTATAATAGGTGGAGATGAGAATAGTCTCCTGGGACATGGGGGAAAGTCCAATGCACACTCCTCTCCTGAATCCCCTGTCTCTCTGCTTAGCTCCAGTCCCTTCTGCCTACCTTTCGCCTTCTATCATTTCAGATGAGAAACTCCAAATAAGAGCTGTTTCCTCATATTCATTCATTGGTTCAGCATTGATATGGTTTGCATTTGTGTCCAAATGCAAAAATTTCATGTCAAATTGTAATCCACAGTGTTGGAGAAGGGGCCTGGTGGGAGGTGATTGGATCATGGGGACAGACTTCCCTCTTGATGTTCTCGTGATAGTGAGTTTTCACAAGATCCGGTTGTTTAAAAGTGTGTGGCACCTCCCCCTGCTCTCTCTTCCTCCTGCTCTCTCTTCCTCCTGCTCCGGCCATGTAGGATGTGCCTGCTTTCTTCTTGGCCTTTTGCCATGATTGTACGTTTCCTCAGGCCTCTCCAGAACCTGTACAGCCTGCAGAACCATGAGCCAATTAAACCTTTTTATTTATAAATTACCCTGTGCCAGGTAGTTCTTTATAGTAATATGAGAATGGACTAATACAAGCATATTGAACACCCGCTGTATGTCAGGCACTGCACAAGAAACAAACAGTACAGAAATAAATACAACACAGTTCCTGTTCATCAACTTCCTCAATTCTCAGTCCCTGTCCTGAATAATTGCAACAGAGCATGACATATGCCGTAATAGTTGTGTGTACCATGCATGCAGACAGCCACATTGAGGTAGAGTTAACTTGGCTTGGATAGACCAGAGAAGATGTCACAGAGGAAATGCTGGGGCTGGATCTTCAAGGAAGAATTGGGAGTCACAGGAAGATGAGAGAAAAAAAAGAGCTTTTTAGAGAGGGAGCAACGTATAGACCATTCAACAATGCTGGGTTGAGTGATGTGAGGGAAACGAAAATTTGTTGAAGACTGCAGTAGAGAGGAGAAAAGACTTCCAGGTTTCAGAACGTTCCATGAGAGTGCCAAGATGTAGTTTCTGTTTTGTATCTGCCACAGTGACAATTTCCCAGGAATCCTTATAGATCCAGAAAACATGAATGATTATTAATACTAACGAATAGAAGAAAAGTTGAGTGGCTAGTTTGTGAGATCTTCCTCAGAGAATATCCCTGGAAACAGATACACTTTGAGCAGGATTTCTTAGGTATTAAAAGCACAATCCCACTGTGTGGATTTCGCCACCACATATCCTTGGTCTTTGATTTAAGCTATTCTCAATATTCTCCAGCAGGTTTCATAAGTGTCTTGGGTCAGTTGCTTTTTTCCTCCATAAATCTTCCTTTCTAGCCCCCTTTCACATCCTTCACTACCTTCAGCTGCAGTTCAGAAGACCTAGACTCCTGATTTAGGACAAAAATAGAGGCTTTCTGGCTGGGGATCCTTCAGCTTCCTGCCCTACACTGCCGAGCATGTCTGGAAACTGCCCACTGTCTCTCTCCTCCCCTCCAGCTTCAGTAGAAAAGATATTCATGCTGTTAATGGCTAATCACTCTACTGTGCTTTGAATCTGTCTCTTTCTAATTTCTCAGATGCCTCCTCCCGTCCATCATCCCCTCTCCTGTGTATCTTTAACGTCTCACTGGCTGCTTATTTCAGAGCACCATCCCACCCTGCCACATCCTACTGCCTGTAACCTCCATTGCTTCTTTCCAGCCCAATAATACTTCTAGAGCAAATCTGACCACTTCCCTGCTTGAACTCCCCAGTTGCTTTCTGTTATATTTAGAAAAAACAAAAAATGCAAACTTCCTACCTTGGCATTTATGATGCATGATGACCTGGCCCTGTTCTTCCTCAGTCATTATCATTTCTGACTACCACTCCCAATAGATTCTCCCCTCTCCCCAACCACATCTCAACTGCAAATGGGCAATGGCTTCTCAGACCTTCCTGACCTGGCAACTGCTGTTAGCTTATGGTATGATCTTTCCTAACTCTCCCTTTACTCATCTAACTACTACTCATCCTTTAAATCCTCTTTGGTGCTATGGTGCCTTGTGTTTACTGCTATAGTCATTTACCTGTATCACTAGCACAAGGCCCAGCCATATGCAGGAAATATACTATTTGTCCGTCAAATAAGTGACTGATGAGCTGAGTGAGTGATGGTTGCTGCCCTGCCTCTTCTGGCCCCCAGTGGGATAAACAACATCCTTCTGTGTTGGTCACCCCAAGTTTCACTCTACTTCCATGCCAGGCTCGCCAAATTCTGGAACAGACCCCAGTGAAGGAGCTGGTGAGCTTCAAGTGGAACAAGTATGGCCGGCCGTACTTCTGCATCCTGGCTGCCTTGTACCTGCTCTACATGATCTGCTTTACTACGTGCTGCGTCTACCGCCCCCTTAAGTTTCGTGGTGGCAACCGCACTCATTCTCGAGACATCACCATCCTCCAGCAAAAACTACTACAGGTGATTCTCCTCAGAAGGGGATGAGAGAGAATTGCATCAAGGGGTGATGGTGCTGGAAACGAAGCCATGCTACTCAGGGACGATGCCACGCTCTGGGTTCCAGCAGGTGTAGGCTCCTAAACACCCAGGTAGAAATTAGACATGAGACCAGGAGGCCACAGATGGGGTTTAATGAGCACAAGAGCATTTGTCCAGGGAGCTGTGGATTTTCTCACACAAACTTTGAAAGAGTGCTTGGCATGAGTAAGCCTGTGCTTTTGTGAAATTTTTTGGTAATTTACAAAAAGTATCAGGGTTTTTTAGTGGGATGTTCAAGGTAAACTCTATTGCTCAAAAGGAGGAAAATTGTGCTCCAAGTCCATTTCTGAGTCCATTTTTGTTGTATTTGGGCAACACAGACAGCCCTGCTGGCCTGCACCCTCTTCTGTGTGCTGTCTATATGGGCCCATGGGAATAATGTGTCAGCTGTCTGACTGCCTGTCAGACACTCTGCAGAAGGATGTCTGGATTGGGTATCAGGCTGAAGTAAATACTCTCTGAGGCTCCATTTAGTGTTGTGGGCCTGCCATTCTGTGTTGTGGTGGCCAAGGGAAAACTAGGGTTAGGAAGAGGACTGATTCGAGGTACACAGTAAATATAGAAATCTGCTGTTGAAGAAAGTAAACCTCCTTTTTGTGCAACAGAAAGGGTAGACTCTAATGAGCACTTCTGAATATATATATTTAACAACTGTAGCTATATTTGAGGGGTTGACTCTTTGTGGATTACTAAAATTTTTGTCCTGGTGAGCTGAAAATACACAGAAGGTGATGTAGGTATGTAGCAGAAAGCAAAAGACCAGGAAAAAGAATTTTGCAAAGCAAGTGAGAACTGAGTGATTGGAGATTTATCTCAATGCAGGAGAGAGCAGCCATAGGTATAGCTCAGCCTGGACTAGGAAGCAGGGTAGTTTCAGTCGGAAAGAGAATATAAACTTTCTATAGCCAAGAAGCAAAAATCCTGAATTTGTTTAGACCAAAGACAGCGATATGCACAGAGAAAGAACAGGGCAAAGAGCCCAAATGAACCCTATGCTAGGTAGAGACACTCCATCTCTCCTGTTTTTAGAATTGCCTTTATATATATACATGTATATGTATATATATATATATATGTATATATATACATGTATATGTCTATATATATATATATGTATATATATACATGTATATGTGTGTATATATATATGTATATATATACATGTATATGTATATATATATATATGTATATATATACATGTATATGTATATATATATATATGTATATATATACAGTGTGTCATGTGTCCAGATACACTGCCTCTCACCAAGTAGGTCTTGCTGCCTGGGGAGGACAAGCCTGAATGTGTTAGAGACACTGGAAGCAGTTGTGCTGCATGCATCTCAGTCTGGCCGCAAAAGTTGTCCCTGGCATGGAGACATGAGGAAAATAAGGACAGTTAGGAGATGGCAAGTGGAGGGAGGAGTGATTAGAAATTGAGAAAACACAAACAAGGTGGGGATGACTGGACTTTTCCAATGCTCCTGGCCCTATTTCCTCAGATATGTCTTCTCCAACCTTCCTTTGTCTCAAATTTACTTGGAGATTTTCTGCATTTTGAAGGTAGACAGGACTCTGGGTTAAAAGGTGGGCAATGCTGAGCCACTGATAACCAAAACTCTCCTTCCTGTGTGTCTCTTTCTCTTTGGGACAGGGCTAGTTATGTACAATCACATTTCTTTGATCCAGATAGTCTGTATGTAAAAGACCGCCTCCTTTGCTTCAGGACTCAGAAGCATAATTATAGCTGAACACCTGACCCATCCTTCTTTCTTTCTCTCTTCTGCCTTCCTTCTTGTTCCTTGGCATTTTTACCCTTTCTGCCTTCTGCTTCAGTGAAAGCCACTTCAGCTCAAAGAGAAGACTTTGGACTTTCAGATATTCTTTTCTTGGTGGAGAAGTGGGTGGGTAAGAGGATTGAGAATGCTGCTGGAAGGGGTTAGATAACAAAGAACGCTAATGAAAAGTCCCTATGCTTTGAGCCCTGGCCCTGATTTATGGGATGACTATGTTCTTCTTATTCAGTAGTAAGCCCATTTGGATTAGATCAGGGGCTCCTAAACTTATCATCATGATTTGAAAGATTCTGTTTTCACAGTGCACCAGATTTTTTAAATAATAGGAAATTCCTTTTTTTTCCTACTGTTTTCTTACTTGAAAGTCTTAGAAAAAATGAAAACGCACAAATACAGTGTCTTGATTTGACTCATGCAATTGTTGACATATTAGTTAGCTGGTGGAGCTTTTTCTTAGATGAATGAATACTTTACTGTCCAATTATATTAATAACTCTGGGATCACAGGGATCTCAGTCACTTCAGGACTTCCTCTGCAGATCTCTTGGGATCTGTGGAAATCACTGGGCTCCATCACCCCTAAGATCCTTTCTAGTTTAATATCTGGCATTTTATAAGAGTAGTGCAACAGCACCATCTCAGAACAGATGAGAGAAAACAAATTCCTCTGTATAAGGTAGCAAAAAACTACACAAAAGCTGATGTTTGTAAAGCTGGAGTTAGTTTATTTCTATCCAATTTGGGGGCTATCTTAATGACTCTAAGACACCTCATTGCTCAGCCATAAAAGTTCTGCTTTACTAGAGATTTCCCAGAACTCTATTAATTTGAGTTAACTTCTTATCTCCATATATTTCTACTTGGTTTAGGCAGAGCAGCATGCACTATAGTACTAGTTCTCTTAGGTTTCCAGGTGAGTAAAAAGCTCAAAGTCCTGGAGTCCAGCAGCTCGGGTTTTAGCCCTAACTCTGAAATTTAATACTTGTTTGACCTTAGGAAAATCCTACTTCCTGCCAGATCTGTGATTTTTAACCCAGACTGTACACTAGAAACCTAGGAAGCTAGTAAAATGACTAGCTCCTAGGCTACACTTTAGTAGACCTAATAAGTTGGAATGTCTGAAGCTGAGGCTCTGGCCTTGGTATTTTTAAGAAACTCTTTGAGTGAGCCAAATGTTCTGCCAAGGTTGAGAACCCGTGGCTTCCATCTTTGAGGTAAGTGCAGCTCTGCCTTTCCAGTCTTAGGCCCACCACTCTGGTCATTTAGATTCCCGGATTACTGTTCAGCAGGGAGTTCAAATTTCTCGTCACATCTCCTTTTTGACTTTTGAAAAAGATTCTCTTGAGCCCTCCTTTGATTTTCTCTTTCCCAGAAATATTTTGCTAATCCATTCATTAAATAAATTATTATTGAGAGCCTCATATAGGCTAAACAGCTGTTCCAGGTGTTGGAAATTCAACAGCCATGGTCTGAGCAAAACACACATGATGTCTGCTTTCTTGGAGTCTACAGACTGGTTTGTATTAATCAAACGATCATACAAATAGATACTTCATTATAATCTGTGACTGTTGGCATCAATATTATTTTTTTCTTATGATGAGAAAAGCACAGAGTGGGGAAAAAACTTATAACAGGGGCCTGGTCCCTCTGGGAGGCCAGAGCCTGCTTCTGAGAAAGATGACTGAGCTGAGATCTAGGTATGAATTCAACGTGAAAAGAGAGTTCTAGACAGAAAGAATGCATATTCAAACGCCTCAAGGCAGGAATAACCTCACCAAAGTCTAGGAACTGAAAGAAGATTCACTAGAGCACAGAGAGTTGGGTTGGGTACCTCCAGGTGAGGTTGTCCAGACAGATCCTTCTCAAATTATATAGTCTTAAAGGGTTTTACGCTTTATCCCCAGGGGGATGGGAAGTCAGAAGGATTTTAAACAGGGGGATGTACAGAGTAATTTTTGTTTTAGAAAAATTACTCTGCTTGCATGGTGAGTAACAGATGTGGGGGGTGGTAGGAAGGACATTGGGAGACCAGTCAGGAGGCTATTACAGTTTAGCAAGCAAAAGATAATGTTGGCTGGGCACGGTGGCTCAGGCTTGTAATCCCAGCACTTTGGGAGGCTGAGGCGGCGGATCACGAGGTCAGGAGTTTGAGACCAGCCTGGCCAACATAGTGAAACCCCATCTCTCCTAAAAATACAAAAAATTAGCCAGGCATGGTGGTGAGCACCTGTAATCCCAGCTATTCGGGAGGCTGAGAGAGGAGAATCGCTTGAACGTGGGAGTCAGAGGTTGCAGTGAGCCGAGATCACGCCATTGCACTCCAGGCCAGGCGACAGTATGAGACTCCGTCTCAAAATAAATAAATTTAAAAAAATGGTGGATTGGCCTAGGAATGTAGTGGGGAGATAGAGGGAAGGGATTGGCATCAGGAGACTTATTGAAGGCAAAATCATCCCTACTGTGTTTCCATCTTTTAAAAATCATCTTCTACCTATCACAGTCCGTGGGATCTATTTGTCCACACATCATCATCCCTCGTAAGTTCTGAACAATCCAAAGCACCACTGCTATTTGAAAAGCAACTGATTGCCAACTCTATACAACTTTGTTGAGGGGTCCTAACCAACTCATGGTGGAACAAGCACAGCACATTATAGACAGGGAAAGAGATGAGGAGAACCAGGGAGCCCGGTAGGTAAAAATAACATCCACTGAGCACTGATCA
This sequence comes from Homo sapiens, assembly GCF_000001405.40. Taxonomy (NCBI): domain Eukaryota; kingdom Metazoa; phylum Chordata; class Mammalia; order Primates; family Hominidae; genus Homo; species Homo sapiens. Next base: position 943,993 of record NT_187562.1, on the reverse strand, counting down.
TGAACACATGCATTCATCAGTGTTTTTGAGGCCTTATTAAACTGTGGATTCTGACAGTAAGGCTGGGTGGGACCTGAGACTTGGCATTTCCAGCAAGCTGCCAGGTGAGGCCAATGTTGTGATTCTGTGCACCGCGTTTTGAGTGACAAAGCATTATTCTTTCATTTAATCTTTGTAGAAATCCTAACAAATAAATGCAATCATCACCACTTTAAAGATGGTGAATCTGATGTCAAGAGAGGTTGAATAATTTGGCAAAGACACTGAGCTAGCAAGGACAGCACTAGGATTGGGCTGCAAGTCTGCCTCCCTTCAGAATCCTCACCTTTAAACACCAGACAAGGCCATTTCTCCCTCCAGAGTGATGTGCTAGGTCCCAGTCTTCTCTATTGGCTAGCCAGGGCTTGCCACACTCACGTGTATCTACACATCTCATCTTTCCCTGTCAAGAGGAGAGGCGCTTGAGAAGTGCTGTGGGAGAGGATCAGATATAGAAAGATTCATACCCCCAGATACTGATTCATACCCCCAGATACTCCTCTCCAGTTTTGATAATTGGCACTGTTTTTTGATGGGGTTAACCTACTGGCATATAGGGCAAGTCATAATTCTGTGGGAATGGGTGGAGACTCTTCAGAAGAAAGGGGTAATCTCCCAAGCCAATACCCCTGAGAAAATGCAGAGACTGGGACATGAAATTAACCTTTGGAAGGCAGCTTGACTTACATGGGAACCAGATCTCTCTCTCTCTCTTTATGGCCCAGCGGTTCTCAACTTGGGATACACGTCCAAAACGCCTACAGAACTTTTCAAGTAAATGCCAGGTTCTTGATCCAAATTAACCCAGGGTTGGCCTGGACATGTGTGTTGTGACAAAGACTTAACACTTGATTCTGATGGGCAGTCTTGGTTAGGAACTCATGCCCAGTTAGGGAATCGGAGAAGCTCTTTGTAAGAGCTAGCAGAGCTTTCTCTGAAAACTTCATTCCTTTGCAAGTCTGGGATCATGGGGGGGAAAAAGGTCTAGAGCTGGGCTGGACAACTGGTTCTGGGGCCTACCCACTTCCCACTGTGGTGGCCTATGTTCCCCATCCTTTCCACATAGTACATCCCTGGCCCTTACGACCCAGTAGTGCCCCAGGCACTGCTTTGCCCACTCCTTCTGGGCATTTCCTTCCAGGCAATGAACTCAGCTGGCTGGGAAGTGAGAGCAAATCTCATTAGGCCAATTCTCAGTGACGTATAAATGCCAGCCTGCATAGGGGATTTGGTTGTTGAAAGCTCATTAAATTGCAAGCCATGTTGTGGAGTAAAAAATTCCAGTCATTGTTAGATGATATTTATTTTTAAAGGGATGTATTGGAGTACCTTCTCTGTGCGTTGTTAGCCAGGCCTGCTTAGGTGACCTTGATCTAGGAATCTGAAAATTTCAGAAAAGCACGATTAGTTGTCATTCTTTTCCTCTTAGGCCTCCAGATAGGTCTCTCCATCCCCGCTTCCTGTCCTCCTTACCACCCTTCTGCGTCTCTTAGGCAATGCTTAACTTGCACCTGCTGTCTCCTCTCTCCTTTTTCTCCTTCCTTCTTTCCTTTCTTACCAACTGAGTGCCTACCACATTGTGTGCATTTGTGGATAAAAAGTAGGAGGGAGGCATCCCTGCCCTCAGGAAGCTCTAAGACTACTGGTGAGACATGGGGTACCCAGACACTTTCAGTGTGCTGGGAGAGGGCTGTCAATACACAGCAGCCCCACATGTCCCAGGAGAGACACATGACCTGGGCATGGAGGGGCAGGAAAGGAGGCCCAGGAGGAGTGTTGGCCTGACCTGAGTCTTGAGGCATCGGTGAGGGTGAGCCAGGTCAACATGGTGGAGGAAGGCATTCTGACAAAGTGGCATAGCCTGTGCAGAGACCCAACTTAGCAACCCAGAACCCCAATAGCTCAATGTGGCCAGAGCTCACACAGGGTATGAGGACACAAGGCAGGGGCCATAGCAGGGAGGGTTTTGTACATCCCGTTTGGTACTCTGGTTTTATTTTTTAAATTCTTATCTCACAGTGAGCTTTCCTAATTAAAAGAAAATGACGTACATCGTGCTCATGACTTACAAATCAAGTGGCAGATCTGATAGAGAGCAACTGCGTCCTGGACAGCCCCTCTTTCTCACCCATGTCTTACTCACAGGGGACAACCAGTTTTTCTTTCTTTTAGCTCTTCCTTCCTGTCATCACCTCCACATCCCTGGAATCAAATCCTTCTATCTCTACTTGCTAATCAAATTTAGACATTATCTAGTGAATTTCTGTGACGATAAAGATTAAAGAACACTCTCCACTGCCACCTCTCCTGCATTTCTATTCTGAAGGCATTGGGGAGCTAGGAATGATGTTAAACAGATAAGTCTCAGGATGATATCTGTGTTTTAGAAAGGTCAATTCAGAAGCATTGTGCGGGGTGGGTTGAATGAGCGGAAATAGATGTAGGGTAAACTAGATGGTAGATGGCATGGGTTTGCCCTAAGGCATAAGTTCTGTTAACCAAGGGAAAGGAAAACATGTCAGAGAGAATTGGGAACTGAATGAGTAAGGCTGGAGAATGGGTGCCCTGATAATTTACTTTGCCAAACATAACCAGGCAACAATATTTTCATAAGGACCCTAAATCTAGAGAGTTGTGAATCAGCATCTCAATCTAGAAAAAAAAATCTTGAATGCAATTCCCAAAGAATAAAATTTTTAAAATTAAAAGAAACATCCATTACAGTTTGGGCTTAGGGTTTAATTCTAGGGGTGCAAGGGTGGTTAATTAAAAGGGAAGCCTATTAGCACTTCAATTTAATGCCCCTTTCCATTTCTGAAATACTGAAATCTTCCTTACCTTTGCAAAGAGTATCTATTCTAAAGCAAGAGCTAACATTTTATATCAGTGTGAAACACTGGAGTTCCCCAGAAAGTCTAAAGAAAATCAAAGTGCTTTAAAAGCCCAATATTATCATTACTTCTATTGCAACTTTTACATACATATATTGTTTTTGTTTTCCAGAGAGATTAGTTTATAAAACAAAGCAAACAAAACCCTACAGAAGGGTTTGTATTCTGGTCTTGTAGAGCAGCAAGGAAGGGGGCTCTCAGGAGTCTGTGGCACTTTGCAGCCTGGTTTAAGGGTAAGGACCCCGGGGACAGAGTGCTGGAGGCAGCTACTCTAGGTCAGTCAGATCCCAGGCAGTGCAGAGGCAAAAAATTGGGGTTTCTGAACACCTCCATTACTCATTAGTGAATTTGTGCAGAGTAATGCGTACTTGTAAAGAAATCTGTTGAACTGGTGAGAGGAAGCCCCAGCAGGAGAATTTGGTGACCAAAACTGTCCCCAGCATTAGAGGGGTTTCACATTTTCATCTCCTGAAGGAATGGCTGCTGTGACTCCCTGGCTGGATTCTAGGGGCACCCTGATCTTCACAGCCATCCTCGCCAACTTATGTGTAGTCCTTTTCTTCTTGAGCCAAGAAAAGATTGGTAGCATCTTTTCAGACATATTAAATCAAGACACGACATTTTTAAAATAAAAATATTTTTATAGACACATATATGGCATAGATGCAGTTATTTCTATATTTAATGTTATTTTGTTTCTGAAGTAATGTATTTGTTATTTATCCTCCTACTCACTACCTGACTCTGTGAAGGAGTTGGCATGTTTTACAATAAAAGACAGATGCTATAGAAACATTAAGATAAAGAAAAAGAACACAGTCCGTGAACTGAATTTCAGGAGAGAAGAGAAGGAATTCAAAGATAGCTGCTAGAGCTGAGGACAAAAAAACAAAACAAAACAAAACAAAAAAAACGCACAAAAAAAAACCAGACACACAAAAAAATAGAACAAAACAAAACAAAAACTCTGAAATTCTTTGGAAGCAAGTAAAAAAAGAAATTTGCTATTATATGATAAAATAAAATTTACCAGTTTCTCAAGAGATAAATGTCAGAAAAGTTTACAGAGCATACCATTTTTTAAGCCAAAAAAGAAAAAAAAAAGTGTTGACTGATGTCTGGTCACAGGTTGTTAGACCACAGAGTTCTCCAGACACACAGACAGAAGCTTCTCTCCTAGTCTCTCTTGGTTCCCTGTGTTAAAAGCACTGCCTCTCACCGGGCAGGTGAGTGTGCTGCTGCAGTAGAGTCTGGAGAGATGCTTACAGGTTCCAGCTGATTAGCAGAGCAGGGATAATTGCCGTTCCTTATGCTAACTAGGGACCACATTCTCCCTGGCTCAAATCATCAGCTTTCCTGCTGGCCCCAGGGGACTCTCAACTCCTTTCTTGGGTGCACTATTTGGAGATGTGACCTTGGACAACAGAGCTCCCAAAAGTCAAAAGGCTGCTTGCATGTGTTGAAATTATTTGTGCAATATCATGTGGGAATTGTCTACATGGGAACACAGTTTTGTAGAAAGAAGATATACAGTTTTTATTATGTTTTCAAGTGAGCTCATAACTTCAAAAACATAAGGATAATTAATGTAGGATTCTAGCACTACATCTGTGATATTGCATAAGTTTCACCGTGAAGTAACATGCATTGAAGTAGGGTGGTCTTCATTCCACCTTGACCCTTGGACTATACCTTCTACAACTACTGCTCAGGATAGGCAGGGACCCTTCCTCATAGTGTCTCTAGCCCCTTCTCTGCTCTTTTCTGTAATGTCAAATCATCATAAAACCACAGTGAATATATCTATAGTGATTTATGATTTATAAAGTTCATGTAAATATATCATTAATGTAAGCTTCACAATGACTCTGGGAGGTAAGCACTGTAGCCTCCATTTTACAGATGAGAAAACTCAAGTTCAGAGATTTTCCATGAATGGTTCAAGGTCTCACTAGAGGTAGTAGATTCCGGATCCGTGAGGGAACCTGAATTCTGTGATATGTTTACAGTGTATTCTTCCCACTAGAAGCCATGATGAGGTTGGAAAAGGTGGACTTTCCACATAGCTGAAACCATCCCAAGCCACTAATACCTCTTCCTGTTAGCTCACTTGATGCGCTGAAATGTGTTCTCAGCTGCTCAGTATATACATCATAAATTTCTGCTTACAGCATCTATAGAAAAGGCGATTTTGCTAGATGGTAGCTCAAGACATTAGCATATGTGACGTCTATTAAACCTTGGATACATAGACTCCTGTCCTGGTCACAGAGTTACCCACAATGGCAAGTACAATGGGGGTGGGGTGATGCTGGTGGGAAGGGGAGTTTCCTTTATTTTGGATGGGCTTTAGCAGCTTTCGATCATTTGCACAAAAGGATTTGACTCTGCCCATCAGAAAGCACTTCTTCTGAATTTCCCCACATAGGAGGCCTATGAGACACGTGAAGATATCATCAGGCTGGTGGGGGAGCTGGTGAGCATCGTTGGGGCTGTGATCATCCTGCTCCTAGAGGTGAGGGGCAGGCGGGGTCCAGGCTAATCCCATCCCATCTAAGGCCCAGACTGTACCGCAGTCCACATTGTATTTTTGCTTTGCCGTCCTCTCCCCAGATTCCAGACATCTTCAGGGTTGGTGCCTCTCGCTATTTTGGAAAGACGATTCTTGGGGGGCCATTCCATGTCATCATGTGAGTATCCCCTCATTCCAGCCCCCTGCCTTTCCTTACCAGAATCTTTTCCTGTCTCCAGCTCACTCTCTGAGTTCTAGGCCTCAGGTCACTCTCACTCCAAGGACTTCTCTCCAGTGGACTTGTAGGTGTAACTGTATGTGCGTTTTAGGTGTAAAGACTAAGCCTGAGTGTGTGGATACCACCCCGGTCACCACTATGCTGTAGGGACCTAAAATAGTTCCAGCTTGTCTCTCACTCTCTGCTTTCTGCTCCCCCAGCATCACCTATGCCTCCCTGGTGCTGGTGACCATGGTGATGCGGCTCACCAACACCAATGGGGAGGTGGTGCCCATGTCCTTTGCCCTGGTGCTGGGCTGGTGCAGTGTCATGTATTTCACTCGAGGATTCCAGATGCTGGGTCCCTTCACCATCATGATCCAGAAGGTCAGTGCTTTCCCGAAGCTTCCTCCGCCTCAGGCACAAGACCTTCACAGACAGAGGGATGGAGGTAGAATGGAGCTGGTAGAACTATGGGGGCCTCTTGATCTGTTAGCGTTAGCTGCTCAAAAGCAGTGGAAAAGGAATCATCCCACCCTTTCTTCCTTCTGTTTCCTGCAGATGATTTTTGGAGACCTAATGCGTTTCTGCTGGCTGATGGCTGTGGTCATCTTGGGATTTGCCTCCGGTAAGGCACCATACACTCCTCTACTAGATCAGCAGATCTAGTTCTCCAGAAAGTTCACTCTCATTCTTGCTCTCAGTTCTCATTTGCACTTCATTTTGCTTTCTTTTTTTTTGTTTGTTTTTTGTTTTGTTTTTTCCTGTTGGAAGGTAAGTCTAAAAGCACACCCATATTTATAGGACCAGGGGCCACTCAGGTTGGCCTGGAACGTAAAGCCATGTGTTCAGGGCCAATAAGATTTATGTTCACTAACTGCCTTGCAAGATCTTTAAAGGAGAGACAGGAAAAGACTTTTGGTGAGAACAGGGCATTAAACAGGAAAGACTGGCCAGTCATGGATCTCAGAAAACCATGTGGACAAACAGAGATAGTGCCATGCTTAACTCTCCTATGTTTACAATTCAGAAGAGGAAACCTAAAGCACTCAACAACATATAACTTGCTTTTTTTCTATATGTGGTCATTTAAAGCTGAGAAAAATATGAAAGAATTAGAAAAAGGAGGTGCAGAAAAACAGCTTGGACAGTTTGAAGATGACAGAGAAAACAAAAAAGAAGAGTTGTGAAGAGAGACTGGGAGAACAGGAACACACAGGCACCCAGTCAAGGCACAGCCAGTGAAAGTGCCAGGGAGCAAAAGAAAGGAACGGCACAGCAGGAAAACACAGGCAGGTGGAAACAGCCAGAGGGAAGGAGAGGGTGGGTGGAGGAGCAGAAGAAAGTCCTTAGGGAGGGGCAGAAAGAGGAAGGCCCAGGTCTGAAAAGCAAAAGGCCAGTAGCTCAAATTCAGTCCTCAGTGTCTGCAACTGACCATCTATTAGACAAGAAGAGGCACTAGAAGGATCCCCCCATCTCTAAAAAGCAATGACTCAGTGCAGAGGACTCTATTACTGTCCTCAGGGATTTCCCGTTCAATGGGGATTCCCACAAAACAACAGACCAAAACAAAAAACAAACAAAACAAAACAACAACAACAAAACCCCCACCAAAATCTGAAATGTGAAAGAGTAAAACCATGGCGTTCTGCCTGTTTGGAGTTTTCCACCCCAAGCCCTTATGTACCCTTTCCTCCCACTCCCTGGCCATCTACATCTATACATAACACAGATTACAAAATGAGGTGATGGTCCCAGAGTGGCTTTCTGTAGATGTCCTCTATCCAGAACTCTCTAAATGTTCACTTCTTGGCCATTGCACTTGCTTTTCTCTTAAATAAATAAGGAGGCAATGCTTTGTCATAGACCCTGTTTCTGCTCTCAGAATGTGCTTCAGCTCCCTATGCAGTGAGGAGGCTTTCAAGCAGTCCAGCGCTGTCCTGAAGTTCCCTTACGCTCACTGCTATCCAGTAGGCTCCACCCTAAGCAGGAATCCGTTTCCTATGTTGGTTCAGGTTCACTCAGGGAAGGTCAGAGTGATGGAGGGTTATCTAGAGGCCATCAAGATTAAAAAAGGGGCTCTTCTTTTAGCCTGTTCATGTGTTCTGTTCTTTAAAAATTGTTGAGGATTCCATACATTCTTGTAATAACTTGCCTTTTAAGTATTTGGTTTTCTAAAATGCAAAAACCAGTTAGGTGACCTATTATCCATTATCCATACAAACACACACGCTGCACACACAATTTTGTTGTTGTTAAATGACTATTACCATGACCATTACCCAGAGTGGTGAACTTAATCATAGGACATCTTAGGGTTAGACAGTTCCACAGGAAACTACATTTATTAGTATGTAATTATCTGTGCATGTGTGCAAGTGTATTTAGATAGATAGATAGATAGATAGATAGATAGATAGATAGATAGATCAGAGATAGAATAAGTGCTAACCATGTCCATGCTTATTGTGATAACTCCATTATCCCATCTCCATGTCCTCTTCCTGGGCGGAGCAGCGTTCTATATCATTTTCCAGACAGAGGACCCAACCAGTCTGGGGCAATTCTATGACTACCCCATGGCACTGTTCACCACCTTTGAGCTTTTTCTCACTGTTATTGATGCACCTGCCAACTACGACGTGGACTTGCCCTTCATGTTCAGCATTGTCAACTTCGCCTTCACCATCATTGCCACACTGCTCATGCTCAACTTGTTCATCGCCATGATGGGCGACACCCACTGGAGGGTGGCCCAGGAGAGGGATGAGCTCTGGAGGGCCCAGGTGAGTTTATTTGTGTTAGTCTTGCTAAGAAGCAGGGGTTGGAGAGAAAAATCAAAGTGGAAAATGTTATGGTGGATCATTCTTAAAAGAGTCACAGAAAAACCCAGTGAGGCTGTCACCTCAGAAGAGGTTTGTGTAAACCTGAGGTACATGTGGATAAATGGAAGGGACAGAAGGAGGATTAAATGGACGATAGTGGCAAGAGGTGGGGTTGTTGCTCACAGGGGAAAAGTAGACCTAGGATTGATCCTTGAGTCCAGTGGGAACTAGAAGTGACCTTGTTCTGGTATATTCCAGTTTTCAATTTGGATCTTATCTTCTATTTGCTTCTGTAAATCCCTGTTTCTCTATGATCTTTTCTTTATATCACCATAGACTGATAAATATTAGAATTAGAAGTGACCCTCAATGGCCCTCAAGTTGACCTCCTACTTAACATAATAATCATTTATTGGTCAGAATGTCATTCAATATCTTCTCTAATGCTGATTAGTACCTTATTATCTTGCAAATTCAGGTAGAGGTTGGGAGGAAGGGAGTTTTCCCATATTTTTAAAGATTTTGTTATTAGACATTTATGTCGCATTGAGCTAAAACCTATCTTCTTAAAATTTCATTCTTTGGCGCCAGTCTTTCCCTCTCATATATCACAGAACACATTCTTCCATATAAGCACCATTCAAATATTTGAATATAGCCATCATTTTTCCCTTAGACTTTTCATTCATTTAATGATGATCATTTAGACCCTGCTATGTGTTGACAAATGCCTAGGAGCTAGGGACATGAGCATAAACACAACAGACACCATATGTGCCCTCATGGAGCTGACGGTTTAGTTGGAAAGACGGGCATGAAGTGAATGACTTCACAAAAAGCTGTAAAATTACAGCAGCAAAAGTGCTATAGAGAATGTAAGGTGCTAAGAGGAGGATACAACAGAGGAATCGGACTGGGAAGTGAAGACATGCTTTCCTGAGGGAGCAACATTTAAGATGAGAACCCAAAGGTGAGCAAGAACTAGGTAGTTAAAAGGAAGGAGGGAAAAGGATGAAGGTCAAGGTTAGTAGCAATTAGGACTCTTGGCTACAGGGACAGAAAACCAAACTCAAACAGACTTGCAGATTTTTAAACAGGGGGAAGAGGATGTGTTAGTCCTCATAAATGGGAAGTTTAGAGAATTAAACTAACTTTAGAGGTATCTGGCCAGAATGCAGATCCACATCTTATACATTACATCCATTCCTCTGTTCGGCTCTCTTTTGACCTCTCTTCTAAGGCAAGCTCTCCCATCGTGTTTGTGAGATCATTTCTAGAAGCTCCAAACTCCAAAAAGAATGAGGATGTGCAATGCAACACGCAGCTCCGAGGGCCCCACTCACGTTGTATTCTGTGAGGCTCCTGGTGCCAGGCAAAACTGCAGGCTTTAAAAGAACATCTTTCCCCCTGCCAATTCCTTCCATGTTCCATCTCATGGGAACACATTCGGGTCATAGGCACATCGTTGAATCTAAGGAAAGACCAAGGACTAGATAGTGGAGGTGTTGGTGATGGTGGTGGAGGGGAGGTTTGGGGGAAAATAGATTAATTAAGCACAACTGTGTGAAGCCCAGTCCACTCAAACCAATGCACTAAAAGTGATGAGGGAGCAATTCCCTAAATGAAAAATGGGTGCTGTTACCCGAGGAAGGACGGGGCTGCATGATGGCTCAGGAGGAACAATAAACATTTCTTTCAAGGCAAAGAAGAACAGCTATCCAGGGTAAGAGCACAGAATGACTGGAAGTCCTGAGCTAGGAGGGAACTTGGTGCAATTAAGAAACTGAAAGAAGTGTGGAGTAATGAGGAAGATAGGGAGTAGAAAAACATGAGGTGAAGAATTTGCTATTTTGAAGATTGCACTCCTTCAATTAGGAAGCCTTCCTGGTTCTGATCTATTCTGATTGCACCCTTTTGTCCATGCTCTAATAGATCATGGTTTCTTTGAAACTAGAATAGTCCCCAGTATGATTAGGGCAATGCGGTACAAAGCGGGACTATGCCTTTCCTTACTTGGACATAATGCTAAGGGTACCTAAAGCTGAGTCAGGTCTTTTAGCAAATATACAAATGGCCCTTATTAAGCTTGTGATCAGCTAGCACTCCCACACCTTTGTTCTATGACTCACTTATCTAAGCTTCCTAAATGTAAATATAGGACCTTAGATTTGGTTTACTTAAATTTCTTGTTAATGATTTTACACCAGCATTCCAATCTAGCGAGATAATTTTATATTGCTTCTGTTGCCCCACATATTACATATCCCTCCCAGTTTTGTGTCACAGGCATATTTGATAAGCTTGTTTCCCATGTTTCATCTAAGTAATTAATGAGGGCTGAGCAAAGGACAGAACGTGTGGTGGACTTGCTACCAGAAATTTCCCTGCCAACTTGCAGTCATTAATCAACCCTTTTCCTTCCTAAGATGTGGATATTTAATTTGCTGAAAATTCCCTGAACAGTAACAGTATCAATTCATCCCCAAGATCGTAGAGATTCTCTTTAATCATTTTATTTAAATCGAGATAATTGGTCTGTGGCTTTTATATGAAAAAGAAGTTGAGATTAGTTTGGAGTGACTCATTCTCCATGAGTGAATAGTAATGTAAGGGCAACTATTTTATTCAAAACACTCACAAAAAATCCTCTCTCATTTCTTGATGAGTGAAGCTGGTTGCATGGTGCCTGGCACAGGCTGTGGGGTGAATAGGTGGCTGTTCTCACCACTGACCTCTAGTGTCCTATCTCACAGATTGCCTTTGGTTCCCTTTATCAGTGGCCTCAGTGCCTCTTTGAACCTCATGGCTCTTTCAGAGTTCTTCCTGTATCTCCTGCCTCCTTCCAGGTCGTGGCCACCACAGTGATGCTGGAGCGGAAGCTGCCTCGCTGCCTGTGGCCTCGCTCCGGGATCTGTGGGTGCGAATTCGGGCTGGGGGACCGCTGGTTCCTGCGGTGAGTGATGGTGTGCACATGCAAAACTGCAGATGTGTATAAGGCCACGGAAGCAAGGGTGACCGACAGGCGTCCTGGAGCCTACATTAGCCTGTCTAGGGGAGGGGGCTGGAGCTGAAGTGGAGGGGTACGAAGAATGCTGTGTGTACCTCAGGGCAGCCACGTGTAAAAGGTTGTGTGCATGTGTCCATGCTCAGACGTCAGCATGGGTTACCAGACTTGCTGTAACCTTGTTCTGAGCTGACCTTCATCTCCAGTGTACTTTTGGCTTGGATCTAACTTCCTCCTTCATATTCTGCCCTCATCTCCCGGCGTGACTCTCCTCTCTCCTCAAATTTACTTCCTGAATTGCATCTCGTCATCCTTGTGACACGCTTATCTATTAGTTGGCTCTGTTTTCTCTTTCACATTCCTACGTATTAGTAACACACAAACACACACACACCTGTGTGCGTCCTACCACCCTGCAAGCCCTGATTGCTCAGCCTCCATTATCTCTATCCCAGGTTAGCCTGCCCTCCATCACCTCCCTTCACTTGATCCCAGATACTCTTCCTGTTTCAACTCTGCTGCCTTATTTCTGCTTCCCTCTTGACCCTGCTTTCTAAATGGTCACCTCTACTTCTCCCCTGCCCATGTCTCCCCACCTGGATTGAGTCCTTTCCCCTTTCCCCTTATCAGGGTTGAGAACCACAATGATCAGAATCCTCTGCGAGTGCTTCGCTATGTGGAAGTGTTCAAGAACTCAGACAAGGAGGATGACCAGGAGCATCCATCTGAGAAACAGCCCTCTGGGGCTGAGAGTGGGACTCTAGCCAGAGCCTCTTTGGCTCTTCCAACTTCCTCCCTGTCCCGGACCGCGTCCCAGAGCAGCAGTCACCGAGGCTGGGAGATCCTTCGTCAAAACACCCTGGGGCACTTGAATCTTGGACTGAACCTTAGTGAGGGGGATGGAGAGGAGGTCTACCATTTTTGATTAACATCGCTATCACTCTTGACCTTACTCCCGGTTGGCCTGGGGGCGGGGACAGAGACGGAGACCTCTGCCTATGCAAGTGTCTAACTTCTGTGCCTGTTAATCATGGGAGGGTGAGACAGAACAATCCCTAAAGGGTCATGCCTCACACTTCACATCAGAATTTCTGGCAATGGGCAATGGTCATCGATTGTCTCACGTATTTTCTGGGCTCTTGCAAGTCACCCATCTCAGGAAAAAGGAGGTTGGCAACTAAAGACATGAGGCAGGGATGCTAGATTAATGTCAGGACCATTTCTCTTCTGCCCCACGCAGCCCCTAGAAAGTAGTAAGCTGTGAGGCTTTTCTGGCTCCCCAGGGCTTACGTGGGAAGAGCCAGGCATGGCATAGAGGTTGTGGCCCTTCTTTTTTTCCCAGCCTCCTGTAGGTCTCTCTCTCCACTTAGCAAGCAAACACCAACTGCAATAAAAAAGTCTCCTTATTCTTGCCTTCTTTAATTTTTTACTGTGGCACAATACATGTCACATAAAATTTACCATATTATCCATTTTCAGATGTGCCATTCAGTGGCATTAAGTACATTCACATTGTTGTGTAACCATCACCATTATTCATTTATGGAACTTTTTCATCATTCGGAACTGAAACTCTAATCCCCATTGAACAATAACTCTCCAGCTATCTCTCTGCCCTGGTCCCTGATAACCAATATTCTGCTTTCTGTCTATGAATTTAACTATTCTAGGTATCTTATGTAAGTGGGATTCTGCAATCTTAGTCCAAAATTTGACACAGTTTGTTTATTTATTCATCTACCAATGGACATTTGAGTTTTTTCTACCTTTTGGCCGTTGTGAATAATGCTGCTATCAATATGGTATACAAATATCTGTTCTAGTTTCTATTTTCAGATACTTTGGGCATACACCTAAAAATGGAATTGCTAGACAATTCTTATGTTTAGTTTTATGAGGAACTGCCATACTGGTTTTCACAATAGCTTTCACCATTTTACATTCCCTTCTAATGGGTGTGAAGTGGCTTCACATTGTAGTTTTGATTTGCCTTTCCCTAATGACTAATGATACTGAGCACGTTTTTATACACCTATTTATTGGATGTTTATATACCTTCTTTGGAGAAATGTCTTTTCAGTTTATTTGTCCATTTTCGAATTAGGTTTTTGTTGTTGTTGAATTGCCTTATCTTTGCTTTTTGAGGCTCACAGTCTGAAGTGTTTGCATCCTGGTGTGTTTTTAAGAATGTATGGTAAATTAGGCCTATATTTGAATGGCCTAATCATTTCTTTTCCAGGACCCTCCTGCTCTGTCCCTAGCAGCTAATCATCCTTGTGCCTGGAGGCAACAGGCTCCTGCTTGTTCTCCTGACATAGCCATCCTCCATTCCCATCTCCCTTTGCCCCACACTGAGTTGTGAAAGGAACAGCAACAATAGAGGAAGGGTCATCCCTCTCCAGGAGGGAAATTAGGAATCATGTGTCCAGGGCACCCATTATAGGTGCTCATGGTCAGCCTCTCTTGTGTCTCCAGCACTATACTTCTAATCCCAGCCCCATCATCACCCTTAGCAAAAAGCCATGTCAGCTTTTCAAAGGACTGTGGTCTGGGATAACAAAGAAGTAAGTGGTATTTGTGAAACCACAGACAGTTAATTCAGATACACCAGCCCAGGGCTGAGTGCCCAGCAGTGAGGGATTGCACAATGTGTATACACACGCCCGCACACACTGGGACACAGTGGTGGCAGGGTATGTAAAACTGCTCAGTCACCATCATTCTTCTTTATTCTCTTCATAGTAGAAGCACTTTAAAATTCTGCTTCTGTAGTCCTTTTTTTTTTTTCTTGAGACAGGGTCTTGCTCTGTTGCCCATGCTGAAGTACAGTGGTGTGATCACTGCTTACTGCAGCTTCGACCTCCTGGGCTCAAGTAATCTTCCCCCATCAGCCTCCCAAGTAGGTGGCACTACAGGTGTGCACCACCACACCCAGCTAATTTTTGTATTTTTTTTAGAGATGGGGTTTTGCCATGTTGCCCATGGCTAGTCTTGAACTCCTGGTCTCAAGCAATCCACCTGCCTCGACCTCCCACAGTGCTGGGATTACAGCATGAGCCACTGCACTAGCCCTGTAATCTTTTTAATACTTGCTTAACTTGTCTATAAACTTATATGTCTTTTGATTTGAGCCCTTGGCCTGCCCCCAGGTATTGTCCTTTGTCCTGGCTTGTGCACCTGGTATGTAATTAAAATTGCTTACTGCCTAGGTTTTTCACTAAAATAAGAATTACTAAGAGTTAACATTATAAATTAATGAATGTAATTAAAACTACTAGGTACATACAATGTGTATTAAACAGGTAGGCTGTGTTTTTTTTTGGAGAACAAATGTTAAAATAAGTCATGGGAGTGTGGTTCTTTTTTAAGAGAAAGTGTTTTTTTCTAGTTTAGAGGATTTTAAGGACTGTTTCAAGTTAACAGAAACGACAAAACTGAAGGTTTAAGCAAGTCGTAGAAGGTTTGTGGAAGATTGATCTTGTAAAAGGAATTTTGTGTGTGATCAAGTTTGGCTAAAATTTTAAGGGGATTATTTAGATATTATACAAATTGAACATTCATATAAATAGCACATTGATGCAGGGTCAGAATCTGAGCACCTGTGTGAGGCAGGATTTTCTTGGAATATTGATGTGTTCTTTAACACAAATTTGTAAAGTTTATAAAAGCCTCATGGAAATCTTACCTTACAATCAAACTAATTAAAATTTGGTAGATTTGCTTATAAGATTCTATTAAAGCTTTAGAATTAACAATACAGTAATACAAAAATAAAATTTGGTTTTCTCTTTTAAATAAGATTTTTGTATAATATTAAGAGATAGTAAAAGATTTTCATTTGCCCTTTGAATAAACTGCCAAAAAAATTAAAGAAGAAGGAGAGGAGAGACAGATTCAGTTGGCTTCACACTGTCTCTATTAGGTCCTATTTTTTAGAAAACTGAGGTCTTCTTTATCAAGGAGTAAAGATTTCTGCTTTTTTTTAAAATTGGTGAGTTATCACTTTAGCTAAATGATTATAATGACCTGTAATCTCATTTTGCGATATCAAGTGCTTTAAACTTTTAATGTTGGACTAACTTTCCAAGATTAAATTCTAAATGCAGTCTTTTAACCTCAAACTGACTTTTAAATGTCCAACAGAGGCATATTTGGCTTATTTGATATGTTAAAATCATACAGGAGGCATTGCCAAGTATAAAATGGTGTGTAACTTTCTTTGAAATATATTTATATAAATGTGCTATTGTTATGTGTTCCAAAATTGTATAATATTCTTATAATTTTAATATGTCTTGGTATATGTGATCAGTAATAATTATAATTATGGTAAATTATTGTGTGCCACAGAAATAACCAGATTTCCTTGTCAATTATATCTTTGACTGTGGATATCTTTTGTCATTCACAATTATTATTTTACTTTGTTCCTTTTCAAAAAGTTGCTTATAATCAGTTATAGGACTCTGATGGTGTATTAGTTCATTCCCATGCTGCTATGAAGAGATACTTGAGACTGGGTAAATTATAAAGAAAAGTTTAATTGATTCACAGTTCTGCATGACTGGGGAAGCCTCAGGAAACTTAGAATCACTGGAGAATCACCTCTTCACAGGGTGCCAGGAGAGAGAATAAGTGCCAAGCAAAGTGGGTAGCCCCATATAAAACCATCTGTTGCCCATGCTAGAGTACAGTGGGCAACTCACTGAATGAGTGAGTTCTCATTAGAACTCACTAGCATGAGAACAACATGGGGGGAACTGCCCCCCATGATTCAATTACCTTTCACTGGGTCCCTCCCACCACATGTGGGGATTATGGGATTACAATTCAAGATGAGATTTGGGTGGGGACACAAAGCCAAACTGTATCAGATGGATACTTTTAAATGCAGGTTTCTGACAGCTTTGGAGATTGTGCCATTAAAATAGAGGAAAAAAATCTTCCAGGACACTCCTGGAGATCTGATGTATTCATGAGGATTGTTGACCCAATATCAAATAGAACAGAGGTTAATTGCATGAACTGAGCTAATAGAAGACTAAAATAATTTTTTGTGTGATCTTTTTGTCTGAAACATTGGTGATTCTTTTCATTTTTTGGGTTGTTTACAGCTTTTAACAATTGAGTAAAATATGCTCTTGTGAGCAAAATTTAAAGCATATTTCTTTCTCTCTACCTGATTTCTCCAGAATTTGAAAACTATTTTTGAGTATTCTTAATTTATAACAATATAGTTATTTGTATGAGCTCAATAAGAATCTGCTTTCTTTTGTAACAGGACACAATTGGAGACTATTATTTTACTAAAGCTTTGACTAGAATGAAATATTTTAAGCTATAAACAAAACAACAAACTGTTTTAAGGAATTGCCATTGACTTATAGAGCCAATAAAAGATCCTTAAAAAAACTGGCCTTGTACCTTGCCTACACAATTCTTTTACAGGGTTCCCAACCTGTGATAAGTAAAGAACGTTACTTTCTGGCAGGCCCGGGAACCCCAAGTTATCTTGGGATTAAGAAGAGAGGCATTCGCCCAGTTCATACAGATATCTGCAGGCACAAATAAATTCTTGACTGGGCTTGGGGCCTTTAAAAAGTCTAAACTAAGATTCCTTAAATAAAAAAGTTTCCAGCAAAGTCAATTTTAAAAAAGCCTAAATAGAAAATAATTATTCTTGCTGCACTTTATACAAAGAATCAGGTGAAGTATAATACAACTAAAGCTTTTCTACAAATAAATTAGTCCTACTATGATTTGTCTTTGATAAAAATGGAGGACTGAGATAAAAATTATGTTTTTTTTTTTTTTTAAAAAAACATATAAAACACCTCTTCTTAGACCCCACCTTATCAATTGTTTCTCAGTTTCATTCTTTGTTAAAATGCATTTGGACTGAATCCTAAGTCCTTTCCTGGCTACAAGTCTCCAAACTACTGTTCATTTTTTTTTTCCTTTTTCTTTCATTTTTTCCCTTTTTTTTCTCATTTGGAATCTAGAAATTAAAACTAGAAATTTTAATTTAAAATTAAATTAAAATTAAAACTGTGCTTTTCTTAAAGTTCTGCCAAGTGAAACTTGAAACTTAAACTTTGGGAAAAGTAACAGCAAATTATTTATATATATAAACCACTTTTGTGCCTGCCTACTCATTCATGGACTTCAGAGCAATATAGCCTAAATCAGTTTTCCAGGATTACTTTCCCCTTTTGTTGTCATGATCTTTCCTCCTTTTCTACTGGTTTTCTTTCTCTCTTCTTTCCCCTATTTTTCTCTGTGGAACATGAAACTTCACAACCTGCTAAGAATGATCCTTTCTAAAATGAGGGACCTAACCCTCTAGAAATAAACTGTCCTAGTGACAAGGGATCAGACCAAACCTGAGATCAGACACTCACTTTCTTCTACAATGCTTTCCCTGAAAGATTTGGAAGAACAGGGTGGGAGGATGTGAAAGGAAAATAACATCTTGGGACCTCAAACTCACTATGTGAAAGGGAAAAGTTAAGTTTGGAAACTGAGTCAAACTTTTGGAAGTTGCCTTTCTTCCAAAAAGTTTGGAAACTGCCTGTCTTTTTGTTCCTAAACAGATAGCCTCAAGACAGAAGGCCACATTAGCTCCCCAGATGGCCTCCTTCACCCTGACATTATAAATTAACAGTTTATCTTCACGGGTACAGGAGAAGAGAAGAATAGAAATCGTCCCTCCTCCTACCCTGGGATGAAGGCATATTTGACTTCTTCCTCTAATTTACTTTGTCTTATGTAAAGTGCAGATTTACTGAGCATGACACAAATACATAAATGACTGTTCCTCTGTCCCCTGCTTCTCACATGCAACATGTGGATTCAGTGAGCACTAATCAAAGCCTCAAAAGAATGTAACCACTTGTCTACTCTCCGCCACTTTTCTTTAACTTTTCTCCTTCCCCTCCTGGCCACTTAACCCCTTTAAATATTGAAGCCTTCAAAACCCACTTTGGAAAAAGTGCAGGCCTCAGATCTTACTGTGGCCTGTGTCTCTTTTTCCTGTGTCCTCAACCTTGCAAAATAAACCTGTAAATTGATCGAGACTTGTCTCAGACATCTTTTTCTCAGTTTACAACTTCCACTCCTGTGCAAAGCTAAACTCCCATCTGTGTTCTAGATCCATTCCTCACTCTGTCTTTTCACACCCTGTGTCCATCACTGTCTCCTCTGACCCCTCTCACGTGTGTATCTTCAACTTCTCCTTCTCTGGTAGCTCTGTCAGCAAATAAGCATGCTCTATTCTTTTGCATTTTCGAAGAAACTGCAAACTCCCTCCCTCAACCCCACCTCTTCTTTCAGCTACTCCCTGTTCAGGGCCAAACTTCTTAAGAGTAAATCCCATTGTCTACTGGCCTCCCACTGACACCTCAACCCATTGTGATTTGACCCTGCCTTCTCCGTGATACTGATACCTGTAGTTAAATCCACTGAACAGTCTTAGTTTTGCTTGAACACTCGGTAGCATTCAGATTACGGTTAATTGTGCGCCACTTCTCAACACGTCTTGTGCCACATATCGCAGCTGTCCTGGCTGCTTCTCCTCCACTGACCCCTTAAAGATTTTCAGTCCACAGGCTGTTTTCCTTACCACCTGGGTAGTCCTGCCTAATTCAATAGATTACCATGCACAAGCTCAGAATCCCTAGCTCCTTATCGTCACCTTAGATCTGTCTCCGGAGCTCCAGGCATGAACGGCTTGGACGCCTATTGATTGGACCGCTCTACCTGGATGTTTTACAAACACCTCAAACTCAACATGTCCCAAACTGAACAGCTTTTCTTCCTCACCAAACCTGCTCCTCCACCAGTGTTTCCAACCAAGTATGTGGTAGCACAACAAAGTTGCCTAAGCCAGGATCCTAGGCGTCCCATCCTCCACACCTCTATCTCAACTCTCATATCCAGTTGATCTCACGTCTTGTGGATAGTCTAGTCCCTAAATTTCTCCTTTGAAAAATAACTAATTTTGATTAGATAACACATCACAAGGTACAAAACCCAAACAGCACACAAGATATCTAGGAAAGTAAGCTCTCTTATCTCTGTCTCAGCCTCTTGCTTGTTATTCTCAGGGACATTCACTAATGAAAGTTTATTATTTATCCTTCCAAAAATACTCTAGACATTTCCAAGTATATGTATGTATATGTTTATCTTAAAATACATATAATAGCTTAGTAGATTAGAAAAGGAGTTGTTGCTTTTGTCACTTAGGATATTTTAAAGTGTCTCATTCTGCACATGATTTTACCATGATGTATTATTTTTATTCCTGGGTAGTGCTATATTCTCCTTCCCCCTGGCTTTCATAATTTCTGGACCTTTCTACCCCTCTGCCTCCATTTCCTCTTTCATTGCTGTGCCTTTTTTTTTTTTTTTTTTTTTGAGAAGGAGTCTTGCTCTGTCGCCCGGGCTGGAGTGCAGTGGCATGATCTCTGCTCACTGCAATCTCCACCTCCTGGGTTCATGCCATTCTCCTGCCTCAGCCTCCCCAGCAGCTGGGACTACAGGCGCCCGCCACCACGCCCGGCTAATTTTTTGTATTTTTCGTAGAGATGGGGTTTCACCGTGTTAGCCAGGATGGTCTCGATCTCCTGACCTCGTGATCCACCCGCCTCAGCCTCCCAAAGTGCTGGGATTACAGGTGTGAGCCACCTCGCCCGGCCCATCGCTGTAACTTTTATTCATCCTATTGGTCTCAGCTTAAAGATTATACATTTAGGGTGGGTGAATGTGCACATGTGTGGTAAGAGAGGGGGCTCCCTGACTCACTCCTAGACTAGGTTAGAGACTACCTGCTTTATGTTGCTAGACCACCTATATTTTCTTTTTATTACACACACTGGACTTTATTGCACTTGTTTGTTTAAATGACTATGAGCTCCACAAACGTAAAGATGATGTCCATCTTATTCACCCTTGTATTCCCAGTACCTGGCATAATTCCTAGTACAATGTATTGTGAAATGAATATTTATTAACTGAATCTATGAATGATTGACCTATTTTTATTCTGACTTTTCTTACTGGCCACACATATTTCCACTTTTTTTCTACCTGTCAAAGGTGGTAAAAAAAATAGCTGCCTTTTGAGTGAGGTTGTAGTAATTAAAGATGACCACATAATATGAGTGGAAACACTTTGGAAAGAATAAAAACCAATGCAAATGTGATTGCTAGAACATGTTTTTAGCCTAAATATACGTGTGTGTGAATATGTATTTGTGTGTGTGTCTGTGTGTGTATATATGAGACACAGAGAGAGAGAGTGAGAAGAAGGAGGAGGAAGAGGAAAAAGGTGGTGGAGGAGAAGGGGCAGGAGGGGGACTGACAGAGAAGAGAAGAAGGAAGAAGGGGAAAAAAGATGAAGAATAAGAGGAGGAGGAGGAAAAGGGGGCAAGAAGTCCTTCAGCAAAGCTCTGGGACAGCACTTACTGTCTGGTATGTGGTACCCTCTGTAAGAGGCATTAAGATAATCTGTGAGATTCCACATCTGCCCTCAGGAGCCCAAGTGAGAAGGGAAGAGAACACATACACACAGACATCAGCTCACTGCAGGGCAGATGTGGGAAGTGACCCGTGTGCTAAACGAGATGGCAAATGTCTCTTCCTGCCTGGCAGCTGCAAGGCTTCTATACAGGACTTCAGAGACAGGGACAGGGAGTAGAAGAAATATCCACTGCTCGTTCTGCCTCAGGAATTCTTCAGGTACCCACAAATGGTTACTATTCTTCCCCCTCTGTCTCCCCCATCCCTGATTATTTCAGAATATAGAATGCAAAAAAATATTCATGCTTCTGTATGTCTCATAGGCCAGAGGCTGGAAAGCAATGAGAAAATGTTGTTCTCAGCCGGGTGCAGTGGCTTATGCCTATAATCCCAGCACTTTGGGAGGCCAAGGTGGGCAGATCACCTGAGGTCGGGAGTTCAAGCCCAGCCTGACCAACATGGAGAAACCCCATCTCTACTAAAAATACAAAAACTAACCAGACATGGTGGCACATGCCTGCAATCCCAGCTACTCGGGAGGCTGAGGCAGAAGAATTGCTTGAACCCTGGAAGTGGAGGTTGCAGTGAGCCGAGATCGTGCCATTTCACTCCAGCCTGCACAACAAGAGCGAAACCCCATCTCAAAAAAAAAAAAAAAAAGAAAAGAAAAGAAAAAGAAAATGTTGTTCTCAGAGGCATCACTGGACTTTTAAAATGCCTCCCTCCCTCAGACGTTTGCAAAGTATGTTATTGACAAGGTGCTGGGTTCTGGTAAGAACAGCTGAGTTGCACCTGAGGAATGGCTGTGCCGGAAGCCTCAGGAATGGGGGCCAGAGGTCAGCATTCCTCCCCCTGTGTTGCATCTGAAGAAATGCAAGATAAGGTCTGGGCAGAGCTGAGGGAGGGGAAAAAAAGGAGGAGGGAGAGAGTAAGCCAAGGTAGGGCTGTCTTAGCAGGTCCTTAGAGCAGGATGGCATTGCATGGCAGGGCAGAGAAGAGACATTGGAGAGAGAGAGAGGGGCCAACAATGGCATCCAGAAGGCTGCTTGGCACACCTGAGATCACTCCAGGAAAAACTGAGAGAATGCCTTGACATGAGGTCAAGGATCATTTACCTCCTTGAGTCAAGCTCACTTGTTTCTTAAAGGTTAATGAGGAAAAGATGAGAAATGGGCATGGTGAGAAATACTTTAACCAGGTAATGCTGAGTGATGTCATGCAGACAGGGAGAAGTTGGTGAAGTGTGGCCCCCCTCTCTCTGCCCTGGGATGGCAGCCAGGTTGGAGCCACCTGGGGAAGGACTGGACACACCTTCTTCATTTTGCTTGCACCTCTTTGTTATCCCTGGGTTTGAGGAGGCGGCAATTAGGATCAATTGAGCCTGAGGGGGTAGGGGCTTGTGCAAGCCAGCTGCAGCATGGCAAGCCTGAGTGTGTGCCTCCACACTTACCTGTGCAGTGCTTCCTGCACTTACCTGTGAGGAAGAGCTTCTCCTTCGTGATTCCTTTTTTTTTTTTTTTTTTGAGACAGAGTCTTGCTCTGTTGCCAGGCTGGAGTGCAGTGGCGCAATCTCAGCTCACTGCAACCTCCACCTCCTGGGTTCAAGCGATACACCTGCCTCAGCCTGCTGAGTAGCTAGGACTACAGGCACGTGCCACCATGCCCAGCTAATTTTTGTATTTTTTTTAGTAGAGATGGGATTTCACCGTGTTGGCCAGGATGGTCTCGATCTCCTGACCTAGTGATCCGCCTGCCTCAGCCTCTCAAAGTGCTGGGATTACAGGCATGAGCCACCTCGCCCAGCCTCCTTCATGATTCTTAAAGGTCATTCTCTTTTCAACAAAGCTTTCTTTCTTTGGCCCTTTTACTTGAGCTGCTTTTTTTCTTCTTCCTGACCAAACTGTGGTGCCCACTGAGGGTTACAACCTGCCTCCAAGACACATCATCACTACCACCCTGCCCCAACCACCACCAGGGCCCTCTTTGGTCGGTACTGTCTTAGGTGCTCGGTTAACCCAAGGCCACCTCAGCCGCTGCCTCTTTTCTCATCCCCATGAGCAGAGCTCCCTCGAGAACGGGGGCCCCTGCCGGATGACGTGTGCATGTGAAAACCCAGTTTTACTCCCCAGCTCTGCCATGGTATTAGTGAGGAAACCTGTACATCAGTCAGTGATGATGATAATTTCTGACTTGTGTACCTGACATGATTATGACAAGAAAATAGCACCAAGCATGTGAAAGCACACACGTTCCTAAAATTTTACTGCTGTAAGGAGTGATTGCAATACCTTGGGCTGCCCTGGTTCCCTTCTCTTGTGCTCTTGCTCCCTCTGCTTTTTCTGAGCCCCCTCTGGACACTGTCTTCCAATTCAGAAATAAGGATATAAGGGAAAGAGATGTAGAAATAAAAGGCCATGGCTCCATGAAGGTGACACTGGCCAGGTCCTTAGAGCCTCTGTCATGCCCATAGGTCAGAGAGGGTAACCCCCCAATGATGGCTCTTTACTTCTTCAGGAACTCTCAGACTCCAGCCCCTCATCCTGTAGTCTCTCTCTTCTCCCTAAATAAACCACATCCAGAGAGGGAAGCTGCAAAGGGAGGGTTGCAACAACTTGTTCTTTCTTTTTTTGGGGGACAGGGTCTTACGCTGTCACTCAGGCTGGAGTGCAGTGGTGTGATGGTGGCTCACTGCAGTCTCAACTCAGCCCTCAGCCTCCCAAATAACTGGGACTACAGGTGCACCACCATGCCTGGCTAGTTTTTTGTTTGTTTTTTGGCAGAGACAGGGTTTAGCCATGTTGCCCAAGCAACTTGTTCTTTCTTTACCCAGGCAGAAATCTCTGTCTCTTTCCCTTCTCTCTCTCCCTCCCTCCACAGGTGAACTTGGTGAACCTGAGGGGCAAGAAGGAGGCAATCCCAGGTTCCATGGCCTCTGTGCCAACCCCCCAGGTCTCAGGTCAGTGATCACTCCTTCCCTCTGGGTCCCAGGCCAGACCTGATGGGGAAGCTCAGGGCGGGAGGGTGGGAATGGCTGGGGAGACAGGTGTCTCTGCTACATACACCACGTCCTTTCCTCCATCCTAGTTGCTGCTCCCTTCCCACCTTATCCAGGCCAATTAATCTTTCAAGAGCAGATGGCCATTTCTCTGTGTGTGGGCTGGGGATTGAAAAACCCCCTCCCCACCCCACCGGGCACACACACACCTCCCTGCCACCTTTCCTTGTTCTTCACCACCTTCTGAGCCCCTCTCTTGTACACTGGGCCACCTTTACCCTTGGGGCCTAGGAAAGAAAATATACCTATTAAATAGCTTGCAATTTCCCAGGCACAGCTCATTCCTCATAAAACGTAGTTCATCATAAACTCTACGCCAGGCACTCCAGTGCGGAAAAAGAAGAATGTGATGTGATTTAGCCTCTTCCTTTGAGACTCTCTAGGTGGGAAAAATAGGCAAGCAAAGGGACAATGTTAATGCAGTAAGATCCTTTCCATGCAGGGCAGGAGGGAAGAGAGGTGGGGGCACAGGAGAGGCAGGGACTGGCCCTGACTGGGTAGAGTTGGGTGCCTAGGGAAGAAAAGAGAGAGTGTGACATTCAAGTTGGGCTTCAGAGGATGAGCTGGAGTTTATGAACAGATCATCTGGGGCATCTTCCTGAACTGGGGCAGGATTGGCCTGATTAGAGAGCCTGGTGTAGGGGAAATGCCATAACCCGTATTTCCTCACTATTCAAGTCAACAGTGAACAAGAGACTTAGATGTAAACAGTCTCTTTGGGAGAGCAGGGGGTGAGGTCTATGGAAGGGATGATACAGAAACCCACCCTGTGTAGGTGGTAACAGCCTGAGGCAGGATCTACTCTAGTCTCCTGGAGGGAGAGAGCGGATTTTCTCACCAGAGGGTAATGTGGTCTATCACTGAAAGGGCTCCAAGGCAGAATAACAGCCATAGAAGAGAAGAATGAGGGAATAAGAACAGAGGCTATTACTGTATATTTGCCATGGGCCAGCTGCCTCCCACACTCTTCTCTCTCATCTAATTCTCAGGAGCCTGCAAGTTAGCTGTTGTCATCCTAATTTTACAGACAGGCAACTAAGGCCCAGAGAGGGTGAGTTACTTGCCTAAGGTCAAGTGACTATTACCGTGCTCCTTTTGTAGACAAGGAAACTGAGGCTGAGAGGGGTGTGCCAATTTGACTAATATCACTCAGCCAGTAATTAGCAGAGTCTGATTTTGAACCCAAATTTATCTGGCTCCAAGACCTTGTACTTCTACCTCACAATTCAGAGCCCCTGAGATAAGACAGTTCTAAAGTCTCTACCAGAAAGCTGTTTCCTAGATGGGTTGGATTTCAAATACTCCCCCCAAAGCAAAATGATAAAACAAGTGACTTGCATTCATATGACACTTTATGGTGTATAAAGTCTTTTCATGGTCGTTATCTTCTTTAATCCTAAAAACAACCCCATAAAGTAAACAGAGCAGTATTAAGCGTTCCTGTTTTACAGACAAGGAAGCTGATTCTCAGAGAGATTGTCTGATTGAAGTCACAGATCTCACCAGAATGGAGCAGGGCAATGACCCAGGATTTCTGGGCTCCCGGAGAGATCTGTCTCCACAAGGGCTCCCTCGTTGTATGGACAGATGGACAAATCCAGATCCTGGTGGATGGAGCACAACCCTCTTCATAAAGTCTGTAGCAAGGGTGAACACAGATAATGGAACTAAAAGACACCTCTGAGTCTGTCAGCTCACAGGCACTTGCACACTTCTGACAGTGTGTTTAGTACATTGCAGCAGCCACCCTCAATGTTGGGCACACAACTTCAGTCAGAGGATCATCCACCAGCACCTTCAGTGTTGACTCGGATCGGCAGCCCTGTGCCAATAGTTTCCTTCTGCACTTTGGTCTGCCTGCAAGAATTTTAGGCCCAGTACTGCCTGCGAAACAGTTCCTGGACTTCCCAGCAGCTTGAAGACTCAGGGTTCCCTCAGACACTCCAAAGTCAGCTCTTATAGTTAGAAACCTCGGCAAGGCAAGGAGAAGGAGGAGGAGAAGATAAAGGAGGGCAAGTGGGAGCCCCGGGCAGGAGAACTGCTCCCAGGGCACAGCACATAGCTCTGTGATGACAGGGGTGATGGGTAAACAGATTCCTATCGGGAGATCATTGTATACTCCAGCTGTCGCCCATTCCCACCTTGCCCCATGCTTGTACCAGCACACACATGCTCAAACAAAGCCAAGTTGCACACTCCAGCATCCACACTCCCACGTGCACAGGGCACTACACACAGGAGGGAACCATGCCCCATGCTCCAAGAATCGTGTGATGGAGGCTGGGGAGGTGGGGAGTTGCAGAATAGCTAAAGTCTTTTTTTTTTTAATTTTCTAGTTCCTGTTAGTGTAGTGACTGACTAGCGACCTCACGCTCCTGGTGCCCAGCTAGGTCCAGGATTTCCCAACAGTCATCTGGAGAACACACTATTGGGCTTCCATCCCTCCCTGTACCCAGCTGGGACACCACCTCCTGGCCCCCTCAGCTGCTGCCACTCCACCTTCCTCTCAGCCTCCCAGCTCAGGTATCTGCCACAGAATCTGCCCAGTCCTGGTGTCTCAGCTTAGCACTACCCTGTGGTCTAGGGGGAGGCTGAGCCACCACCTTCTCCCTACTGCAGTTCTATCCAGGGGCGAAGCTCCCGTTGTGAGAAAAGTTGGGGAAGGTTTGCACCCTGACTCGCTGGTGCCTCCCAGCCCCTAGGTTCTTGGGTGTGTCCCTACTCCACCTCCAGGGGACTTCCTCCCCCTCAGTTCTGCTCCTTCCCTGCTTCTGGGTCTCTCTGTCCTGGACCCCTCAGACCCAGACCTTTCAGAAGAGGCAGCTTGCTTCCAGTGTGTCCCCCTCCCATGGTTTGGGCATGTCTGTACATGTTTTTTTTTTTTTTTTTTTTTTTGAGACGGAGTCTCGCTCTGTCGCCCAGGCTGGAGTGCAGTGGCGGGATCTCGGCTCACTGCAAGCTCCGCCTCCCGGGTTCACGCCATTCTCCTGCCTCAGCCTCCCAAGTAGCTGGGACTACAGGCGCCCGCCACTACGCCCGGCTAATTTTTTTGTATTTTTAGTAGAGACGGGGTTTCACCGTTTTAGCCGGGATGGTCTCGATCTCCTGACCTCGTGATCCGCCCGCCTCGGCCTCCCAAAGTGCTGGGATTACAGGCGTGAGCCACCGCGCCCGGCCGTCTGTACATGTTAAACCATCCTCCACTCTTAACCAAGTCTGGCATTTTGCTTTTTTTTTTTTTTTAAGGAGGTGGTGGGGTGTTTGGGTGACTGCTTGCCTTAAATAGAATTCAATAGAGTTCTTCTCACTGTCTGCCCTTTCACTGAGTTTGTTGGTTGAAGAGAGAAGAATAAGAAGTGCAGGTGGGGACAACCAGGGGAAGATTGGCAATCAAATGCCACCCCTGCAGGCCTGCTGCCCAGAAGGCTATGGTGAGCAGACTGCATGCTTCTGGAAAAGAATTCTGCTTTGGGTTTGAATTTTTAACAGCCATGATGGGCTTTGGGATAAAGGCTTGTTCCTGTCTTCTGAGCCCCAAATAATGCTGTTTACTCTGGGCTTAGTGGCCCCCACATACCCTCCTTTCCCCACTCTCTGGCTAAGAGGCAACAGCCAGGTTCTCATGGAGTGAAAACTGTTGGTGACCTAGAGTCCAGAGTCTGGGGACACTGCCCTGGATTGGGGAGCCAGCCCACTCCCGCCTTGTCAGAGGGAACACGCACGTTGTCCCCTCCATATCTGTGGCTTTCCAGAGCTCCAAGAATCACCATGGTTCAGGAGCTTCATCCTCTCTTCAGCCAGAGCTACTTGGACCACAGAATCCTGTCATTCGGAAGGTCAGAGGAGAATCAGAGGCTTTGTGTCTTCATGTTCTGCCTGCGGCCTGCTCTCTCCTTCCTGTGTAACTCAGAGACAAAGACAGTCAGGCTTAACCTGAGAGATGAGCCCTTTCTGACACAATGAAGCTTTGAGCTCCATCCTGCCTATAGCTGGAAGCTGAGGGGGGCTACCTGGGATAGCAGAGAATGGAAAAGGGAACAGGGGCACTCAATATCTGGAGTCCTTATTTTTGTAGATCAGGAAATGAAAATGTAAGTGACTTGGCCAAGGACACCAAGTGATTTCTGGTCAGCTGGGGTTAGAATGCAGCTGTCTTTATTACAGATCAATTGCTCTTTCCATTTTACTTCTCCCAGAAAGCCGATCCGCTGCAAGGCACACTTAGCCTACTTGTAAAGCTTCCCAAAGGGCTGCAGCCTCTCTTCTTGTTTGTCTTTTGTGCCTGCAAGAGAAGAGATGGGGCCAGGTATGGTAGAGTGAAGAGGATTGGGGTCCAGTTCTCACAGGGAGGAGAACTTGGGGTCTCATGAGGAAGAGAGAAAAAGATGAGGGGCAGAAAAAAGAGGCTTGGGGGAAACTTGGCCAGAAGGACCAGAGGCTGGGCCCAGGGCAAGACTGAAGAGCTTGGCATCCTCCTGCGGGTACCAGATGTCAGGGGACCCATGCAGGGGGCAGGGGGATTCTAGCTGCAGCTGGGCAGAGCAGGTGGGGCATATGGGCTTCCTCCAAAGCTTCAGGCCTCCTCTCACAAACCCAAGAGGGTCAGTACCCATTCTCCCCAGATCAGCACTCAGCCCTTCCCCTGACATCTTCTGGCTGGGGAACTCAAACTCATTGAGAGGGTGATGGAGGGGCTGTAAACTACATGAGCACTCCCAAGGTTGGACCCACCTTCCACTGAGGAGGGGAGTGGGAGAGGAGAGGGGTGAGAACTGGCAGACAGTGGGGAGAAATGGAGAAGAGGGGACGGTGGCCATACAGATGCCCACGTATGCCCTTTGGGTGCATTCTACACAGGGGTAGGGGCCCAGGAGGACTGAATGCCTGTGGGTCTTGAAATCTATAGACTGCTGGGAAGATGCTGGAAAACAGGCACCTGCGTGCACACACACACAATTGCTCTGGAACATCACTGTCATGTATTGATTCATTTTGACACAAAATACACCATGCATACATTTATGTCAAATAACGTGCACATGCATATCTAGATGGTAAAACTGGCTGCATGGTGTGGCTGCTCATCACCTCTGCCTCCCTGTGCCATATTTTCATCTCCAACTCAGCCCTTCAACCACCCTGCTCTTGGATCTTGCCCCCAGATCTTGCTAAGGAAGCGTGTGGAGTGTGAAGCTCCTTGGGCGCGGAGGCTCCGTGGGGCCAAGGACTGGGAGGTAGGAAATGAGGGCTTGAAGCCCCAGGGATGGAGCTACAACGAGTGATTGGGATGAGAAAAGGGATCCGGGACTAAAGTCACTTTCTAGGGAAAGGTGCATGGCAGTTCTGCAATAAATTAGACCTCTTGACCTATGAAAGTTGAAGTGACTTCGTGTGCATTGGGACCGTGGGTGAAGCATATTTCTTCAGATGCGCTGGATGTTTGAGTACAAAAGGACATTGGAGAGTTTCAGAACAAAGTGCTTCCCAGGGAACTGCAGAGCCAGCGCGACAGTCAGATACCTCCAGTCAGGCACCGCAGCAGCGTACCGCGCCCCCATCCCTGGGGTGGGAGGTGTAGGGGGTAGGGTGTGTGTGTGTGTGTGTGTGTGTGTGTGTGTGTGCGCGCGGTGTCTGTAGTGTGTGTGCATGATGTGTGTGGTATGTGGTGTGTGTGCAATGTGTGTGGTGTGTGACGCATGTGTGTGTGGTGTGTGTGTGGTATGTAGTATGTGCGGTATGTGGTGTGTGTGTGGTAGGTGTGTGCTGCATGTGTGTGCTTTGTGTGGGGGTTGCATGGTGTCTGCTGTGCATGTGTGTGTGGTGGTTGTGTGTGTGTGGTATGTAAGTGGTGTGTATGTGTGGTATGGGTGGTGTGTGCTGCCTGTGTGTGTGCTGCATGTGGGTGTGGTGTGTGTGGGCTGTGTAGTATGTGGTGTGCATGTGTGTGTGGTGGTTGTGTGTGTGTGTGTGGTATGGGGTGTATGTGTGTATGTTGATGTGTGTATATGTGGTGTGTACATGTGCATGTGTGTGTGTCTGCATGTGTGTGTGTCTGCAGGTGTGTGTGTGCGTGTGCATGTGTATGTGTCTGCAGATGTGTGTGTGTCTGCAGGGGTGTGTGTGCCTGTGCATGTGTGTGTCTGCAGGTGTGTGCGTGTGCAGGTGTGTGTGTCTGCAGGTGTGTGTGTGCGCGCAGGTGTGTGTGTGTCTGTAGGTGTGTGTGTCTGCAGGTGTGTGTGTGTCTGTAGGTGTGTGTGTCTGCAGGTGTGTGTGTGCATGTGTGTGTCTGCAGGTGTGTGTGCGTGTGTGTGTCTGCAGGTGTGTGTGTGTCT
Source organism: Homo sapiens (assembly GCF_000001405.40). Taxonomy (NCBI): domain Eukaryota; kingdom Metazoa; phylum Chordata; class Mammalia; order Primates; family Hominidae; genus Homo; species Homo sapiens. The sequence continues at coordinate 913,596 of NT_187562.1, read as the reverse complement.
GCAGGTGTGTGTGCGTCTGCAGGTGTGTGTGCAGGCGTGTGTGTCTGCAGGTGTGTGTCTGTGTGTGTCTTCAGGTGTGTGTGTGCATGTGTGTGTCTGCAGGTGTGTGTGTGTGTCTGCAGGTGTGTGTGTGTCTGCAGGTGTGTGTGTGTAGGTGTGTGTGTCTGTAGGTGTGTGTGTCTGCAGGTGTGTGTGTGCATGTGTGTGTCTGCAGGTGTGTGTGTGTCTGTAGGTGTGTGTGTGTCTGCATGTGTGTGTCTGCAGGTGTGTGTGTGTCTGCAGGTGTGTGTGTCTGCAGGTGTGTGTGTGTCTGCAGGTGTGTGTATGTAGGTGTGTGTGTGTGCAGGTTGTGTGTGTGTCTGTAGGTGTGTGTGTGTCTGCAGGTGTGTGTGTGCATGTGTGTGTCTGCAGGTGTGTGTGTGTCTGCAGGTGTGTGTGTGTGCATGCACTAACTGTCATGGGCTCCTTTGCAGGCTTTATGAGTTGGCGCACGGCTGGTGAACCCAGTGACTGGAACAAACTCCAAGCTGAGTGAGTAAGCAATGCTTTTGACCTCACTACCCCTTGCTGGTTCCATCCCTCATGAGCAGAGAGCAAGGACACGCCCTCCAAGAGGCCAGGGGACACTGCCACAGGCCACACACTGACACTTGACATACCACAACACATATACCACACACACTATACAAATACACCAATACACCCCCAAAATACCACACACACTATAGAAATACACCAATACACCCCCAAAATACCACACACACTATAGAAATACACCAGTACACCCCCAAAATACCACACACATGCAATGCATGTACACACACACTACACACACACACACACACCCCTCACCACAGAGACTAAGAGCAAGGGAGCAGAGATACTATTGCACAGTGACAGAGGCAGTAAGACAGGAAAAACTGAGCGAAACATAGAAAGACATAGGACAAATAAAAAGTGACAAAGCCAGAAAAAAACTATACATATACTTTTCTGGCTCTAAATCAGTGGTTCTCAATGGAGAATGATTTTGCCAATGTCAGCGTGTAAAAACATTCATGAGCAGCGTGTAAAGACATTCCTTGGTGGTCACAATGGAGGGGAGGGACATGCTACTGTCACCCAGTGAGTGGAGGCTCGGATGCTGCTAAACTTCCTACAATGCCTAGGACAGCCCTTGCAGAAAAGAATTATTTGTTCCGAAATATCAATAGTGCCGGGGTCGAGAAATTGTGCCCCAAATGCGGAAACATCGGGGGCACAGGAGCTCTTTGGAGCTCCTGTGCCTCCAGCTCAGGACTGTGTAACTGTGACCTCTCTGCCCCTCTCAGGGGCCGTCAGAGGAGGCTCTGACACTCTGCCCTGGGGCCCCCAGGGAAGCCTGAGGACCTCACTTTCACTTAGCATTTGAGGCTCAGCCCCAGGCAGGGAGGACTGGTTTAACCACCTGGTCCCCAGGTTGCCTGCTCCAGTCCTGTCCTCCCTCCCTCTTGGCTCCTGACCCCTTCGGTTCTCTTCAGGGCTTGGTCAGAGGCCACCACGAGGGCAGAAAAGAGGTCAGGCCATGCACTCATCATTATGGATAAAATCATTGAGAGGAAGAGCGACTCACTCAGAAGTCACACAAGTCTTATTATTTTTGGAGCCTGGGAAAGGGAACCGGGAGAGGCCAGCCCCGTGAGTGCTCTCCCAGGATCTCCAGTCTCCCCCTCACCACCTTCACCCCAAAACTCACAGCCTCCTGGGCATGCCCACTCCTTGACTGTGGGTTACAGAACCGATTCCTCCCATGTCAGGAGGTGCTGCCCTGGGGTGGAGTGGCACAGAGGGGGCTGTGCTAGTCTCAAGGGAGAAGGAGGTCCACGGCATCCTTCCTGTCCCCTGGAAACAAGCAATATGGGATGCAGGTTTAAGATGTGAGACTGAGGCTGGACGCGGTGGCTCACACCTGTAATCCCAGCACTTTGGGAGGCCGAGGCAGGCGGACCACAAGGTCAGGAGATCGAGACCATCCTGGCTAACATGGTGAAACCCCGTCTCTACTAAAAATACAAAAAATTAGCTGGGCATGGTGGCAGGCGCCTGTAGTCCCAGCTACCCGGGAGGCTGAGGCAGGAGAATGGCGTGAACCCAGGAGGCAGAGCTTGCAGTGAGCCGAGATCACGCCACTGCACTCTAGCCCGGATGACAGAGCAAGACTCCATCTCAAAAAAAAAAAAAATGCGAGACTGAAAGTGATTGGTGGGGGTGCTTTCAGGAGCTTCTGGGGGTAGTGCCACCTACCCTAGGGCCACCTTCCCTTACTGATACGATGTTAGGTCCAAAGACCAAGAGAACATTGCAGCCAGAAGCTTATATCCTGCAAACTTGTCCTCCCCTCCCATCTGGACACCCCAATTTTGAGTCTGTTGGCTGATCCATGCACAACACCAGGTGGAGGAGGCTGAGGAAGAGGAAGAGCATTGGAAAACAACTTTGTCCTCCTCCTATCCTCCTCCCTCCCTAAGTCTCCCTCCCAAAGCCTCCCTCCCCCAGCCTCCCTCCCCAGCGTAACGAAGGCCTCATTGCTTTCTCTCCTTCCCCACCAGACACTAAACTGGGGTCTTTGAAGCTAAATAGGTCTTTGAAGCGACAAACCACTGGCTTAATGGGCACAAAGGTCTTGGGGTTCAAGGTTTGGGTTCTAGCACCTTCCCCCAACCCAGCCCGAACCCACTGACCCAGGTGGGTGGGGACGAAGCTAATCCAATTGAACTGTTTGCTCAGGACTGCGTGGCCTGGCCTCTGCCCAGCGGCAGGAACACAAATAGCTTTCCACTTGAAGGGGTCCTTCTCTCCCCTGCCCTACCTCAGCATCCACCTCCCTCCACACACCGACTCCCCCCACACACAGCACATATGACACACACCCCATGACATACATACACACACAACACACACCATACATACACACATAGTAAACCCACCATACACTACACAAATCATGTATACACCACACACACACACACACACACATCATGTACACGCACACATACCTTAAAGGTACCATATACATCACCCACTACACACCATACACACAACACACATGCAACAATCTTTCCACAATACGTATATACACAACACACATGTCACACATACCATCACAGACACCACATCCACACGCTCTACAGGCCATACCTACACATATCACATATATCATACACACGTAGACACATACCAAACACACCACAGGCACATCATATACATACAGCATACCACACACAAAACACCCCACCGATGCACATCATGAACACACGCATAAACACCACACACAAATGCACATGGGCACACACGCCATACACACGCCACACACACACTCCCCTGGCTGGGTCTTCCAACTCTGAGTCAGAGAAAGTTAGGACAAAACAGACTCTGAAGCTAGGAAGTGATCCACACACCTGTGACTCTGAACACCCAGACACCTGCCCCTAGGCTATTGGCACCTGGCTGGCACCAGGAGGTTGGATAAGCCCGGGCTTCTGCCCCTTTCCAGTGGAAAAGTTGAACTAAATGACCTTTCCGACAGCTTCCAGCAAGCTCATGATGGAGCTCTTTGTTGTGGGAAGACGATGGGCCATGCTTAATGCCATCATTCTTCTGTATGACTGTGCGAGTCACTTAACCTCTCTGAAGCTCTGTTGGCCAGTTAGAATGAGGAGGTGTGCTAGGGAGAAAGAAGTGGGCTTGGAATGAGGGATGGGTGTGAATCTTGCCTCTGCCACCTCTATGGCCTTGGGAGAGTTCCTTTACCATGGTGAGCTTTGGTTTCTCCCATCAATACAATGTAGATAATAATACCTGCCTTGCAGGTTTGTTACGAGTTTACCTGGGAACGCTCAGTTAAAAGGCCCAGCACACAGTAGCAGCTGAATGTCACCTCCACGGGAAGGCTGGCAGATAGAATACTTGCAAAACGTGGGGTATATTTATACTAAAAAATTCTTTGTTGTTTATCTAAAATTCAAATTTGACCACGTGTCCTGTATTTTATCGGGCACCCACCCCATGCACGGGGCATTGTGGACAGTCTGTGGAGCTCCTGAGCAGGGGGTCTGCCCAGAGCTAGATTTTGTGCCCTGGCTGGTGAGCGAAGAATGCATTTTACATCTTTGGGGGTGGTTAGAAAACAACCACCAAAACAAAACCAAAGAATAACGTACATTAGAGAGTGTACATGGCTTGCAAAACCTAACATCTTTACATTTCCTATCAGCCCTTCCAGAAAAAGTTTGCTGACCCAAAGGTGATGGGGACTGAGAGGAAAGTCTGGGAGAACTGAGAATCTTCGCAATTTATATACCTATTTCAGGCCTGGCAAGAATGAAACTGGAAGAGTCCAGAAAATGGAATTCTCCAGGACATAAGCAGGGGGAGGCAGAGAGTGAGGCAGGTGGTCGGCAGAAGAGGCACTGTGGGAAAGTGTGGCGCTCCCTCCTGGGAGTCCTCAACATTGGGAATGGGCCTGCCCTGACTCCTCCCCTCCTTTCTCACTGCCTAGAGTCTCTCAGGGTAGGTCACTGGGTGTTCTGACGTCCAAGGGAGGCCTCGCCAGTCTTTCTGAAGGCCTCCCTGGTTGTGACTGGCCTGGGGGCAGGGAGAGAGCCCTGGGTGGAGAAAGAATTGGAGTTGGCACAAGTCCCCCTTGGTAGGCAGGTCTGTGGCTGGCCTGTGTCTTTAAATCTCAGGTAATTTGGGAGGAGGGAGGGCGTGTCCGTGCAGCTTTGGCTCCTCCTGCTCACTCCCAGCAGGAGCTCCAGACAGGCCAGCTCTGCAGAGTCCTGGCTGGCTCTGCCAAGTGTAACAAACTCACAGCCCTCTCCAAACTGGCTGGGGCTGCTGGGAGACTCCCAAGGAACTCGTCAGGAAGGCAGGAGACAGGAGACGGGACCTCTACAGGGAGACGGTGGGCCGGCCCTTGGGGGGGCTGATGTGGCCCCAAGGCTGAGTCCCGTCAGGGTCTGGCCTCGGCCTCAGGCCCCCAAGGAGCCGGCCCTACACCCCATGGGTTTGTCACTGCCCAAGGAGAAAGGGCTAATTCTCTGCCTATGGAGCAAGTTCTGCAGATGGTTCCAGAGACGGGAGTCCTGGGCCCAGAGCCGAGATGAGCAGAACCTGCTGCAGCAGAAGAGGTAAGGCCCCCTTGGTCTGCTCCCTTCCCCACCTCCCCAGGCCTGCACCTCTACCCCTCACCCCTCCCTCACCTCCCGTCTTTGTTTGGCACCTTTGGCTGGACAGATGGTGCTCCCAGGCCCGGACTGGCTCCTTGGGAGCATTCTGTCTTAAGAGCCTCAGCCTGTAGGGCTGGTGAAAGAGGATGGGGCTGAGATGGGCACAGGTGTTCACTATCTTAAGATCTAATTCGATTCTGCAAGCCTCTTGTGAGTACTTCTCTAAGGGCCAGGCGTCTTGCTGGGGCTTGTAAGGATAGAGCATCACAGCCCCTCCACCCAAGAGGGGACGGCAGGTGAGGACAATGCCTTCTGTATCTCCACTGCTTGCCTCTAGAACAGTCTCTCTGGCAGGAACACATAGTATACGTATGTTCGCATGGAGGAATGAGTGAACGATTGAATGAATGAAGCAGAGAGAACCGCGGACACCAGGAACCAGAAAATAAGACAAAATGTGAAAAAAGTGACCATTCCTATGTATCTGTCTCATCAGACACTGACCAAGGCCTTACTATTTGCCCAGCACTGGGGGGATATGAAGACCTACAACGCTCAAACCCAACCTTGAGGTGTATTTCTCTCTCAGTGCGGGTGGGGACTGGGGGGAAGCGGGTCAAAATAACAGATGTTCCGAGGACCTGTGCTCTTCTGCATTCAGGTGGTGGAAATCGAGACTCTAGCGTTTAAGCCCTAAGGACATTCACTGGTGGCTTCCAGCCCCTGAAAACTTCCTAAACCCGTGTCCTGCTTTCTTCACCATGACAGCTTGGAGTACAGAGCAGGAGAGGAGCAGGGAATCGGAACTCAGGGCTATCCCTGCATGTGGTCTCTTCTTCAAGGTCTCTAATAGAGTTCTCTACCCAGTTGGTGGCATGCTAGAAGGAAGTCCTGCCTGTTGGGGCTTTCCCTGGGTCACGAAGGAGGCAGATGTCTGGTCATAGAGGAAAGCCTGAAGTCTTTGTGCCTTAGGGTTTTTCTCTGACCCCAAGAGTAGGAGCCTGCTTTAGCCTGACCGGGGAGGCTGCCTGGAGGCCCCTGTGTTTTCTTTTGCTGAAGGATTCTGGGTTGGGGATGGTCTCTTTCTGTGAATTATGGCTTCCCGTCTCTCCAGCCGCCCACCTCTCCCCCAAGGCCTGGGAGAGTGGGGACTGGAGCACATGTTTGGCTGATGACATCTTGGGGCAACAGAATGGCATTGTTGTTAGAGAGTAGGTCGTCCTCACTGGCTTCACTCATCCTCTTCCCACTCTTAGGACCCCAGGGCCAGGGGATCCAGGCACAGAGTGCAAAAAGGCCTGGGGGATTGGAAGGGGTGGTGGAGATTCCCTGTGTGCGATATCAGGGGAGAGCAGAGGGGAGGCCCTGAGCTGAGTGGCTGAGAATAGGCTGCTTCCGCATGTCCTGTCTGCCCTCACTTTTCCTCAGATCATATGGGGGCTGCCTCTGCAGACTTTGGCTAGAAAGGCTTGATGTCACCCTTGGGAGGGATCCCCCCTCCCTGCCCTGATCTCCTTACTGGCCTCCGCACTTTCTTGGCCTTCTTCTTGCTGGATATCAGGTGTCCAGAGCAATGACTCTTCTTTGGGTGGGCACTTCCCAGAAGGATGCTGAAATTGCCTGCAAGGGGAGTTTCCTAATCTGTGCCGTCAACCAAAGAGAAGGCATGGGGGCATTGAGATAAACATGGGATGACTAAGTAAATAGGAACAATATGGACAAGTGAGGGGTGAGCTAATGGAAGAAAGGAGCACACAATGATTGAGAACCCAGTGCTGTACTAGGTACTACCACCTGCCTTATCTCTGTCATCCCGGTAACAATAATGGAAGGTGGGTCCTGTTATCCCCCTATGAATGGGGCAGGCCCAGAACCCTAGAGCAAGTAAATGGTGAAGTTGAATTTGTTCCAAAGGGGACTCACAGGGAGAACTGTGGGGTGGGATTGCGTGGGATTCCATGCGGTACAGGATGGTCTAGTGAGAAAGGAAGGCTTTGAGTCTCTCCAGGATGATCGGGAACCCAAACTCCTCTTTTTACAGTGGACGTTTCTTGGTGCTTAGCACGCAGCCCGCTCTGCTTAAATCTACATTGCTGGGATCCAAGTCGAGCTCTCAACTTTCTCCCGTGTCCTCCAGGTCATCTCCCCCTTGGGCTTGGGTTTTCTCACTTCCTGATATTTAATGCATTACACATTTATTGAACATAAGGCACTCCACCTTTCTGCAGAAAATGAATATGACACTGTTCCTGCTCTCAGGGAGTTCTCATTCCTATGACCAAAGTTTACTGAAGGCACATACGGGGCTAAAGATGGGCTTAGTAGACATCACTAGAAGGGTGTAAATGAGTGTTCTGGAAGCATAGAGGGGGAAGTGTGAGATCTGATTTCGGCTGCTGTGGGGTGTCCTGGGCAGCTTCATAGAGGCTGCTTAACCTGAACCCCACTCCAGCCCATGTGCTGGCACTTTGTCATCTAAGGAGCAATTTGGAGGGAAGGTGATGCTTGTTGGAGCTTTTTTTAGGGTTAAATACCTGTATGAAATGTGTGAATTGAGTGTCTGAAAAGTCATCCCTGGGTTTCTCTGGTATATTGTGCATGCTTGCCTTGGTAAATACTTACACACGTGCCTACTTGTAAATGCGCAAATAGACATGTGCACAAAAGGAGCTGTGGCACTTAGGATGGCAGCCGATTCCAAATCTCTAAACAACCACTTTGGCTTTCTCATCCCCATTGCCAGGAACATGAGCTGGAGGGAGGTGGCCCACAAGTGCCCAATGTATGCCTCCGCCCCACACATTACCGCTCTTTCCTTCATCTGTGGTCACTGCTCAGGCTTGCCCCCCAACCTCCAAGAAAAATCAGGAGGAGCCATAAAACTAGAAGAACCACATAATTTAGTGGTCAGAGCCTGGGGCTGGATTCTTGGCCAAGCATCCTGCCTTTAACTCCGTGTGATCTTCTGGCAATGATTTGGTTATGCCGCTTCAGTTTCCTTTTCTGAAGCATGGGAGAACTATTCAGCTGGTGTTAGAGGGTTGTAAAGAGCAAAAGTGATAATGAGTGAGATGCTGCGGGAATGAGAGGGGCCATGAACTTCCCCCGCACAGCACTGTATCCACCCAGGAATGCAAGAAGCCACGCACTCCGAGCAACCCTGTTGTGTACCAGCCCCAGCCCTGCCCAGAGGGCACACTCACTGGTGGGAAAGGTATTTGTGGAGAGACCAGTGGGACCCATGCCTGTCTTCTCTAACTCCTCTTCCAGCCCTGATTAAAACTGAGAATCGTGACCAAGAAATGACCAGTGGGGCATGCGTCGTGGCTCTGTCTCTGACTTGCTTCCTCCATCTGTTTCATGAGCAGATTTGACTCAATTCCTGAGGGGCTTTCTAGCTCTAAAAATCTTATTTGAACTTTTCTCAAGAGTCTTGTGATCCTGCCTTGTTTCTCAGCACCTAAAAACCAAATTGGACCCATGCACACAGTGCACACATCTACAAGGATGGAGGAGCAGATGAGGGTGTGGGGTGGAGGAGACGGAGAGAGGAAGTCAGGAATCCTTCCCTGGTGGCCCAGAGGCAGCCCTGAGAAGGAGGTCATTGATCTGTTTGCTCAAGAAATAATGTGCTAGATTTTGTGCCAGGAACCCCTTAGTTGGGTTTTCACCAGGCTAATGTTGAACTAGACCGTTCAATTTTATTATAATTAATTGCCTAGTAAAAGAAAACATTCTAGAACCTGAAAATACCTTTCATATTGTTACAGTTTCAGATTTGCTCTATAATCTCTTTTGACTACTTCATCAGTGGGAGCTTAAAAGACTTCATCTGACTTTTTTTTGTTTCTCCCTTAGTTGAGTATTTAGTGATCCATAAGAAAACATTTTTATGTATAGGATATTTCTGATTCCTTTTCGAGTGAAGAATCCTCATTCTAAAACGGATTATGAATCATTGTACCTCTGAATCAGGGGTTCTCCACCTTGGACTATTGACATTTTGGACAGGATAATTCTTTGCAGTGAGGGCTGTCATGTGCAGGGTGCTTAGCCGTGTCCCTGCCTTTGACCCCCGTGTTGTGATCTAAACTCCTGTGATAAGTTGCTATTGAAAAATCTATTTGTCCCCCAAGCACAGGAATCTTTGAGTAGGTCAGCTCTGTGCACCTCCTTCAGGGACCCAAGGAGAGTCAGGTGTTTTGGGGTCAGCCTTACTCCCAAGCAGGTGAGCTAGGGCTTTCTGTGCTGTCCCCTTGTGGGCATATGAGGTTATTGCAAGTAATGGCTGGGCCGGATACCTTCAAAACCCGTCCACAGGCTGGGCCCCCCTTTTTGCTGGAGTCTGGAGTTCACAGTCGGAGGAGGCTAGTTCTCTACAAACCTTGCTGGGTTGGGTCATAAGCTGGCTCTTCACGCAGGGTGTGGTCTGGCTAGGTTGCCAGATAAAATGCAGGACACTCAGTTCAATTTAAATTTGAGATAACGAATAGGCTGCTAGTATAAGTGTATCCCCAATATTGCACGTGACATACTTATACTAAAAAAAAATTGTGCATCTGACATTCAAATCTAACTGAGCATCCTGTATTTTTATTTGGTAACTCTAGCAACTCTGGGTCTGACAGTAGCTTTTTGTTTTCCCCAGGCCACTAGAGTGTCAGAATTCATAGGGAATGGAGGTTTATGGGGGACACTTTCAGCTTCAGAGACGTGTAGGGACCAAAGGGGAATCTTTGAGCCTGCCACTGACTATACCACCACTAACATCTAGGATACAGCGAGTAGAACTCTGGACTTGGAAAAGGTGCTCTCTCGGACCCATTTCTAGATTTGCCATCAATCTTTCACACATTTGGTCAAAATGGGACACAAACGTGGAAGCATATTGGAGGAGGGCAGGGAAGAGTTAGTGGCTGGTCTCTTCCCTCGAGTACCCTTAGCATAGAGGAAGGGACACAGATACATAGCAATTACAGCACCCAGTGAAAGATGCTGAAATAAAAGTAAGGCCACAGGAGAGAGTGAAGAACTTCTGAGTGTCTGTGTGTGTGTATGTGGTGCTAGCGATTGTTTTCCCCTCAGTCTAGGGTATCCAGAGAGGAGGGCTTTGTGCAAATGGTTGATGTGGTGGTGGTGATGGAGGGAATGTGGAAAACTTGTTTTGAAGCTGTGTTTGCATACCAAGTGTACTATTTTTCACTTATATGCTTGCTGAAAGTTGGCTTAGCGGGCAGCTGATGAAAATAATAATAACAGTTAATTCAAACCACCTTTTGGCATTGCTGCTGATTCATTCACTCTACAGATGGTGTCAGTGAGCATCTACACCATTCTAGGTGTATTTCTAGGCATAGGCAGTGCAGAAGACACAATGAACAATTGGCGGGCTGGGGGAGTTGGATTCTAGAAGGAAAGAGCTTCATGGGCACAGACATAGGGAGAATGGTGTGCTCTGCAGTGCTGAGACAGGATGAGACCAAAATGCCAGGTCTAAGGAGTGGGTGGGACGTGCAGAGGGTGGAAAAGTAGTTGCACAAAGACCTTAAAGAGCTTCTGTGTTCCTTATCCTTAGCATTTTGCTAATCTGGGCTAGAGAATGAAGACTTGAATTAATGAGGGTTAGCAGGAGCAAGGAGGTAGGGACTGAATGAAGAGAGAGCTTTCCATGCTGAACTGACAGGACCTGGTGGCAGCTGCTGTGCATGGGCGCAAGGCAGAGGAGATGAGTGAGCTGATGTCTCCTCTCTGATTGCCCTCCCACCTCCGGCTCTGGAGTCAATTTCTTGCCACTGCCAGCGCTTTAGAATGTGAGCTCCTGTCTATGTCTTTTTGTATGTCACATAACTGTCAAACTATGGATAAATAGAGTTATTTCATTTACTCCCATAGAAAGACCAAATGGCTCCAGGCCAAGAGAAAATTGAATCAAAGGGACCCATGTGTCTTAGTTGGGGTAAGTTCTAATTTTAAAAGAGATTTTTAGCACACAGTAGGTATAAGAATAAAGAGATGATCTGGGGATTCAGAGAAGATAATTTTGCCTAAAACAAGCGAGAAGTGGATAATAAGGAGAGACTAATCTGACTCAGCAAAATAAACGGATCCATGAATCCCAAATTGGGTAAATCCAAGAAGGGTCCGAAGACAGAATGGGAACATTCAGATGCACATGAAATTCGATGAATGAATCCTCTAGATTGGATTCTCTTTTTTCTCTGCATCTGTCATTGTTGGCCATAGTTTGTGTCTTAGGGGCCAATAGCCGAAACAAAGTAGTACCTAAAGCCCTCTAGACAGCTGGTCTGAAAATGATGGAGAACACTGTTTCACAAACTTTAATGTGAGCTGTTTGGAAACTGAGACCCCTGAGCTTGTCTCTGATTTATCGCCACCGGTTTTTGCATGCAAGGACCACTTAAGCAATGCTTCTCCAACTTTCATATGCCCAGGAATCAGCTGGAAATCTTCTTAAACTGCAGATTTGGATTCACTAGGTGGAAGGGTCCGCCAGAGCATTTCCATTTCTTATAAGGGCTCATGTGCTGCTGCTGATCCAGGGGTCCACTTTAAGAAGGAAGGCTGTTGAGATGATGTGAGAAGAAAGACGAGAGGCAGAAAGGAAGAGACAGAGATAATGAATGAATGAATGAATGAATGAATGAATGAACACCTATGAGGAAGGAAAGCCTGGAGCCAGGCTTGTTCTTATGGTCCACTGTTCTTTTGTGTTAAGCCCTGAAGATGCTATTGTTGGGAGGGAAGCGCCAGGATCAAAGGGTTCTGCTGAGAAGGTTAAGTAGGCAGAGGATGGTGCAACAGGAGAAATCCTGCTAGCCTGTGCATATGACTCCCTCCACAAATATGAGACAGGAATTCCTTGCACCCCTCGGTCCATGCAAAACAAGGCTTATCCTGGAGGGCAATCTCAGGGCACCTGGTGAGGGTCAAACAGGACCACTCCAGGGGTAAACTGGTTAGCAGGTAAGCACATGTCTACATAGAACTCCTCCCCTCCGTACCTGAAATGCACTGATAATACATTCACACATGATACATTCTGGTCCCAGGACCCGGTAGGGGGGAAGGAAACCAGTCACGGACAATCTCAAAACGCATGCTAAATGGGCAAAAAGTTGATTGTATTTACTGACTGTAAAGAGAAAAGACATCAATGGCCCCACCTGCCTTGATTGAAGACCCTGAGGTTCCTGCTGCTGAGGCACACACATCTGTGTATAATAATGGAGTCAAGCCAGGGCCTCTCCCTCCACAACTAGGTATGCTCACTGTTTCCAGCTTTCCTATTCCATCCCTTCATAGGATCTGGGAGTCTCCTCTCCTTCTAGCTGCCAAAGATAATGATGTCCAGGCCCTGAACAAGTTGCTCAAGTATGAGGATTGCAAGGTGCACCAGAGAGGTAAGAAGCACAAATGCAGCATGATCTCCTAGGTGAGCCCCACACATGGGGCCTCCCAGGAGTGCCCAGGACCTCGTGCTGTTGGCCTCTGAATCTATCGTCTCCAATCCGCTGTCCCACAGAAGCCATATAACCCACCTCTCTGTAAATGCCAGGAGCCATGGGGGAAACAGCGCTACACATAGCAGCCCTCTATGACAACCTGGAGGCCGCCATGGTGCTGATGGAGGCTGCCCCGGAGCTGGTCTTTGAGCCCATGACATCTGAGCTCTATGAGGGTGAGGGCCCACGGGTCTGGGGTGAAGAGCAGGAATGACTGGTTGGGTATTTCAAGTCAGTCTCTGTGATGGATAATTTGGGAAAGACACAGGGGATCTGAGCCTCCTACTCTTTTTTTCTCTTCTCTGTCTCCCTTCCGTGTCAGTCCTGACTGCCCATCACTAGAACGCCTGCCCCCTGAAATGCCAGGGGCCTAGAGAAGAGGAAGAGATGGGCAGCAGCTGGATCCCCTGGGAATCCTGAACACCCGAGGGCTCCCTGTTCTCCATCCCAGGCTACCCCTGAGGGAAAGAGACTGGGGTGCATATGGGAGGGACCCCCTGCAGGATCCTGGGAACAGACCCGTGACTGACAGCTGTCTCTGGGCCAGGTCAGACTGCACTGCACATCGCTGTTGTGAACCAGAACATGAACCTGGTGCGAGCCCTGCTTGCCCGCAGGGCCAGTGTCTCTGCCAGAGCCACAGGCACTGCCTTCCGCCGTAGTCCCCGCAACCTCATCTACTTTGGTGAGAGCAGGGCTGGGCTTGGAGGACGGGCAGTTGGAAAGGTGGGCAAGGCAGGGCAGGGCCAGGCAGAGGAGGATCCTGTCTTCAGCCGTATCTGTTGGGCAGCTGGGAGGAGCAATCCTTCTAGGGCTTAATTAGACTAGAGGCCAATTTACCCCACGACCCTTCCTCTGGTTCTGCAGGAAAAGTGTCCTCAAGCCCTGAGCTGAGATGTGGGGGAAGATAAGGCTGTCACTTGGGGGAGACTGTCCACCCCATCCTGCCATCCTGCACTCTCCTACCATAGATCTCTCTGTGTCCACAGGGGAGCACCCTTTGTCCTTTGCTGCCTGTGTGAACAGTGAGGAGATCGTGCGGCTGCTCATTGAGCATGGAGCTGACATCCGGGCCCAGGACTCCCTGGGTAAGAGCTGAGATGGGGAGGGGAGCTGGGATGCTGCAGGGAGTGAGGGACAGGGTGAGGAGAGGGGCTGGGACCTTCAGGAAGACCTCAGGGTGGGGATGGGGACATCAGGGACTTTAGGCCAGTGGCCACATGATACCCTGTGTCCTCCCCAGGAAACACAGTGTTACACATCCTCATCCTCCAGCCCAACAAAACCTTTGCCTGCCAGATGTACAACCTGTTGCTGTCCTACGACAGACATGGGGACCACCTGCAGCCCCTGGACCTCGTGCCCAATCACCAGGGTCTCACCCCTTTCAAGCTGGCTGGAGTGGAGGGTAACACTGTGGTGAGAGACGGTCCCCATCCCTGAGGTGTCTTTCTAATGACCCTCAACCTATCCCGCTGGCCCTGGGAGAAACAGAGGTGAACGCGATCCCTGATGCTTAGATCCCATTCTCAACTCAGAAATTTTTCAACCCCTCCCACTGTGGTTACCTGTTCCCTTTCTTGCCCACTCCTTTTCCCCTGAGGCATTGGGGGTTACAGAGTCTAGATCCCATGCTAGGATTGTCTGTAATGCCTCAGCCCACCTTCCCTTTCAGCCCCCAGAGCAGGGCCCTCCAGCCTCTCGTCTCCCCTTTCCAAACTCTGGAGGGAGTCATGGGAGAGGATGAGGAACCTATGAATGTCACTGTGAATGTGGGTTCTTCTGCCCTCTAAAGGCTGTCATCAAAATGAAAGGGCAGCCACCTTCTCCAGGGGTGCTGTCCTCCTGCACATGCATCCTATCCACACTCTGTGACCGTCCCCTTTGCTTACTGCTCCTGAGTCATCTTCACTTTCCCTTAGATGTTTCAGCACCTGATGCAGAAGCGGAAGCACACCCAGTGGACGTATGGACCACTGACCTCGACTCTCTATGACCTCACAGAGATCGACTCCTCAGGGGATGAGCAGTCCCTGCTGGAACTTATCATCACCACCAAGAAGCGGGAGGTATGGCTCATGACAGCAGGCTGTGGCTGGGGAGGGGTGTCAGGGTCTCTGAGCCACCTGTTCTCTTTCTGTTGCAGGCTCGCCAGATCCTGGACCAGACGCCGGTGAAGGAGCTGGTGAGCCTCAAGTGGAAGCGGTACGGGCGGCCGTACTTCTGCATGCTGGGTGCCATATATCTGCTGTACATCATCTGCTTCACCATGTGCTGCATCTACCGCCCCCTCAAGCCCAGGACCAATAACCGCACAAGCCCCCGGGACAACACCCTCTTACAGCAGAAGCTACTTCAGGTGACACCCTTGTAGGAGCAGATCAGCAGGGCAGGACTTGGCTCTCTGTCCTCAGAGACTGGTGTCCCTTTCCTCCCTCACACCATTTCTCCCCTTGCTCTAATCTCAAATATATGGGTACAAACTCCAAATGCACGCCCACAAAAACACACATACGCTCTTACTCTGAGAGCAGAGTTTGAGAAGACCCAAACCTAACAGATTAAAAAGAATCTGCTAAGACTGGTGACCCTGGGCACCATGGAAATGCAGGGCAGAGGCCTGAAAGCCCTGAGCATTTTGACTGTTCTTCTCCCCCATTAGGAAGCCTACGTGACCCCTAAGGACGATATCCGGCTGGTCGGGGAGCTGGTGACTGTCATTGGGGCTATCATCATCCTGCTGGTAGAGGTGAGGTGTGGATGGACTCTGGGTGAGGCTGTCTGCCCGAGGAATCCAGCCCAAGTTCCGGTATCTGAGTGCCTTTGTGTCTCCCTGACCTCTTCAGGTTCCAGACATCTTCAGAATGGGGGTCACTCGCTTCTTTGGACAGACCATCCTTGGGGGCCCATTCCATGTCCTCATGTGAGTTCCCTTCCTCTCACTCCCATCCCTTCCCTCAACAGGGCTCCAGTTCCACTCCTTGGATTCCTGACCTCTCAAGAACCTTAGCTCCAGAGCCCCCTCTCTAGTGCTGTGTGTATGACCCTGGGCATTGAGTGTGGGGAGGCTGAATCTGCATGTGTGGGTACTTTCCCAGCTACATTCTTGCTGTCAGGTCCCCAGGATCATCCCAGCCCTCCCCTCATCACCCTCCTCCCTGCTCCCCCAGCATCACCTATGCCTTCATGGTGCTGGTGACCATGGTGATGCGGCTCATCAGTGCCAGCGGGGAGGTGGTACCCATGTCCTTTGCACTCGTGCTGGGCTGGTGCAACGTCATGTACTTCGCCCGAGGATTCCAGATGCTAGGCCCCTTCACCATCATGATTCAGAAGGTCAGTCCTCCCCCCAAGCTCCCTAGAGAAAGGCCCCAGAGCCACAGTCAGCAGACGGTCCCATAAAGGGCAGAACAGTAGACATTGCAGGTTCTGCAAGCCACACATGGCCTCACTGCATGTTTTTCTTCTTTTTTAACAATCCTTTTAAAAAATGTAGAAACCCTTTTCAGTTCAAAGGCCACACCAAAGCAGGTCAGGTAGATCTGGTCCACAGGCCATAGATAGCCAATCCCTGTCCCAGAGGGTGGAGCTGTGAGACTTGTCGGGGTGAGACCTGTTAGAGGCTGGATGGGGCAATTGCTTGGGGAATGTGTGCAGATGTTCTCTGCCTCCTGCTCCTTCTAGATGATTTTTGGCGACCTGATGCGATTCTGCTGGCTGATGGCTGTGGTCATCCTGGGCTTTGCTTCAGGTAATCATCTGTCCAGGACCAGGGGCCATGGCAGGGAAGAGATGAGAAAGTCTAGGGGGCACTGGCTCTGGCTAAACTTGGGGAGGAGGAGTAATGCAGAGATCAGAGGAGACCTATGGTATCAGAGGATGGGACGTCCTCCAGAGGTGAGAAAAATCGGGAGTGTTAGGGAGAGGTGGCTCTTAGGATCAAGATGAGGCTCATAGAAAACTAGGGACCGTAAAAACCCAAAGTTTGGAGCACTGCAGAGCTGGTGATATTGAGATGAAGGGACCAGGATGGACATGCACGCAGAGCCCGGGGTGGGCTGGTCGTCTGCATGGTTGCCATGGTAACCCTCACCCCCTTGGGTGGAGCAGCCTTCTATATCATCTTCCAGACAGAGGACCCCGAGGAGCTAGGCCACTTCTACGACTACCCCATGGCCCTGTTCAGCACCTTCGAGCTGTTCCTTACCATCATCGATGGCCCAGCCAACTACAACGTGGACCTGCCCTTCATGTACAGCATCACCTATGCTGCCTTTGCCATCATCGCCACACTGCTCATGCTCAACCTCCTCATTGCCATGATGGGCGACACTCACTGGCGAGTGGCCCATGAGCGGGATGAGCTGTGGAGGGCCCAGGTGAGCCCCCTGGTGGCAGGGAGGGTTAGGGCAAGTCATCCCCTTCCTACCAAGGAACCTGCCAAGCTGAGAGGCAGGATATCTCCACCCCACTTATGTTTGGACAGTTGTGGCAAAGCTAGCAAAATCATGCAAAATGTACAGAAGCACTGATTAGCAATTCAACCAGGCAATACTGGAATCGCTGAGAAGATGCCTCACAGTTTTCTCAACAGTTAAAAGCTCAGTGTTTTCTAGAGGAATCAACAAGAAATAAATCAAAAGAAAATTAACGGTGGCTAAAATTGCACTCAGTACATTTTGTTCCCAAATAAAAACTGGAGTATCAAGTCTTCTTGATAATATTTAAGTCTGCAAAATTTGATATGGAAAGCAGGATGTGTTAAAAAAGTAATGCCACCAAAACTTCCTATAGTAGCAGAAGCTATCTTCAGCCAGATCTTCAAGATAGGGAGAGAAGACCATGAGATGAATCAAATCCTCATTTAAAAAACACCTAGAAAATAATTTATCTAAAAAAATCATTTCAGCAAAATAATGGAAATTTCCCAAACTGGAAGGCATTTAACTATGCTGTGTAGAAAACGGAGTGGAAAAACTAAGCTGGGAAATAAGGTTCACTCAGAAAAATATTTTCTCCAGGAATATATATTGATATTCTAAGTGGGATGTTTATATTTATAAGTGGCCTTTATGTCTGTAGGGTCAAAATATCTGGGAGCCCTTAAAAGCCCTTTCTATTTGCTTTCTCTGGTGCCTGTGCTCCTGGGAATGGGGCTTCTGCTTCCTGTCTTTCTCCTGCCTCTGGCCTGGCTGCGTCATGGATGTTGGGTCATTGGGTAAAGAATTGTTGGTCTCAAGCTCTATCAACTCTCTCCCACTGAAGAAGGTCAACAAAGGCTGCCCTACCCCTACCTCTGTCTGCGCCCAGCCTCATCTCTGACTTCTCCTTTTGTTCCCATACGCAGGTTGTGGCCACCACGGTGATGCTGGAGCGGAAGCTGCCTCGCTGCCTGTGGCCTCGCTCCGGGATCTGCGGACGGGAGTATGGCCTGGGGGACCGCTGGTTCCTGCGGTGAGTGATATGCGGGGGTAGGTGTCCCCTGAGAAGCCTCATCGGCAGGGTATCCCCCTGCTCAGACAGCTTCCGGCTCCTGGGTTCCCTGTGGAGGCCTGTGTGCTCCCTAGGCTCTATGCTTGTTGATTGAGCTGGTGAGGAAGGGGTCCCATTTGGAGCTCAGACTTCCCAAAGCATCCAGGGAGTCTGTGGCAGAGCCTGCTGCTTTCTGAGGCCTAGCTGCCAAGGGGCCAGTGACCCAGGCATCCACCATGGCTGCAGAAAAGGGAAAAGGCCAGCAATGGCGGGGATGGGAGGACCAGGGGATAACAGACAAGCATCCTTCTTGGATCTGTTCTTCAAGTCCTGGCTGTGTCTCAAGTCCTCCCGCATTCCACAGGGTGGAAGACAGGCAAGATCTCAACCGGCAGCGGATCCAACGCTACGCACAGGCCTTCCACACCCGGGGCTCTGAGGATTTGGACAAAGACTCAGTGGAAAAACTAGAGCTGGGCTGTCCCTTCAGCCCCCACCTGTCCCTTCCTACGCCCTCAGTGTCTCGAAGTACCTCCCGCAGCAGTGCCAATTGGGAAAGGCTTCGGCAAGGGACCCTGAGGAGAGACCTGCGTGGGATAATCAACAGGGGTCTGGAGGACGGGGAGAGCTGGGAATATCAGATCTGACTGCGTGTTCTCACTTCGCTTCCTGGAACTTGCTCTCATTTTCCTGGGTGCATCAAACAAAACAAAAACCAAACACCCAGAGGTCTCATCTCCCAGCCCCAGGGGAGAAAGAGGAGTAGCATGAACGCCAAGGAATGTACGTTGAGAATCACTGCTCCAGGCCTGCATTACTCCTTCAGCTCTGGGGCAGAGGAAGCCCAGCCCAAGCACGGGGCTGGCAGGGCGTGAGGAACTCTCCTGTGGCCTGCTCATCACCCTTCCGACAGGAGCACTGCATGTCAGAGCACTTTAAAAACAGGCCAGCCTGCTTGGGCGCTCGGTCTCCACCCCAGGGTCATAAGTGGGGAGAGAGCCCTTCCCAGGGCACCCAGGCAGGTGCAGGGAAGTGCAGAGCTTGTGGAAAGCGTGTGAGTGAGGGAGACAGGAACGGCTCTGGGGGTGGGAAGTGGGGCTAGGTCTTGCCAACTCCATCTTCAATAAAGTCGTTTTCGGATCCCTGCCCAGCTGCCCTTCTGCATCTCTGCAGTGCCATCTGCCGGCCCCACCCCTCTGCTCCTACGTTGAGGCCTCCCTCACCCTTCGTTGCAGACTGAGGCCTCACCACACCAAACTTGCAAATTCCCTTCTTTCCCTTTAATGAGGAGGGGGCTGGTGGAGAGGCGGAGGACCAGGGAATGCAGCCATCGGAGGGTTGGGTTTGGTGTGGGGCATCTCTCACAGAGGCTGTTGGAGCCCGGCTCACGTCCCACATGTCCCTTCTCGGACCAGTGTCCAGGGCTGAGTCACGGGTATCGTCATTCTCAGACCTCCACTGAGCCCTGCTGCCTCAGGTGTTGCTGAAGGAGCTGGATGTGGTGCAGCAGCTTCTTCTGGTGGCCAGCCAGGGTGATGCCCAGGGCAGGCAGGTCTCTGGTGGGGAGGGAAGGGATCAAATCTGGGCCAGCTTCTCCGAGATCCCCAATACGACCCCCAGCCAGGGGCCTGGAGCATTCGCCCCCACCCCACCACTCCCTGCTTACTCTAGGCTGAGCTGAGCCACATCACTGAAGGTACAGAGGCCAAACTTGGAGAAGTTGTCCTGGTAGCACTCCAGTCCAATGGCTGAAAGCCAGGCCTGGGGTGAGTCCAGACAAGGAAAGTCCAGGGCCACAGGGGTCAGAAGGGCCTGGGAAGGCCTAAGAGGGGAGGGGCAAGCAGGGTCAAGGTCTCCTCTTCATCTTAGCCCCTCTCCTCAGTTTTCTTTAGGTTTGCATCTACCCTCCCTGGCTTTCCCAGGCTCTAGCCCCAAGCTCCAGACCTTTCCCCTGGGTCCCCGCCAGCCTGCAGGGTATCTGGCTTGCGGATCATCTTGTCAAATGCAGCCACCAGCTGGTCAAAATGAGGCCGCCGGGCACGGTCCTTCTGCCAAGTGTCCAACATAAGTAGATGTAATCCAGGAGGACAGCCTGGAGGCGGGGGCAGCCGGAACTCCTGCTCTATTGCATTTAGTACCTGGGGGTCAGAGGAAGACTATGACGATGGGAAGTTTTGTTAGTAGAGGGGAGTACTTTGTTGGGTAAGAGGGTGGGCTGGAATCTGGTGGAGCATGAGGTTGGAGTGGAGAAGGAACTCAAAGATATGGCAATCCAACAGCCATGAGATCTTAGAATACAAACGGAGTAGAGAATGGAGGTCCTAGAATGTTCCAACCTGGGAGGGATCGGGGTGGGAAATCAGCAGTGTCTAGGTCAGTGCTCACCTCCTGCTCACTCATGTCCCAGTAAGGCCGTTCTCCATAACTCATCACTTCCCACATGAGTATCCCAAAGCTCCAGACATCACTGGATGTTGTATGCTTTCCATGTGCAATGACCTCTGGGGCTGCCCAGCGAAGCAAACAACTTGGGCCCTGAGGGGTAAAGTCAAAAGCAAATAGTAATAATCATAGTAATAGTCACGTTTATTGAGCAACTACTATGTGCTCAGATATGCCAAGGGTTTTACATCAAGCATCTCATTTAATCCTCATAACAACCCTCTAAGGTGGATGATATCATCTCCATTTCACAGAAGCAGAAGCAATAGTCACGTTTATGGAGCAACTACTATGTGCTCAGATATGTTAAGGGTTTTACATCAAGCATCTCATTTAATCCTCATAACAACCCTCCAAGGTGGATGATATTATCTCCATTTCACAGAAGCAGAAGGTGAAGCTTAGAGAAAGTGAACTTGTCCAAGGTC
The DNA here is from genome assembly GCF_000001405.40 of Homo sapiens. Lineage (NCBI taxonomy): Eukaryota > Metazoa > Chordata > Mammalia > Primates > Hominidae > Homo > Homo sapiens. The sequence goes on along the minus strand of NT_187562.1, from coordinate 892,524 downwards.
ACAGAGCTGGAGAGCAGAGTGTTAAGAATTTGTACCCAGCTGTGCTGACTCTGGAGTCTGTGTAATCTCCACAATGGGGGAAGGGCAGGAGGTAGTTCTAGATTGTTGCAGGTCTCCTCCCCTCCCTCATCCCCTTTGTCTCGGTCCCTGAAATCCCTCAAACCCCGTCGCCTAGGCTTTCATCTCCCCATCACACAGGAGAGCCTCCCTCCTTTCAGGGACTATGACACCCCGGCTGAGGTACCTACCCCAGATTCCAGCTCACCCCCGACCCCAGCACCTGCTGGGGCATGCCACAAGGCCCCAGGCTGTGTCCCCAAGGCTGTGCTCTCACCTGAGGACTGTGGCCAAGACGGGCCACCTTGCACACCAAGTGGCTATTCACCAGCACGCTGTGGGCAGACAGCGAGCGATGGACGAAGGCAAAGCTGGACAGGTACTGCATGGCAGCAGCCACTCCCCGCTGCATGGCCACCAGCTGCAGGCTGCTGAACTGGCCCTCCCGCTGCTGAGGGGAAGGGGCAGGGGGCAGAGGTCAGTGATCGGAGACAGGGGGAGACCTCAACATACTGCACAGCAGACAACAGCATGAGAGGGGGAGGGTGTCGAATCAGAAAATGGCTGGGAAGGAAGGATGGAGACCATGGAAGGTGGGGTGGTAAGAAGCAAAGATACAGGACCTCGTCTCCTGGAAGCTTTCCTGGACCCAAGGACCCTCCTCCTTCACCCAGGCTGGACTGACCCTGAGGAAGCTGTCCAGGGGGCCAAGCTCCATGAACTCCGTCAGCACCATGAGGGGTCGGCTCTTGGTGACCACGCCCTCCAGCCGCAGGATGTTGGGGTGCTGGAACTGACCCAGCACTGCAGCCCGGCCCAGGAAGGTCATCTGCAGGCTTTCGGCGCCCCCGGCCCACAGGGCCTGGATGGCCACAGTCTGCTCCCTCCGTCCCCGTGGCTGCAGGCGGCCCTGGCGCACTTCTCCAAAAGAGCCTGGGAAAATAGGTGTAGGTTGGGGTGGGGATCAAGGCTCACAGCGTCCTGCTGTGTTTGGATGGGACTCTGGCCAGCGGAGGCCACAAGGGAGCCCCGTCGCTCTGATCCCTGCTTTGGCCCTGCTGTACCTGTCCCAATGACCTCCTCAATCTTGATATAAGCAGGATCGACTTCCCGGGCAAGTTCTCGGATGGCCTGACAGGGGTCCTCGTAGGTGGAGGGGTCGATGTAATACTTCACCCCGAGTCCTGGAGGGGTGTGGAGTATGTTATGAGCGTGTTGTGAAAGGCAGGGCTGCCCGCGCACCCCAGACATGCCCACTTACCTCCAGAAGGTTGTGCCAAGGAGCTCCCCCAATCTTGGGGGGATCCAGCCTTGCCTGCCATGTGCCCCACCCATGTGTTCCCCAGCCCCACCCATTTCCTCTCCTCATCCCCACCTGGGCTGCTGTATTGCTGCAGCTGCTCCGTGTAGCCAGTCCCACGCCGCTTCCTGAGGAACAAAACGGTGACTGGGGATGACGCTCCCATTTCCACCCCCTTGCTGCCCCCTTGTCACCCTCCAGACTGCTCTTTAGTCGGTCTGTGGAGGGGGGACGACAGCCTGGCCCTCCTGCCCATCTCCACGTGGGGCCCAGGGCAGGGGCTGGCTGACGGGAGGAGCACCAGTGTGAGGTTTCTGCAGGGGGCTCCAGACTTGGCAGGACTTGAGGTTTGGCTGTGGAGTTAATGGTGCTGGGCAGAGTTGGGCAGGGGTGGGGACTCACCGCTGGAAGACGACCGCCAGCACGGTGATGGCTGCCAGCAGGAGGAAGGCCAAAGCCCCCAGGATGGAGCCGATCACCAAGGAGAGTCTTTCCGGAAGCTGGGAAGACAGCTCCCCTGGGGGACCAGCCGACAGGGTCACAGGTGGGCCAGGTCTCTCACAGGTGCTTGTTCATGTGCCCAGGCACCCACACACACCACAGGCACACACAACATGCACGCGCATGCCCCAAACCTCCCACATCCATGCACAGGGACACACAACACACACACACGCCCACAGCCCTCCCACATCCACACACAGGGACACACAACACACACACACATCCCCACAGCCCTCCACATCCACACACAGGGACACACAACACACACACACGCCCACAGCCCTCCCACATCCACACCCAGGGACACACAACACACACACACATCCCCACAGCCCTCCTATATCCACACTCAACATGCATACATACCCCTACAATTCCCCACCTCCCCGAGTAGCCCCTAGGTCAGCTGCTGAGCAAAAGGCACTCTCCTTTCCCACAGAACTTCTGGTTGGGAAGCACGGGGCCAGGGTTCAAGGCCGGACAGTCCCTGGGCCTCTCCTCACTACCCACTTGGGCCTTCATCTGCCCATCTGGCCCTTGACCCCCGCTCACCTTGAGGAAGTGTCTGGAAATAGACTTTGCCCCCGTAGGGGCCGTGGCCGGCAGCAGTCCGGGCCCGCACCTGGAAACCATAGATGTGGCCAGGGCTCAGCTGTGTCACGGTGGCAGTGTTGGTCTCGCTGGTCAGGGTGAAGGAGTGGGATTCGTCTTCTGCCTGGGGGTAACAGCCACTCACTCCCTGCCTGGCCCCCTCTTGCCCCTGCTTCTGCCCCTAAGGCCCCCAGCCACCCTCCCTGGTTGACAGGGCTCTCAGACACATGCCCAGTGCTGCACACTTCTGGGCACCTCTCCTTGCCCATTCAGCCTCTGGCCCCTACTGTGGGGACTGTGAGCTCCTGCCAGCCCTGTTGCGGACCCCTCATTCCTCCTGTGCACCTGGTCACCTCTGGGCCCCACTGTGAGGCCTATGAGCTCCTACCAGCCCTACTGCGGAACCCCCACTCCTCCTGCGCACCTGGTCATAGTAGCGGAGCTGATAGTCCAGGATGTTCCCATTGGTCTGGTCGGGCTGCGGCCAGGACACCGTGATGCTGTTGGATGCCCGGCTCACCTGGTGCACCACAGGGACAGCAGAGGGCACTAGAGTGCAAAAGGAAAATTATTATGGGGATAGGAGTCCCTGGGAGCAGGATCAGCCTTGAGGGGAGGGCGGCAGGGATGGACCAGGCTGGAGATCAGGAGTAGGGAAGGGGGCTCAAAGGAGCGGAGGCAGGGGATCCTGAAGGCCAAGGAAAAGAGCTCACCTTCATGGCTGGTGCTGACATTGATGGCTGCAGCCTGAGGAGGGTCAGGGCTGAGCTCAGACACCCCATTAACAGCCTGCACCTCTAAGATGTAGGGTACGTGTGCCCGGAGTCCCCCCACTAACACTCGGCTCTCAGTCAGGCCTCTCTGGCGAGGGTCGAAGTGGACCTCATCCCTGCAGCGGTGACAAGTGCCCCCACCACCGCTGGCAGGTTCCTGGCGGCCTTCACACTCCTTGCACACGACATTGAAGAGCAGGTCCCCTCGACCCCCCAGCTCCCGAGGCAGGCGCCAGTGTAGCATGAGTGCTGAGCCTTGCACCTCAAACCAAAGCTCCTGGGGAGCCGATGGAGGACCTGGGGGGCCGGAGGATATGGCAGTCCAAGGGCCAAGAGGGCAGCAGTGGGGGTGATTGAGGAAGGAAGGAGCCAGGGGAGGGTGGGTGGCCGAGAGGGAAGGAGACAGAAGAGCGTGGGGTGGGGGTAGCCCAGAGAGGCAGGATGTGGGCCCAGGGAAGGATGGGTCAGGGAGAGAAGGGGGTGGGGACAGGGAGGGGAGGAAGCCAAGAAAATAGGGGAAAAACAAGTCACTCCAAATGCAAAGAGCCCCCAGTGTTGCCTGCTACCCCCACTTCTGGCCCCTCTCCAAGTCTCTTTCCCATTGCAGGGCTGGGTGAGGAACTCACCAGTGCAGGGGGCCTCTGGTGGGTCGGAACTGGCCCGGTAGAAGCCCTCCAGGCAGGGGCAAACGGGGGCTGCTGGGTTGGGAGCGTGACTGCGGGCAGGGCATGGTGAGCAGGGAGCATTCCCAGCAGAAGACTTATAGAGCCCCCGTGGGCAGGCTGAGGAGGCAGAGGAGAGTGGGGGCGTCACACTCGCTCTGTCCACCCACCCTGAGCTCCCAACACACAGCAGGCAGGTATCCTCGCAGCCTTCTCTTCCCCAGAGCTGGTTCTCCTTTTCTTCCAAGACTGAACCCCACCCTCTCTTCCCTCAGGCAGAGATTTCTTCTGCCAATTGCTGGGACAGAATTGCATTTCCATGGATGGAGAAAGTGAGGTGCAGTGGGGGTTACAGACAGGCCCAGTGCCAGATGTGGGTGTTCCCAGCTTATTGCATAAGCTCCCTCTGCGGAGGCCTGCTGCTGCAGTCATTCTCCCTAGCTGCCATCCACTGCCTTCCTCTACCTGCGTCCCTGTCACCTGGCCCAGCGAGGCAGGGACCCTCCCAACAGAAGGGCGAATGGGAACCAAAGGACTCTATTCCATAGTAACCCTGGAGCTGGAGCTAAACTCCTTTTGGTCTCCATCGCTTCTCAGGCCTGAAGACTTAGGAGAAGGCAATTGCTGTGAAAGGCTCCAGAAGATTCCAGAAATTTCAGATGAGTGGGTGATAGTAAGTTTGAGTGCTTTAAGAAATAAAATTAGGGAAAATCAGGGTCCTTTCCTAAGATGGCTTATTCCTGACCTTTTGCAGATAAAATGAATTTTGGGGTGTTCAGAGAGGAGCCCAAAGGCTGGGGGTGGGTGGGAGGTGTCGGGCAAGTGCAAGACGAGTGGGCTCTCACCTTGGCAGGCCTTGTCTCCTCGTGCTGGTTGGTATCCAGGCTGGCAGCGGCAGCCCCCGACAGCTACCATCCACTTGCCCTCCCCGTTGCAGTGCAGCCTGGGGGGGCTGCCTCCTGCCTGGCCCCCTACTCCATCCTCCTCTGGCTCTGCATGAGCCACACAGGTGCCCACAGCTGCCACCAGGGAGGCCCCCCCAGCCCCACTGGCCTGCGTCTCTGGAAAGGAAGCAAAGGATCGGAGCACGGCAGGGCAGGTGTAGGAGAAGAGCCTGACAGCGACCAGGGCCAGGCAGGCCCCCGTGTCCTGGAAGGCCACGTAGAAGCCGCGTTGGGTGAGAGGCCCAAAGCTCCGCTCTTTGACGTTCAGTTGCAGTCCAGCCCGCTGCCCAGCCCCGTGGGGTCCCACAGCCCACGCTGCAGAGGAAGAAGAGGAGGAGGAGGAGGAGGAGGAGGAGGGAAAGCTCTCGTCTGCTGCAATTGTGTCCACCTTGGTCCAGCGTTTGAGGTGCCAGGAGGAAACGCTGTCAGGGCTGTCGGGCTCCTCAGCCTGACGGTAGTAAAGGGTGAAGGTCTCCCGGCAGGTGCCGCCGCTCACACCCAGGCTGGAGCATGCCCGCACAGAGAAGTGGAGTCGAATGTGCGCCCTCTGGGCCCCGCGCCGCTCCACAAAGTGTGTCTGCAACCAATTGTCCTGCCCGGTGCCTGGAGGGGCCCCTGCCACATGACATGCCTCAAAGGTCCGAGTCAGGCGTCGCTGGTCGTCCAGAACACTCACCTCGTCCCACTGCAGGAAGGGCCAGGAGAAGCTTTAGGGGCTCCGGGCTTAAGCAAGGCGAGGTAGAGGTTATAGGGAAGGGGACATATCTCTTCCACTGAGACTTAAAATTAATGACAAGCAAAGCAGATAGAGGATACCTTGAAATCTTGGTGCTCTAGAGGGAGGGATCCTTTTCCCATAATCCTCACCCAGGGTTTCCTTCATGAATTCCACTCTCCAGGGAACAGGGAGGGGCAGGGCCAAGGGATTCAGGTTCAGAATTAGAGTGGCACTCACCCCCCCTGGTGGGTAGGTGAGCCAGCCAATCTCAGATGTCTCTCCGGTGGTGTCCAGCAATACCTCTGCCCAGAAATAAGAGGGGCACACAGTGGCCAAGCCTCCAGCCAGCACTGCCAGCCCCTACTCTATTCCCACCGGGAACAAAAGAATGCCCCACCCGGGCCCATGTCTTTGCCAGCAGGAGCACAGCTGTCCGTCAGGGTCCTTTCTCTGACAAATCTGATGTGGGTCTTCATTATCCTCACCATGCCTTTCCCTTTATTGATGTCTTCACTCTTATCTACCTTTTCTAAATCTTTCCCACTTCCCCCTTTCACTGGGTCTCTATGGCAGGTCTGGGTTCTCCTGTCTCCCCTCCCTCTTACCTTCCAGAGCCAGAACTGAAGACACCAGGAGCAGCACCCATAGGCTACACACCATGCCCGCCACTCTGTTCCCTAACTGGGCAGCCCCTTCAGTAGCCATGGGACATCTTCAGGGCGTCCACCATCGCCCCAGCCACCACCCTGCTCCTGGGTGGGGCTGCAGCTTTTGCAAGACTCAGGGTGTACAGCTAAGCTTGCTTCCTGAGGAGACACACAAGACCAGAAGAGGCAGGTGGGAAGAAAGTGTTTCTTCATATACAGCCCAAGCTCCAAAAGCTGACCCCGTGTCTGTGTCTCCTCCTACAGCTCTCCAATCGCCCCAGCACCCACCATGGGACAGAAGCCAGGTTGCATACTGCCTCTCCTGAGCCGGTGCACATTTGACCATCTTGGAGTGTTCGTGCCTACTCCCTGTGTGACCCTGTCTCTGTGTTCATTTCTCACAGCTCTCCTTCCTAGAAGTGGGGCAGAGGGTGTTTCTGGGTCAATCTTACCCTTTTTTTTTTTTCTGCAAGGGGTTATTCCAGTTCTTTCTCTTCATTTACTCTCCTCCCTTCCTCCAACAGCCACCCTGTATTGGAAGTTAGAAGATTTTCATTAAAGGCAGCTGGTTAAGAAGCTGCTGCATCCTACAGACACATGAATTGAATCCTCACCACACCGCCCCACCCCCGATGGACCTGGATGCTCTAGAAATTTCAGAGGGGCAGTGAAGCAGTGAAGCGGGAGGGACACAGGAAGATGGCTGTGGGGTATGATGGGAGGGAAGGGACCAGAATAAATACAGAAAGAACACAGGCATGAAGATTCAGTCTGATAAATGAGACAGTGCAGGGAGGGGGCAGAGCTATGGAGGTCTGGCATACACTTTGTGAACAAAGATCCTCGTGCCCCAAGGGGTGCATGTTTTCCTAGAGCTTACAGAAGAATAACCCTATGGCTTTAACATATGAAAAGATGCTTCTTGTTTGCTCACATTGAAAGGAAACCAGGTTAAAACTACAGCAACAGGCCATTTGTTATAGAAGGAATATTTGTGCCCCCCCTCCATTCATATGTTGAAATCCTAACTCCCAAGATGATGGTATTAGAAGATGGGGCCTTTGGGAGGAAATTTTAGGTCATGAGGGTGGAGCCCTCACTAATCATGAGATTAGTGCCCAGATGAAAGAGACCCCAAAGGGCTTTCTCACCCTTTTTCTGCCATTCGAGGACACAACAAAGAAGAGGGCAGTCTGAAACCTAGAAGAGAGGCTTCGCCAGGAACTGACCATGCCGGCACCCTGATCTTGGACTTCCCAGCATCTAGACTGTGAGAAAGATATTTCTATTGTGTATAAGCTACTAGGTCTATTGCACTTTGTTATGGCAGCCACAGTTGCCTAAGACACCATTTTTACCATGTTGGACAAGATATGGGAAATAGGTTCTCTTGTACATACTCTGCTTGAATCCATATTGGAATATTCTCTTGGGAGGACAATTGGGTAATATCTTTCCAGCAACTACATTGTAAGAATGTGTCCTTCAGGTACTGTATACTTGTATGGGTTTGCACAGATGTTTGAACAAAGACATTAATTGCAAATTGTTTATAAGAGAAAAGGCTGTAAACTAACTGTCCATCAATTGGAAGACAGTAAAATTATAGTACATCCTTAGAAAGAAATACGGGCAACTGTTTATGCACTGATATAAAAAGCATTTCCAAGTGAAAGTGGGACAATGGAGAACAGTGTAAAGTAAGCTCCCCTTTGTTAAGAAGGATATATACACATACATATGTATGGAAGGATATCTATGGAAGAGCATCCAAAACCTGTGAAAAAGGCAAAGGAAGTGGACTGAGACCCAGTGCAAGGGAGACTTAACTTTCATTGTATTCTCATTAATTGTATCCATTTAAATTTTTGCATTCTTAAACTGTTGCATGTGTATTCTTTCAACTAAATCATTGATTAAAATTTTCTTTAATAATAACTGTTTAGTAAAGTTAATCAAAACAGTGTTCATATCCTCATAATGGCTTCTCAGAACTATGTAGTAAGCTACCTCTTATATAAAACCTTCCTGTGCCTTCAGAAGGTACACCACTAAGCTCACGAGCAAATGAACAGAAGGAATAGCTACCTCCAGTGTCACAATGAAGACAAACAGGCTTGGCACCTCCTTTGCTTGTTGATCTAGAGATTGGCGGTTCTCTATCTCTCCTCGTGTCTGAGTCTCAGAAGTCTGTGAATTGGGTGGACTATAATCCCTTTATTTCTGTGAAGAAAAAAAAGAGACATGTTGCCCAGATTGCTCAAAAGACATAGAACTGAGAGGAAAACAAAAAAAAAGCCAATTAGAAGAGAAGTTGTGATTTGTTTTTCCTGGATATATATGGCCTTGGGATTGTTGAAAGCTATCATAAAACAAAAATCAAACTATGAAACTTTAATTGCAACAAATATGAAAATCATAATTTGATTCCTACTAATTTTTTTCTGGCACTGCGGGCTGTGCTGTCCATGAAGTTATCATGGAAATACACCATTTCTACATACGCGTGGGCTGATGTAGAGTGGGCACCTGCCAACTAGCCCCTGAAACTCACCTTTTATACATCTTTAACCCTATTTGTGAAATAGAGAGTTCAATTTACAGCCTATGGAGACAAGTAAGGAGCATTTCCATATGGCAAATTGCTCTTAAGTAATGTTCTTTGCAAAAATGTCTGAAATGCTACTAGGATCCTTCACAGATGAAATAAATGCTTTGGAGAGGAACGGGGAGATCATGAAGTAAAAAGCAGGCATAGCTATTAAATTCTGTAACCTTGGCACCGTCACCAGTGGCTGTTTAATAAATATCCTAAAGTAATTCATGTTGTAAGTGCATCCCCTCCAAACTCTCAATGGCTTAATTTGGAGACGTGCTTGACACACTGAAGCAAACCAGAATCACGGAGTCCTTAGAAATACTGTTATCAGGGAAAGAAAATGCCAGCAGCAGGTTTTTAAACAATGAAGGCTATTTTACCATTTGCCTAGAAGTTATTCTTTAAAATAGTCTCTTTCTTTCACTCAGAACATGGATGGATTCTGTAATCTGTACAAAGAAGAAACAGTAAGCCCTGTGTCTTCTCAAGCTTACAACTAGGCAAATAATCATGAAGAAGGAACAATAAATATTTTGGAAATATTTCAATGAATTATTTTGAAAGACAGCCAAGCAAGATAGAAAAGATGCGCTGCAGATAGTATCAGCTGTCCAATATGGAACACTCTGGAAGATGAATAGCAAGATATTTGCTTTGATGACCCGAACTACAAGGAACACAGTCACTTGTGGTTGCAATAGGGCGTGCTTGCATAGCCTTAGCATGCCTCGTAATGACAACACGAAGCTGGCCTCCCTCCAGAAGATCCAGAAAAGAGCAAAAGCAATTATGAAACATGGATGTTAAGGCCACTCAGCTTCTGCCATCAAGAAACAGCATAAAGAAAAGAAGAAAATGGAGACACTGCCTGTGGATGACCACTTCAGCAATTTTTTGAAATTTTACTAAGAACAAAGATATTCATTAAAAAGAAATGGTTGAGGATCTTAAAGTACCCAGAAGGATACTTCTAATGTTTGATGAGGACCTCTTTTAGATTCAGATCCAGATGACTGAAGGTTATAAATACATTTTTTCAGAAAAAAAAAATTGTTGCTGAGTCAGACTAGGAAGTTAGGTGAGTTCTTACTTATCAAACAAACCAGATAAATTCAAGACTTTTAATTTTAATATATAAAAAGAATATGGGTGTACCCCTGTTGCAGGAATCCAAATAAAGAAAAAGGAAGCTTTATTAAGATATGGAATAAATTGCTGTCAGCAAATTCATACCACTGCAGATTCTTTTGAAGCCAATTTCAAAGGCAGAAACATAAGTGACAAGAACACGGCTGCTCCACATGCCTGGAATGCTAAGTAAGCAGGACTCAGAACTTGATTTTTCAAAGGTGTCTTCAATGGTTGTGGGCATGGAGCATCTTCTGCATTTGGTCCAGGAGAGCATCCCAGGGACAGGCCAGTACATTTCTCCTGCCACAGAGATGGGAAGCAGCCTCTGCAAAGCCAGGCCCCTTGCTCCTCTCTCACAGCCTGCTTGAGAGTCCTCTCTCCTCTGACTTACAAAAGGAACTGGTCAGTATTTAGAAATTCTCTAACACAAGAATGTGCAAAAGAACTTATCTCCTTTAGAAAAATATTCACATTTCAGATGTGTATAAGGTTTTAAAAATATAAAACCAGAAGCAGCAGAAATGTGAACATAAAACAATGGTGGAGAAAACGAGACGGATTAGACAAAGTTTTAGGTAACAAAAATTGCAGTCTATGACTTTATAATATGTTCTCAGCTTCTTTTATAGATATATCACTTAATATCTTTTTGATACAGTAGAGACAATAGATCCACAAGCCTGCTACATCTCTTTGGTTTACAAAAATAAGACTGTTTCTTAGGTATCAAGGTTGTGTTTTGTTTTCAGAAACTGGCAAAAAGTAAAGATTTGTAGAATCATAGGTTACAAAGCATAGCTTACGAGTTATGTTGCTATAAAAATGAAATATTTCACTTTGGGAGGCCAAGGTGGGCGGATCACAAGATCAGGAGATCGAGACCGTCCTGGCTAACACGGTGAAACCCCGTTTCTACTAAAAATACAAAAAAAAAAAAAAAAATTAGCTGGGCGTGGTGGCGTGTGCCTGTAGTCCCAGCTGCTGGGGAGGCTGAGGCAGGAGAATGGCGTGAACCCGGGAGGCAGAGCTTGCAGTGAGCCGAGATCGTGCCACTGCACTCCAGCCTCGGCGACAGAGCAAGATGCTGTCTCAAAAAAAAAAAAAAAAAAAAAAAAAAAAGAATGACTTAAAAGTAAATTAAATTGGTAAATTGGTAAGAATTTAAAAAATTAATCGTGCTCCAATTAAATGCTAAACATGATATTTTCATGAGCAAATCAAGCTTACTTAATATAGTTTATGCACCTCAATCCACAAAGTGAATTTTTAAAGATTAAATAATGTAAGCCAAATAAGCTTGGAGGAAGGTAGGCAGAAGACATATTAGGCCATTAAAATGGGTTACTGTGGGAGGTAGAAATGAAGGATTGTAGGTGGGGGCATTAATTTTGTCTTACACATAATTCAATTATTTTTCTTGTTACAGTAAGCATACCTTATTTTTATAATTAACGTAAAATCTCATAATTAAAATCTAAACAAAAAAGAAAAATATTTGTAAAACCTAGACAAATAAGCATACGTTTACATTTTATTCACTCCCCATGCCATTTTCCTTCTATGTTTCAAAATATCAAGAAATGTTCATCTATAAGAAGAAGGTAGAGGTGGAAATACAGTAGGAGCTGAGAATGAATGAGTGAAGTAATGCCAACAAGAAAACCAAAATAATTGTTATCTCTGGCTAGTCTTTAAGCTTGTCTCCCAAGAAGTTCCAACTGTCCCGCTGCTGACATCATGCATGCTTCTCTTCGACGATGTCAAGCAAAGGGATGAGGCTATGAAGGGACAGAGGGGAACCCAGGGGACTGTCCACTGGGAACACATAGTAAAGGGCATGGCCCCAAACCGAGCCCAGACAGGAACAATTTAGTGAGACAAAGCAGGCTGCAGAGTCCAGCAGGGACAGAACAGTCCCAAGGGCAAAGCGGTTCGAGGTTTTATGTCTGGTGTGGTTGCTGGGCTGGTCCTTACACCTGTGAGCCACACAGGTCAGTGTGGGAGGGGTCAGTACCACAGGCCCTGTCCCCTATCCTGTTCCACAGCTGTTAAACGCCCAGGAAATTCCAGTATAATCCTTGCTCAGTTTAATGCCAAAGCCTCTATCCTTTAATCTCCACCTTGGAGATCTCTTCGTGCTCTGGCCTCCTGCCTTGAGAAGGATCCCATCATCAGGCTTCATGGAGGCATCCAGGACAGACAGTGAGGAGGTGGCTGTCCTCCGGCTCTTCTAGTCCCTGCTTCCTTGGCTGGAGAAGCCAATTTGTAGATTACCTAGCAGAGGACAGTCCTGTGTCCCTGGAGGCCTCCAGCCCCTGAGAATGTCCCCCAGAGCACTGTGACTCAGACAAATGTGCCTCCCACTCCCAGGCTGTGGAGCTGGGGGAGGCTTTTAAGATGCAGGCAGTGTCTAGGTCTAGCCAGACAGCCACTTAGAATGAGCCACTCTGTGCACTGACGGGGGACATGCGTGGCTCTGGAAAAGAGCATAAGGGAGGGTGTTAAGGCAGGAGGCAAATGTGCCTGAGAGATGAGTAAGTGGAAGGTTGTGGAAGAAAGCCCCTGAGTGCCAGGAGTAGCACCTGCGTCAGCAGTGCCTGAGGATGTGTGTCTACCTGGTGGAGTGTGTAAGGGAATGTGTATGAGATGAGGTGGGCGGGAGCAGATGCTGTCTGTGTTGATGGGGGCTGTTGCTTTCCTGTGGCAGAAGATGCACATCAGTGCTGGTTCCGGAGTGGTTCCATGGGCCCTTCTTCCTCACCTTCGGCCCCTGCTCTACCCCCAGTCTGGCTGTGAGTTGCTCTTGGCCCCAGGAGGTACTTCTGCAGAAACACCTGGGCTGGGAGAGGGAGCCAAGTGGGGGGCGGGGAGGAGTGGATAAAGAAAGGGAAACCTGAGGCTTCCCAAACCCTCCAGAACCTGCCATCCTCCTTCTACCTAGAGTGGGAACTCAGGGTCTAGGGCCCAGGCTCAGGACAGAGTGATAGCAGAACAGCCGTCCCAGAAGGAGGATCCTGCCTTTCCCACGCTCAGCCCACCCCAGCCTGTTGCTCCCCAGCATTCTGGTAACTCAGTGTCATTGCCAACCATCTTTTTGCACCCTGAATGGAGTAATAGACTCCAAACAAGTCCTCCTTCTGAGGCCACCAGGTAAGTACATAGACACCCCCACGCTAATCTTCCTTTGAGAAAAAAGGCCCACTGCTCTGAAAAGCCAAGTGGCCCCACTGAGCAGCACTCAGAAGCCTCAATGCTCCAATGCCCCTTACTTGGGCAGCTTCTGTGGTCTACTAACAGCCCCACACAGCTCCCTCCCACTGGTCTCTCAGCTCAGGACCAGCATCTCCCCTCCTAGAGCCTCAGTCAAGTTCCCCTGGCGGGCGGAGGGCCTGGGTTAACTGGGAACAGACCCAGCAGCTCCGCTCCATGGGCGCTGCCAGGGACATTACAACATTGCTATGCTGGGTCCATGCCAGCTCCCCCAGGGATGGGAGGAGAGAGGGTGCCAGACGGCCAAGATCGGTGGGTGGGGGTGTGGGGCAAGCAGGGCCAAGCACCCAGATGGAGGGAGCAGAGCGAGGGTGGAGCTGGGGCAGGAGCACGCAATAGAATTTGGTTGCACGTTGGGGGTGATGGCTGGGCAGCAGGAACCAAGCGTTCCTTCCACCTCCAAGGCTTAACTGTGGTCATGGAGCTGGGGGGGACAGTGCCTTGTGGGGAGCAGGGGACAGGTGTGTGGTCAGCCTCCTGACTCCTCCCAGCTCCAAGGGGATTGGAGTGATGCCACTGGAGTCAGAGGGGTGGCAATCCTGTTCCAAGCGTGGAGCTCCGTCTCTGCGAGGACCCTCCCAGATTAGGACTCCCAAGCCAGAGCCAGAGGAGAATGTCTGGGAACGCAACTGGGGGATCCTAACAGCAAGGGTAATGCGGTGTCAATGATGCCAGGTCAGAGTGGAGTGAGAGGGGAGTAGCCAGGTTGACCGTTTCCTCACCCTTCATGAACCCCACTCTGGCCTTGAGGAAGGATCCTCAGTACTCCCTCAGGAAGCCACCTAGGGGCTGGGGAGCCCCACTACTCTTGCAAACCTTAATTCCTCTGTCCCCAAGCATACTGTCCCCGACCCCCACAACGCCGCCTGCTAACCCCGCGGGCTCACCTTCCCGTTGGCCGCAGTCTCTGCAGGTCTGCGCCCCCCGAGGCCTCGCAGTGGACCCGGGGCTCCTGGAGCTCGCACGGTGCCACCCGCGTCTTCTCCAGTCCGGGGACCCCGTTGCACCCGGCCCGGGTCCGTTCGGCGCCGAGAGTCCCTGGGATTCCGGGGTGGACCTGACGCTGGCGGCAGGGGCTGCTCCAGAGGTGGGGCGCCGGGAGATCCTGGGGGCCCGCGTCGAGATCGCCGTCGCCAAGCTGGGTCCCGGGTCCCGCCGCCCGCTGCTGTAGAGCCGCGGCTGGAGCGAACGCAGCCCGGCCCGCCCCCTCCGCGTCCCCTCCCAAGCCGGCCCGGCCCGCCCCTTCAGCCCCTTTGGCCGCCTTCCCACTCCCTTCTTCCGGGGAGCCGAGCCCGCCCTCCCGGCCTAGGCGGTGAGTGCGCGGCGCCCGCTCCTCCGCCCCGGCGCGCGGGGGAGACGCGGGGCGCGCCCGGGGCCCCGCCTGTGCGCCGGGAAGGGGGCGGCCTCCTCCCGCGGGTCTTGGCCGGGAGGATCGCACGCGTGGGGCGCCTGCAGGAAGTGGGAAGGGAAGAGGCTGTCTGTAAAGCCCCTGCCTGGGCTCGGGCTCGGGCTCGGCTTGGGTCGGACACCCGCGGAGCGAAGCGCAACTGGCGGACCGTGGCAGTTCAGGGCAGGGCAGAGCCCTGCACACACCCCCTCGCGCCTCCCTCCTCTTCGGCTTTAACTCTAGGAACTAAAACAGTGGGGCTCCTACTCAGCTTTGAACTAAGGTGGGCGTGAGCTGAGCAAGAGAGAAGGAAGGAAAAGCAGGGGGTGGAGGGAAAGACAAACTGAGAAATCTGGGAGAGTACGGGCGGTGGTAGGGGGAGCCGAGGCAGCGGGAGAGGGGGGCGTCTCGGTATGAAAGCGTCGCCGTGCTAGCCGGGAACTCTTTTCTCTTTTCGTGTCTGGATCTTGGTCAACGTTGGGGCTTCTGAGTCGAACCTCCCTCCATCTACCCTCCCCAAGGGGCAGGGCAGTCGGGTTGAAAAGGGGAAGCGCTGCTGTACGCCTGGCTCTGACATGGCTTGGGCAAGTCGCTGCACCTCTGGGTGCCTCCTCCCTCGCCCGCGCTCCGGAGAGAACCTCCCTGCAGTGAGGAGGGGCGGTGCAAGGTGCTCTCAGCTGGCGCTTGGAGGCAGGGTTGAGGAACCGAGGGGGCGCCGCGAGGAAAAGTGTTTCCGCCCACCTCTAACCCCTTCTCTAGCCGAGGACGGGGATTTGGGGTCTATTGTTTGGGTCCTACAGAGCTGGGCTGGGGCCTTGCCACGAAGTGTTGCTACCACCTGCTGGTTTTTCTAGGGAGCACAAGCACCCGGTGCGATTCCCTTTGCCCCCTTTTCTCCCTGTATCGCCCTGTCCCATCTTGCTCTCCTGTTTATTAAAGCAAATGGGCTGATCAAAACTGGTACTTAAAGAGCATTCAGAAGCCGAAGAAAATTGTGAAAGAGATCTATGAGCCAACAAACACAATAAACAAAACAATGAAACTCAGAGTCACCTGGGAGAGACAAACAGGCTTTAATGAATTGACTGAATGAGTGATAGAAAGATAAAGGCTACCGAGCAAGTTCCCACTTGGCCAGGGGTTTGTTCACTCTTAATATCAGGAGTCAATAAATAAGTCTGATAGTATTTAATGACTGCATTTGGACGTCATTAATAATTCCACTTGTACTGACGGTTCTACTTTATCTTGTTTCTTCCCTTTGCCCTGAAACTCAGTGGTGGAGGGCTTCCTTCATTTTCTGGTTATCTCCAAGGCTTTCAAAGACTTCTGCAAAGAAACAGAATTTGCATTGTGTGTGGAATTACGTAACTCATACATTAACATGCCTGATTGCTAGACATCTATGGTTATATTGAAAACTTAAAAAAAAGACACATAACTAGATTATGTTAAAATAAAAATATGGACAAAACCAAACCGTAGTTGTTACTTTATAAAACCCAGAAATTCCTGTAGTAATTTGCAACGTATCCTGTATTGACATAACAGTAAAAATATCTGCCTTCTTTTCTATTTCATGATATACCTCATATTAGGTGACTATAATATGAAATGAAGTTTTTGCTGCTCAAGGCTTGTGTAATTAGTTATATTTGTCTTGTTAATAAAATTTGAGAGGCATCTAGTTTTCAAAGGAAGTGTCATACTCAGGATGCAAAGAGGTTTAAATTTGTGATTAGTCGGCTTTGCATCCTAATTGCCTATGTCTTATCAAACCAAGTTTTAATGGTAGGTGGAGAGCATAGAATGCATTGTTAAAGTATGCTGCAACCTGCAGCTATTAAAAAGCAAAGTAATGAATTCCTTTTTAAAGTTTAATGTAAATTTTTTGCTATAATTTGTTTGGTGCCTGGGACACTCCAGGTGCTTAGAAGTGTTATAGAATGAATCAATAAAAAATAATATTTAAACTTTTTCTATGTGGATGGGCACAGTGGCTTATGCCTGTAATCCCAGCACTTTGGGAGGCTGAGGTGAGAGGATCACTTGAGGTCAGGAGTTTGAGATCAGCCTGGCCAACATGGTGAAACCTCATCTCTACCAAACAATACAAAAATTAGCCAGGCATGGTGATGCATGCCTATAGTCCCAGACACTCAGGAGGCCAAGGTGGGAGAATCGCTTGAACCCGGGAGGCGGAGGTTGCAGTGAGCCAAGATTGTCCTACTGCACTCCAGCCTGGGCGACAGAGTGAGACCCTGTTTCTTTCTATATATATATGTGTGTATATATATATATATATTTTTTTTTTTGACTTGTTCAAAAAAAAAACCCTGGAGTATTGCTAATGGGCAGGACCTAATAAAGTTTATGGCTCACAGAATTAATCATTTCTGGCACACAACAATCTATTATGTAAATTTGGAACCAAAAGGAACTGCTGAGTAGAAAACTCCAGGTGAGATAGGAAGGCTCCTAGATTGGTTCTGCCTCATTTTTTCTGAGTTTTTGCCTCCTTCTTGGGCTTTGCTCACTCCCCTAGGATGTGCAATTTTCTTCTTCCTTATTTCCCCTTAGAACAGCTAATGTAAGCTGATGTTGTCATAAACAAAGAGCTTTACAAATAATTTCACTGATAAGAATTCTAGTAAAAAGCCATAAAGGAGTCTTCTGAGTCCCCTATCTCTTATTCCAAAACATTAGTTATAGCTCCCAATGCATGACCTCACAGGGCTCAGGCCCTTCACTGAACTGTCTTGAGGCTTTGTGGCCTCTAGGTGCAGTTGCACTTCCTAAAAGCTGGAGTCTAGTCTCCAAACACTTTACCAATGGAAGTGTTAAATGCCCATTTGTACAACTAAAGCTTTTATTGTTTTCTGTTCAGAAACTTCTAGAATGTTCAAAAATTCTCCTATGTTACTGGTTTGTTTGAAAGTCAAACCTAGATTGCAACTGATTTGTAGACCAAGGGTAATGGATACCCTTCATGGTGGTATTAAAGTTTACCCATCATAGTCCTACACTTTGATATTACTTTAACCATGCAATAATAACAAGGTATTCAGAGATATTAGTGCCTCCAAGAGAAAGAGGATGGCTTTTCTCTCAGTTAGGGGTTGACTTCAGCTATATGTAACAGCAAAGTTGTACAACAGTGGTTTAAACAAATTAGATAACACAGAAATACGATGAAGGTCCCAAGTCAACAAGACTCCAACTTTAGGATGAGGACTTGTTCTCAGATTGTCAACATTTTAGCCAGAGCTCCAGCTATGAGGTCTACAAATTTCAGGCAAGAAAAAGAAGGGAACAGGATTAAAACGCTACATCCAGCTGAATTAGCACTGTTCAAAGAACCTTTCTGGAAGATCCATTCAGTGACTTCATATGTATTATTGGCCAGGACAGTGTCACGTGACCACCCCTACCTGCTTGAAACCTGCAAAATACATGCTGCACAAAATGAAATTAAAGCTGTTAAACCTAAGAGAGGAAGAAAGAAAGCGTGTTAGCCAGGGGAACAGCAGCCTCTGCCACAAATGAAATAAAATGATCACGGTAATCTACATTTTTCCCTGCAATCAACAGAGATCTCTATCTCCTTTTTATAGGATATACTTGCTGGTACTTTCCCCCAGACCACTGTCTTTACATAGGTTTAATGCTCAAAGATGGTCCCCAGGAAGTTAGTGGAGTGAAGGGAAATGCTAGGAGTGTCCTCTTTCTAAAATAACCATGACATGATCTCAAAAGAAAAATAACAAATCCTTTGCAGTTACCCATACAAACAATAGGACTTGAAAACATTCTAGATTTTAATAAGATTTTGGGCAGGGCAGTCCTCATATGCAGAGCAGAAGTGATCAACACTCCACACCATTCTTTGCTCCTTTCCTGGTTTGTATCTTTTCCATTCAGGTGCATATAGGAGATGGGATGATCTATGATGTGGAGCAGATGGTCCCCTGGTCGGCTCTTCCAGTAGAATGCAGTCTATTTCTGGAGCTGCGCCTCCAGATAGTGCTCTCTGAAAACATTTGCATTTCCTAAACTGAAAGGGTGGCCTGCATTTCTATGAGATCTGCCTTCTACTTGTAGATGTGGCTGACACATTTCCTGGTTCCCATATTCTCTTGTCTTATAGTATACGTCTCTCTCTACATTCAAATGGATTCTGAGAATCTATCCCATCAGAACTTAAAGCACCACCGACAAAGTGGAGCTAGTCAACATGAAGAATGAGTAAACAGCAACGACAGCACTTGAGATCTTTTAACAATCTGAAGCAAAGTAGAAAAGGAATGAAGATGTAAGAGTTCAAAGAAAAAGTCTTCACTTTATATTCTTAATGAGTTAAAAGCAGATGTGGAAGCTATATTAAAAGGTTGAGATAAAAAGGGACAGTGGCGGGGGGAAGACAAACATAACAGTCAGGCAGGGCGTGGTGGCTCACGCCTGTAATCCCAGCGCTTTGGGAGGCTGAGGAGGGTGGATCACCTGAAGCCAGGAGTTTGAGACCAGCCTGGCCAACATGATGAAACCCTGTCTCTACTAAAAATATGAAAATTAGCCAGGGAATCCTAAACTTAAATTTAGAATTCCCGGTATAATCAAATTCCCCGGCACGGCCTCTTCTCCTCTGTCTTACTTTGAAATAAACATAAACATTGCATTGGTTTTCTATCAATGCCAGAAAAAATCTTAGTGGTTGAAAACAACACATAATTATTATCTTACAGTTCCAAAGATCAGAAGTCGGAAGTGGACCTCCGTGGGCTAAAATCCAGGTATTGATAGGGCTGTGTTCCTTTTGGAGTCACTAAGGAGGGTCTGTTTCCTCACTTTTCCCAGTGTGGTTCTTGGAAGCCACTGTATTCCTTAGTTTGAGGTCTTCTCCTTTATCTTCAAATCCAGCAACATCTGGAGTGCAGTGGAGCAGTCTCGGCTCACTGCAAGCTCCGCCTCCCGGGTTCACGCCATTCTCCTGCCTCAGCCTCCCGACTAGCTGGGACTATAGGCGCCCGCTACCACGCCCGGCTAATTTTTTATATTTTTAGTGGAGACGGGGTTTCACCGTGTTAGCCAGCATGGTCTCGATCTCCTGACCTCGTGATCCGCCCGCGTCGGCCTCCCAAAGTGCTGGGATTACAGATGTGAGCCACCGTGCCCGGCCTCTTCTTCCGCTTTTAAGGACTTGTGTGATTACTTCGGGCCCCCCGGGATAATCCAGGGTTATGTCCCCATCTCAAGGTTAGCTGATTAGCAACCTTCATTTTCCTTTGACATGTAAATGAGCGTATCAACAGGTCCCAATGATTAGGATGTAGACATCTTTGGGACCAATATTCTGCCTACCACAGACATGAGGGCTGGAGTTCCAGCACCATATTGGCATCTGAGCCAAAGCTAGCGACCATATACCTCTAGACTTCTTGTTGCATGAGGAAAATAAACACCTGTGATTGCAATTTGTGTTACTTGCAACTTCACACATCTCTAATAGATACAGACGCAGACATTAGATCTTTAGCCAAGGGCTAATTATTCTCAAAAGGCAAGATGAGGCCATTTTCAAATCTGCAATTCTTAGAAAATTTGCCACTCAAGTCTGTTTCCAGCAAGATGCATTACAAATGTGCTCTGAACAATTAGGAGATGAATAATCAATTGCATTCTTCATTAGGGAAGATGTGATTGAGAAAAAGTGGTTATAATCACTTAAACTATCTAAAATTGTAGGATAAATAAAACACAAAACAAAATACAAACTTGCAAATCATGAATCAATAGTAAGAGGAAAATTAAGTAATTGAGGGTAATTATGACGACAAAAGTAAAATATCATATGTAAGTATAATAACAAAGTCTGTTTTTAAAAGAATATTTTAAATATCCAGGTTGTCATAATGCAAAATATAAAAGAGAAATAGCAAAGACAGGGATGTCATCAGTGAAAAATTCCTTGACATCCATCAGAGGAAGTCAATAGTTATTGCAGACATAATTAGGTAAAAGAATTTTAATGTTCTAAGATAATCATGAAAGATTATCTTTAAAATAGGGTGTTAGCCTCACAAGTCATGGATAAAAGATACAAGCAAATGGACATGGTTCCTTCATCCAAAAGCAAAATAGGTAAAAGATAACAAGAAAGCCTTAAAATACAGAAAGCATAATTAAAGTGACAGATGTCAAACCAAGTACAAGGTCTTAATAAGCATAATATTCCAGAACAATTCTATGGTAAGTCATTGGAATAAGTACGTCATGAAATTTCTTCATGTAGCAAAAAATTTCTCTCCCATTTCATAATACACATAAATGTTGTCTATTGCATTTCTAGAAACATTTATGTAAAAGAAAACACAATTTTTTTGTGTCTTACATAAAAGAGACACAATATTTTGGGGGCACTTGACCATTTCACTTTTCAAATAGCAATGCAACCATCAGTGACAGTACAAATGAATGCTGTTAAAATTAAATGTATAATTTTGAAATATTTAAATCATGGAGTTTAAATAAACATACTCACACACGTAATTGGAGGGGGGGAATTGCCATCCCTACCCTGTTTCCCACCTTTTCTCTTCTCCTCCTCTTCCCTGCACCTTCACAACCCAAGGAGAGACAGGAAGGTGATGTTGACTTGTCTATAAAATTGATTAGGCTCTTACAAGCAATAATTTCAAACTTCATCTGAGTCTTTGTGTAGCTAAAGCAGCAATCATGAAAAGGTATATAACTTGAAAATGAGCCCACTTTTTATTTATTAGAAACCTAAAAAGATGCAGTTTGAAAGTGGGACACGATTTTTAAAATCATGGTCTACTCATATTTAAATTCAACAAAAATATAGGCATAAAATTTTAATCCCTTTAAGTGAAGACATGAAATTATTTATTTTCATATTGGAAAATAGAGTAAATTCCTTAACTTGATATATTCCTTCCTTCAAAGTAAATTAATGAAGAAGAGACATTTGATAGATAATAAAAATCTAAAATATAATTAGTTCAAATTACAGAAATTTCCCCCGTTAACTGTCATTAAATCCCCACTGACAACTCCAACTCCCCTTCCCTTCTCCTGCCACAAATCTTTTAATTGCCTGGAAGAAATTTTTCTGATACTGCTCTTGATTATAGCGTAAATTACTAATCTTATTGTGGGCAAGGTGGGCTTCACTAACTGTTAGATAATTAGGTTCTTCTTCCTTGCAACTTTATTCTGTACTATTTATGAGAATTAATAGGTGGCCTTGGGAGTTTTGCTTTTCTGAATCATCATGACCTGTTGGATACTAGAAAAAATAAAAACTGGCATATTTATGACTCACATTGGTTGCAGGATGAGGAAGAAGAATGGATTTAGTGTCACCCTATATTATGCTGCTGGAAAACCAGAGTAAATTGAATAACTCCGAATTACCCCAAACAGACTTTAAATGCCAGACTAATTTAACTCCAGTCCATCCTTAAAACATCAGTTTTCAGCCCAGAAGTTAGCCATCACATACACGGTCAATTGATTTTCTACAAGTGTGCCAAGACTATTCAGTGGCAAAGGACAATCTTTTCAACAATTTTTTTCCAGGGAAAACTGGATATCCACATGCAAAAGACCAAAGTTTGACCCTTATTTTATAGCATATACAGAAATGAACTCAAAATGGATAAAAAAAACCTGAACTTCAGAGCTAAAACTATAAAACTCTTAGAAGAAAGCATTAGGAAAAATCCTCAATAGATTGGATTTAGCAACACTTTTATGAATATTATACCAAAAGCACAGGCCACAAAACAAAAAGTAGATAAATTGAACTTCATCAAGATTAAAAAAATTTTGTGCATCAAAGGATATTATTAAGAAAGCAAAAACATGACCTAACAAATAGGAGAAAATAATTTCAAATTATATATCTGCTAAGGAATTAATATCCAGAATATATAATGAACTCCTAAGACTCAACAACAAAACACAAAGCAATTCAAAAGTGGTCAAAAACTTTAATAGACACTTTTGCAAAGCAGATATACAGTCCAATAAGTATGTGAAAAGATGCTCAGCCTCATTAGTGAAATGAAAATTAAAATCATGGGGTATCACTTTATGCTTTCTAGGATATAATAGCCATTATATATAAAAAATATATAATGACTATTATATAATATATATGATATATATTATCTATTGTATTACATATATAATATATATTATTATATTGTATGTAATATATAATAGCTATTATACAATATATTATATATAATAACATATAATTTTTAAAAATAATAATATAATTAAAATGTTTTAAAATATAATAGCCATTATATTTAAAAAAACAGCAAGTAAAAAGTGTTGGTGAGGATGTGGAGAAATTGGAACTTTTGTACATCACTGGAGGGAAATGTAAAATGATGCAGCCACTGTGGAGAACAGTATGGCAGTTCCACAAAAAATTGAATGCAGAATTGCTATATGATCTAGCAATTCTATTTCTAGGTGTATACCCAAAGGAATTGAAAATAAGGACTAGAACAGATATTCGTACACCCATCATCATGGCAGCATTATTCACAATGGCCTAGAGGTGGAAACAATCCGTGCCCATCAACAGATAAATAGATAAGCAAAATGTTGTATACAAGCACAATGGAATACTATTCACTCATAAAAAGAATGTAATTTATTTATTTATTTATGTTTATTTATTTATTTTTGAGATGGAGTCTCGCTCTGTCACCCAGACTGGAGCGCAGGTGGCATGATCTCAGCTCACTGCAAGCTCCGCCTCCCGGGTTCATGCCATTCTCTGGCCACAGCCTCCCGAGTAGCTGGGACTATAAGAGCCCGCCACCAAGCCCAGCTAATTTTATTTTTGTATTTTTAGTAGGGACGGGGTTTCACCGTGTTAGCCAGAATGGTATGTGTTCTGTATTAGTCTGTTCTGTGTCACTATAAAGGAATACCTGAGGCTGGGTAATTTATAAAGAAAAGAGGTTTATTTGGCTCACAGCTCTGCAGGCTGTACGTGAGCATAGTGTCCACATCTGCTTCTGGTGAGGGCCACAAGAAGCTTCCAGTCATGGTGGAAGATGAATAGGAGCCAGCAGAGAGAATGGGAGGAAATGCCAGGTTTTTTCAACAACCAGATCTCGCATGAACTGACAGACTGAGAACTCACTCATTACTGCAAGGACAGCATGAAGCCATTCATGAGAGATTTGCCTCCATGACCCAAACACTCCCCACTAGGCCCACCTCCAGCATTGAAGGATTACATTTCCAAATGAGATTTGGAGGGGAAAAAGCATCCAAACTATATCATGCTACAAGATGGATGGATCTTGAAAACATACTTAGTGAAATAAGTCAGAGACAGAAGGACAAATACTGTGTGATTCCAGTTGTATCAGTGTCTTAGTCTGTTTAGGCTCCTAGAACAAAATACCATAAACTGGTATTAACAACAGAAATTTATTAACAACAAAAATTTATTTCTCACAGTTCTGGAGGACGGGAAGTCTAAGATGAAGACACCAACAGCTTCAGTGTCTGATAAGGGCTCGCTTCCTGGTTCACAGATGGTCATCTTTTTGCTGCATCCTCACGTGGCAGAAGGGTAAGAGGTCTTTCTTGGGCCTCTTTTATAAGGCCATTAGTCTAATTTATGAAGTCGCTGACTACATGACCTAATTACCTCCCAAAGGCCCCACCTCCTATTAGCATCCGCTTGGGGGCTAGAATTTCAACATACAAAACTTCAGGGGACCCAAACATTCAGACTGTAGTGATCAGGTAGCAAGAGTAGGCAAATCTGTAGCGACAGAAAATAGATAGAAGATACCAGGGGCAGAAGGAGGAGTTATGGTTTTATCTGTAGAGAATTTTTGTTGAGGATGCTGAAAACATTTTGGGTGTAGACGGTGGCAATGGTTGTACAACATTGTGAATATATTTAATGGCAGTGAATTGTGGTTAAAATGATAAATATGAAGTCATGTATATTTTACCACAATAAAAAAATCTTAGTTCACAGGTTGCTGTTTCAATCACACTCACTCACAGAAGACTGTTTTTTCTTTCATCATGTTTCCAATTGTAAATCTGTATTTATTTGTGTGGTTTTTGACGATTGTCTTTCTCCTCCCCAGGACTGATGTTCCATAATGATTTCCAAGTCAGATTTGCTTACTTATCTACTAATAGTATCTAGCCCATTGAAATAATTCAGTATAAAACATTTTTACTGAAATTAATATTTTTAGTAATAAGAAAGGAAAATAAAATACAATCTTGAGTAACACATCCATTGCAATTATCTAAATCTTTTCTAGCAGTTACATTTATAGAGATGAATAATTTTAATAGGTCATTTAAAAATATAATTTGGCAAATGTGGCATGACTAGGCCACACACAAACACAGATAGAGAAATAAGTCTAATTATTCTATTGTTACATCACATAATTATCCACGATCAAATTATGGATTGTAGAAAGGATAATTATTCCTAATGGTCTCCAAAAGCCATCATTTGCTTTAATTTGAATTTGGTAGCAATTGAGCAAAGCAGCTGATTACAAAGGGGCATAGCAATGCATTCTGATTTTATGTAATTCATTCTGAAGACTAATAGCGATGGTAAGTTAACAAAGTTTCCTACGAGAATCTATACATATCTTGTAATAGACTTCAAATAAGCCAAGTGAGTGGGAAGTATTATGAACTTTTATATCTTATAATTAGAAATAACTTTATATGCAACTGACGGTTCTAAGAGGTCAACAAGAAAAAAAGGATGAGGTCTGCTTCTATTTTTAGTTTTCTTTTCTTATTTAAAACTAGACAATTTGAGATTCTAGAATAGCTTCCTTGGTGAATGCTTTAAACTCTGAACACTCAGAAGTATATTGACAAAATTTTATTCTGTAAGCATTTTTATAAAACAATTCTGCTTCCAGTTAAACACCTTTTTCTTTTTTTAATGTTAGTGGTAGTGGTAATGGTGGTGGTGGTGGTCGGGATGGTGGATCCAACACTCCTAAAAATGGGAACTTTCTGTAATTTACATTAATTATATTGAAGTTGTTTTATTATATGTCAAATGTCTACTTTTGCTTCGTCTGCTTTATGAGTAATAAGTGTGTTCTCCAGTTATGTCAGTCTATTTTTCCAAATGGAAACAAATAATTTCATGTGTTTATAAATAAGTGACTAGGGCCTTTAAGACTTTTTGTTGGAACTCAGATAAGTTTGTGTATGATTATAATTTGAGCTTTTCTCTGTGATCTAGGGTTTTTCCGTCTGCTAAATGCCACTGAATAATAATAATAATAAAAAGGCTGCTAAGAAACTAGTTGGCAGAGAGACAAGCTAGTTTGTGAGACATTCAAGATTCTAAGTAGAAGTTTGTGTAAAGTGATAAAGAACGTTGTTGGTTTTTTCCTCTTAGCAGCTGGTTTGAAAGTTCTCCTTGGGGAGTGTTGTTTTATTTCATTTTGTTTTATTTGGAGGAAATGTGTTGGTAAAACATTTGGGGCAAGGGAGATTCCAGTGTGCATGCTTAAGTACTGCAAAGTGCTCTGAAATTGCCCTTTAAATCCAGGGACTACATTAGGTTGACTCACCTTTGTGTGTGTGTGTGTGTGTGTGTGTGTGTCCTGCATATATAAATGTGGGTATAATTGCTTAGGCAGAGCTGAATTGCTTTATGTAATAATGGGGTGAGTCTTTAAGGTTTTGTGTTTAATTATTTTAAGGTTTTGTGTTTAATTATTTTTTAAATAGCAATTAGATGTGTATTTCATTATATCAAAAAAGTGAGGGCAGTCAAAGGGGATCACTCTTTTTTCTCAATAAAATTTACTGATCAAAGGAGATCCAGCTATCAGCTATGCTACTTCAGGTCTCCGTGCTTCATCAGTAATTCTGGTGGGGACAGAGTGAGTGCTGACAACAGGAGAGTCATTGGTGGCCTTAAGCTGGGTTTCTGCAGGCTCTTATTCTACCAACGAAGAGGGTGTATTATGGTCATTAATGTCACTCTTTCTGAAGTAGAACCCTGAGGTGTGCTTCCTCAGGTGTCTTGAAGGAAAATCCATTAGCAATTACTTTTGCCTTGAGATATTAAAAGGCAACTTTCCTTGTAATCAATTAAGGAAGCAAAAGTATAAGCAAACAAGATTCCTGAACAAAGTATTGGTGGGTAAGGCTCACTTTTTTTTATCAGTACAGACAGGCATGCATTTTTAAGGAAAAGGTTCAGATAACCCTGGGTTATCTTTGTTTGGATAATGGTCATGATCTGCCATAATTAGTCATAATCAGTCATAATCATGTACCTCTGTTCATTTTTCCTAAGATAGCAAAATCACAATATGGCTTTGCCTGGAGGGCCACTTGGAAGTTTTCATATGGGCTCTGAGATAGAGGAAGGAGGATCTGGGGCAGTACAAAAGACGCAGTAAAGCTGGAAGATGAGGGAGGAGAAAAAGAGAGAGAGAGAGAGAGAGATCTCCAGGGGTGCAGGTGACTAGTTTTCCCTGGTGTTTGCAGTCACAGATAACCTGTGTCACTTCCAGACCAAACAGCTCAATAGACAGGTGTGCTTTATCTTTGTTTTCTTTTCTTTTTACTCACTTGATACAGATGAGCAGAAGGATCTCAGAAGTTACATTTTTAAAATGACAGATGGGAACAACCATTACAACTCCTTAGTCTATGAATTACTCCTTGGAGAGGCAACTCCCGTCAACCAGGAACAACCATTTAGCACTCTACATGAGCAAGAAATAAACTTCCATCATGATCGTGCCACTATGTAGCTTGGAGTTCGCTTATTACAGCAGCTAATGTTACCCTCACGAATATACCCTATGTGCAAACTGATGTATGGAGGAAACAGAAACTGTAAATGTGGATTCAGGAGTATAGGGATCAAGGAAAGCAGATGTCTGAGTTGCCTTAAGAAGCCAGGAGATTGAACAGAGGCTTGAGTTGGATCCTCCTGAAACCTAAAGCTTTAGCCACTATTCCAGGACTCGTCCCATAATGTGTGCCTTGTAAGGAGGGGAGGAAAAGAAAGCATTAAATGACACAAAACATGGCCGCCCCAGTCCTTGAAATGACACAAAACATGGCTGCCCCAGTCCCTGCTTCTGTAGCTGATCATGAGTACTAAATTAATAATCAAAACGACCTTATTCCACCTCCTATGCCCTGTGTCCTCCACCAGCACCTTAGCAGGCCAGAGTTCTTTTCTAGTAGGGTGAGTCATATCTTCATTCCCAGAGGATCTGAGTCCTTGGTCCTTGGGATCCTGGCTTCATTGAGTTGCTGCTGTGTTTCCTATCTAGATATATTGGACAAGGGATGCTAAAAGGCACCCCAGGGAATTCTCTGGGTTCCAGGCATTGTTCTGCTTGTCACTATTATGGAACAGCCACTGAATTTCCCATGAATGGTCATGGGGATCATCCATTCAAGCCAGTGACCACCTTTGCTGCCTGTTATTTTAGTAGCATGAGGAGCTCCAAATGCCAGAAGGCAATCTCAGCTTCCCATTTAATAGAACAATGACTTTATTTCTTAGAGGAAAAATTTCTCCCTTGGATAGAAATTAGTACAAGGTATGGGAAAGGAAGCAAAATTCCTTAAGTGGTCCACTTAAGGTGTGATAGGAAGAATCTATCCCTATCTCCACTCTTTGTTTCCTGGGCCTGAGTGTTCTGGCAATGAGCGATAAAGCAATATATTGTCCACTAGGTTAGGGCATATAACACTACTATAGAACAGTGCCCCAACCTCTCAGAGGGTGGTCTCCTCACTGACCCATTGGCAGGCCATTCTGTCTTTCTACCAATCAAGCTGCTTCTAGGTGGTGTGGCACATGATAAAACCAGATAATTCTATGGGCGTAAGTCTACGTCTACACTTACAACACCATAAAATATGTTCTTTGGTCAGAGATGATGTCAAAATGATGAATAAGTCATTCAATAAGTCCAAGAATGATGGTGCTGACAGAAACATTGTGGGTAAGGAAGGAAAATTCTTCTTGAGAATATGTACATACTCCTGTGAAATTAAGTTATGTCTCCCTAATGATAGATAGATAGAAGGGATTCAAAGTAATCAGGCTTCTGGGAGATCTCCTTAAACACCTGAGGAATGGTGCTATGATGGGGACTAAACTTTAGTATCTCCTTTTGCTGGTGCTGATAACCTCCTATTAGCCTTGCAAAGGAAGTCCATGTCACTGAGCCCATGTAGCACTTCCATTGATGTCTTTGGAGCGGCCTTGCACATGGGCTCATGGAGAAAGTCCCGGGATGGAGCATCCATTCACTTTCTCACTAAGATCATTCATCCTCCTTAGCATGCTATTTCTTCCTAAAAAATTTTATTTTCTTCCTTAAGATATTCTAGCAGAATGCTCTTACTTCTTGTTCTAATATGAACTTCTTATTCCCTGGTTTTACCACAGAACCAACATCCTGGCCATCCTGAGATTTAATTTTACTGAATTTTGGAGTTTGTTTCACTGTACTTTGATTTCTTATCTTCAGCTTTTTTTTCCTTAGGACTACATTTTTTGTGTATGCTGGAATTCATATTTTAATACACTTTATAGAAAAACTTTCATCTCTGTCTGTATTAAATGACTTTATTCTATCTTAATGCTTTATTAATATTTTGGTTAGTTATAGTATTTGAGATGTAAAACATTTTCTTTTATAGTCTGACTGAAGTCCTGACTTCATTTACTTCTAGTACTTAATGTTGCTGGTATGAAGTCAGCTGCCAATCTGATTCAATTCTGCCCATGATAATTTGTTTTATTTATTTTTTCTGCAGTTTTTAGGGTTTTCTTTTTATCATTTCTATTCTGAAGTTGTATAAGAATATGTAAAAAATATTTATCTACTGTGCTTACCTTTCCCCTGACTGCTTTTCATCCTTTTTTTTTGTTTGTGATTTATATGTTTTCTATTAATAGCTTTTCTCCTGAAATTATCATTTAAGCAATAATTTTTAACTTATGTCAACTGTTCCTTATTCTTTTTCTTTTTCATTTTACTCTTTTTTTAAATAAATAAATATAACGTTTTCTCAATTTTTTTTTTTTTGAGTTGGAATTTTGCTCTGTTGCCCAGGCTGGAGTGCAGTGGCACGACCTCAGTTCATGGCAACCTCCACCTCCTGGGTTCCAGTAATTCTCCTACCTCAGCCTCCCAAGTAGCTGGGATTGCAGGCATGCGCCACCAAGCCTGGCTAATTTTTTTTTTTTTTTGTATTTAGTAGAGATGGGGTTTCACCATGTTGATCAGGCTGATTTTAAACTCCTGACCTTAGGTGATCCCCCTGACTCCGCCTCCCAAAGTGCTGAGATTATAGGTGTGAGCCACTTCACCCAGCCTCAAAATTTTAAAAAAGAAAAATTAGACTTATAATTCAATTAAAGTTTTTGTCTTTTCCTAAAATTATATATGTTTCCTCTGGGGTCAATATTCTGTTTAATTATCTTGGTGTTTCTCTTTTATTTTGCTATATTAGTAAGAATAATTAATGCTACCTGCTATTACAAATAATCTCAAAATTCTTAGTGCCTTAATCCAATGTAAGTTTTCTTGTTTTGCTTTCACCTCACATAAAGGCCAATGCATATCATCCTGGTCAGAGAGTTCTCCGGGGCAACTTTCCTATAAGGGATGACTCAGAGATGCAGAGCACCACTACTCTAGGATTCCCATTATTGCTGCAAAAAGTGAGAGAGGAGTATCACATGTAGGAGATTTTGTGTTTCTGGCCAAACCTGGGTGGCTTATGTTTCTACTGCATTCCCCTGTTTAGAATTGGTCATCAGGCCCAATCTAGATGTAAGGATACTGGGAAATGTAGTTTTTCTGTACTCCCCAGAGGATGATAAAATGGCTTGATAAATCTATAGAATTGTCTTTGCCAGAGCCTTTTGCTTTTCTTTTTAATCAAATGTCTGCGGATACTCAGTTGTCCGAGATGATTATGAATTTAGAAATGTTGATTATTACCTGTAACTGACTAACATTTCTTCTGATAGTAGTTTCCTTTTCCCTGCATACAAAGACTGCAAGATTTCTGTTTGTGGGTGTGGTATGTGGACAGGCAGGCTGTACTCTAAGATAAGCAAGCTGGCAGCCTGTACTCTGAAAGCCATTGCCCATCCTAGGCTGATAGTTCATTCAGCTTCACTTTATAGGCACTTTCCTTACACATACTCATGTGTGCGATGTGTGACTCAGCAGCCATTGGACATACAGTTCTTCAATCAGTTGTCTTACTTTAAGCACTTTCTCATGCTTTGACTACATCTCTAAGGGCTTATAGAATGCTATAAAAATGACCCTGCCTCACCTGCTGCTTTCTCTTCTACCTCTATTGAGCTAGTCTCTTTTCGCTCTGATTTACATTAAATCACCTTGGCCATAGCCATCTCCGGTCTTTCAGAAACTCATAAAATCTTATTTATTTATTTATTATTATTTTTTTGAGACGGATTCTCGCTCTGTCACCCAGGCTGGAGTGCAGTGGCGCAATCTCGGCTCATGGCAAGCTCCGCCTCCTGGGTTCAAGGGATTCTCCTGACTCAGCCTCCCGAGTAGCTGGGACTACAGGTGCCCACCACCACGACTGGTTAATTTTTTTGTATTTTTATTAGAGACAGGGTTTCACTGTGTTAGCCAGGATGGTCTCAATCTCCTGACCTCATGATCTGCCTGCCTCGGCCTTAAAATCTTATTTTGTTAATATTCTCCATCCAGTATTTGACAATTATGTTCTTTTCTTCTCTTTTATACTTTTTCCTATAACATATTTCTATACTTTATTGCTTTTATTTTGGAGTGAGGGGAGATAAATGAGTTTTTCTCAATCTATGACTTTGAACTTAAATTTTTCACTTAGCATAATATGATGTTTCATGCCAATAAAACTATTTTGCATATCATTAAATAATATTGTAAAGTAAGTTTTGAAATATAAAAGATATTCCATTTTATAATTTACTATAATTTACCTACTCATTTCCTCTGATTGAATATTTAAGTTATTTCAGTATTTTCTTTCTTTTTCTTTCTTTCTTTCTTTCTTTCTTCCTTTCTTTCTTTCTTTCTTTCTTCCTTCCTTCCTTCCTTCCTTCCTTCCTTCCTTCCTTCTTCTCTCTCTCTCTTTCTTTCTCTTTCTTTCTTTCTTTCTTTCTTTCTTTCTTTCTTTCTTTCTTTCTTTCTTTCTTTCTTTTTCTTTTTTTTTTTTGAAGGAGTCTTGCTCTGTCACCCAGGCTGGAGTGTAGTGGTGTGATCACGGCTCACTGCAACCTCTGCCTCCTGGGTTCAAGTGATTCTCCTGCCTCAGCCTCCCAAGTAGCTGGGATTACAGGCATGCGCCATCACGTCCAGCTAATTTTTATATTTTTAGTAGAGACAGGGTTTCACCATGTTGGCCAGACTGGTCTTGAACCCCTGACCTCAGGTGATCCACCTGCCTCGGCCTCCCAAGGTGCTGGATTACAGGCGTGAGCCATCACGCCCAGCCAGTATTGTTTTTCACAATTAAAAAACTCTGCAGTGGATATTCTTGTACTTGAGGTGTTAGATGTCTAATTATTTTCTTGGATCAAATTCTTTGAAGCAAATTTGCCAAGTCAGAAAATATTTGCTTTTTTATGACTTCATGTACGTATAGCAAATTGCTCTACAGAAATACACACCCTACTGTCTCACAGGCCATCAGCAGTAGGCATTAGCATTTTAAAAAATCATTAACAATTTATTTATATACCAGTAGCACTTACTAACTGGGTGCCCTGGTTGACTCAACTGTAAAACATGGTCTAGGTCTTGGGCTGTTGTAAAGATTAAACATATACTTCATACATGCCTATCATAAACTAAATATACAGTGTATTTTATTTTTAAAATGATAAATTATTTTTAAAATGAACCACCTGCCTGTATCTCAGGTTGGTTGGGAGGATTATATTAGATAATATATGTAAAAATACACAGAAGTGGCATATAAGTAGAGTATAATTGTTAAGTATTATTATCCTTTCTCCCAATAAAGGCCTCTTAAATGCGAGAGTAACCTAAATCCCAAGACTCTGGCTAGGACACAGTGACAGCAAGCAAATCATGTGGACAGCATCTAAGCTTCGGGGCAGGTGGTCTGATTGACCCATTACTGAAGATCAAAGAGAACAACAAAGGATTGACCTCAGGGAATTTACTTCTCCTTGGCCAAGCATTCAGATTTCCTTTTCATTACAGATTCAGCTGAGCATCTGCGTGTAAGCAATTTATCCATAAGACTGCTGTCCTCTCTTTCCTGTACACCATCGCTGTGGCTAAGTGATTTTCTACTCACCCCCCACTCCCACTGTGTCTATATATGAATATGACAAAGGTACACAGAGGCCAGATTTCTGGTCTACTCAAGAGCTCTGAGGATTTTGATCTCAAGCTGGCAGGGAGGAAGGACAGAGCTTTGAAAATAATAAAGTGAGCAGAAGTAGGGTGATATTGTGGGTAAAGGGATAATCTTGGATATGGAAAGGTGAAAGTAAAATTAAAAAATTAGGTCCAGAAATTGGAGGAAAATGGAGAACTTGGGTTGAATAAGTGGATTGATTCAGCTGTGCCTCCATTTTGACCTTTTCTGTGACCTCAAGATCTTTGGGATAAAATATTGACTACATGGATAATTTTATATTAAAAGCCTTATTTTTTTCCTCCTTTCTTCTTTCTCCCTCTGATTTTTGTGTCCTGAAGTCCACCCTAGCCAGTTAAATGAAGCCATAGTTTTCCATTGACGTCCAGTCTAAAATTCATTTGATTAGGAATATGTTTCACTAGACTCACTCCAGCTGTCCTTGTGTCTTACTTAGTTTCCTACATCTGTGACCCAGAATAAACTCTGAACATCCTCCATGTATTGCTTTATGAAGTAAATGAGTCAAGCACTTGTTCAAAACAATGATATTCTTTCTGAGTTTATGTCAGTTAGGTTATAATTTTTCTGCTAGGAAGAGATGTTAAATAACTGTAGCTCAAACAACCTCCCCCTAAAAAAGTTTTCTTTGTTTTGTTTTCTTTTCTTTTCTTTTCTTTTTTCTCATGAAAGAAGCCCAGAGTGAGGCAGTCTTGAGCCATTACGAAGGCTGCAGGGCAGTTTTGGCAAGGTGGAAGTTTATTTTCCGTTCACATAAAAGCCTGAGTGTAAGTACTTCAAGTAGCTGCAGCAGCTACATCAAAATCTAGGACCCAGAACAATGGTCTGCTTTGCTCCCCTTGAAGTACTAATAGCAGCCCAAGGTTGAGTGCAAGCTATCCCTCTAAGATACCAGAAAGCAGAATAGAGGAAGGGAAAAAGAATGGACACACAGTACTAAAAGATTCTTTTTAGGACTCTTAGTGAAAGTTGCACACAACACTGAACCTTACATTCCTTCATCAGAACTAAGTCAATGACTGCACCTGAATATAAGCAAATCTGAAAAAAAGTTTTATCATTTTTTTATCCCGAATGTCCCTCTCCAAGCTAAATTTAATTTTGGTTTATTAGAGCAGAAATTGGAGAACAGATACTGGAGGGACAAATAGCAGGTTTTTGCCACGGCAGAATATTTTACTTGGTAGATAGCGTAAAAAGTAAATTGAGGATATGATAAAGTCAACTGTTTTAAGAAAAGCAGAACTTTATTCCAGGGGAAAAAAATCAAATTATAAAAGAGAGTAACTGTAATTATATCTGTATGGCCTTGTGCTGAACAGTTATTTATGAAGTCCTAATAATGTAAACACAATTTGTTTCAACTTTTAGAATCAACTTATAGACAAGGCATGAAAATACTTGATTATGCTACTTAATAGAATGTAAATATTATCAGCCTTGACAATGTGAAAGTAAAAGTGCAGATGACAAATTTATTGCATGGAAGGAAATAAAAGAAACAAAGGAAAGTTTGAGGATACCAATATCATCATATTGTGAAGTGAAGAGTCAAGAGATACTATGGATTTTTAAAGGATCAAAGAATAAAGATGTAAGGATATATGAAGTGTGAATATTGCTTAGAGGTACACAGCCAATTAAGAGTGAATCTGATGAATAGTGATATAATTATGTGGGAGCATTGAGGCTTAGTTAGAAGGGATAAGTAAACGAAATAATTATCTATTATGGCTATCCCAACAAACTCTGTCCCCCTTCCCAGGGGAGGTGACACCCCATTGTTCAATATGGGAGTGAAGAGGATAGTTCTGTGGATTGGTGATGGCTTTATTTAACTGGCTAGGGTGAACTGCAGGACATGAAAATCAGAGGGAGAAAGAAGAGAAGAGGAAAAAGAATAAGGCTCTTAATATAAAATCTTCCTTGTAGTCAATATTTTATCCCAAAGATCTTAAGGTCACACAAAAGGTCAAAGCAGGGGCACATCTGGAAAATCAATCCACTTATTCAACTCAAGTTCTCCATTATTCTATAATTTTTGGGCCTAATTTTTAAATTTTACATTCATCCTCTAGATAGTTAAGAGGATGTCATTGTGATCTAATTAGATAATATAAAAGGTGTACTATAGAGGTATAGATAAACAGATGAATAAATAAGTAGTATTTAATGCAGGAGAATTCCTTTTGTTCAAGTATTCATAGCGGATTAAGCCAGGCTAATGTAACAAATCATCTGAACCACCCGAACTTACAAAATGACCTCCAATTATCAATTGTCTCCCTACACGTCTCCACTCCAGGAAAATAATGTGCTGGCTGAAGAGTCCATCCCCAGAATCAGTGGAAATAATATTTTTCATTATGGAATTTTAAATTTATAAATTGACAGTCTAGTTTATACAGCAACCTTTTCTTTGAGCTTGAACAGACCATGAGAAACTGATCAAGTGAGGAAAATTGCTTAACAACTTTAGTGCTCATTATTTTCACCCACAAATGTAATGAGTTGACCTTAATGAACTATGAATACCTTTCATTGTGGGAATGAATGAATCTATGGACTCATGGTGAACTGGAACGATTTACCTAGACCAATGCTTCCTAATATAATCAACCAAAGAGATGATTTTATTTTTTATGTAAATATAATTCAAGGGCTCCCAGATGATAATTGTTTTACTTATTCGGTCTAGAAAAACAGTGGCTAATGCTTTGTAATAATGTCCTGTGTTAAGAGCCAAGTGTCCTCCCGCCTGTAGGCCCTGTTGATGAGTGCCACTCCTTTAATGAGATTCTCATCATGACTCATCCTCCCTGTGTCTACCACTCTGCCTTCAGTTGGAGCCTGCTCCAAAGGTTCTCTCCCTTTGCCTATGTGGTCAGTCTCACTTGTACCAACTGCTTTCTTTCTGTTCCTTTTTTTTTTGTTTTGCTTTTTTTATTCTTTTCTATGTTTGGCACATTCAGATGACATTTTATCTGGTCATATGTGTCCCAGAGTTTACAAACTTACTTATCTATCCTTAGCACATCTCATGAATTCTGCCCGTGTCTCACAAGCTATTTGCCTCTGCACTTGTTTCTTTACCCTCCTTATTTGCTTTCTTATCTCTGTAACAGATTCTAACACCGCAGGACGGGCCCTGGTGGGTGTTAGGGGACTGACGTGCTTTTGGCCATCGCTACCACCCTGTCTCTGCTTGTCATTCTTTGAGGTCTTTGCCTTTAATGTCTACAGACCCCTTGAAATCTATGACTTAACAGTCTCTGTCGACCTATTTTGGCATCCAGAGATGATTCAGTAACTGATACATGTTCTTTTCTCTTTCCTTAATCCTTATCTTCTGATCCTTCACTTCTTCCATTATCCCAGTTAACCGCACCCAGAGGCAGTGCACTGGACCCCCATCCTGGCTGTTTTGACTTGGTTCTTTTGAGCCATCCTGTTGGTTGCACCCAGTCTCATCCGTATTGTGGATCCCATTATGCAGTTAATGTCTGCTGTGTTGCACACAGTATTCTCTTGTTTTCTCAGTGTTTTTCTAGATTCACATCCTTGCCTTATCTAAACCATGATTTTTCTTTTTGGATACTAAAATTTCTACTTTTCTCTACCACTGAAAGCTTTGGAGTCAGACTCCTGGCTTGGTAGCTTGGCTCAAATACTAATCTTGTTGACCATGGGCAGAATCCTCAAACTCATCTCTGACTCAGCTTTCTTATCTGTGGGGTAGAGGTGACAACATAAGCACCTACAGCATAGGGACTTTATCAGGATAAAGTTGAATTAAACACACACAACACTAAGAACAGTGCCTGGGGAACAAGAAGAACTAATAGATTTCAGAGAAACTGCAGTGTCTGCACAGTTGCGACACAAATCCCTGCTGCTCTTGCTGTATGATGGGAAATAATACAGTGTGTAGATTAAACACGTGAGCTTCATAGTCAGTCAGCATTAGATTGGACCCAGATGCTGCCTGTGCAGTGTGACTCTGGGCAAGTAATTTAGTCTCTCCAAGCTTCAATGCCTTCATTTGTTAAGTGGGACAAATAACAACTGCCTCTCAGGATTATGTAGCTTTATTTTAAGGGTGATAATGTTAAAAACAACTAGATGGCACCTGGACACAGCAAATATTCATAATATAATATGTTATCTGTTAAGAATAAAAGAAATTATCCATCCTTTATGTCTCTTTAGTCTACTAATTTTTTCTTTTTTCTTTATGTATTTATTTATTTATTTATTTTTTGAGAGGGAGTCTCTCTGTTGCCAGGCTGGAGTGCAGTGGTGCGATCTTGGCTCACGGCAACCTCCACCTCCCGGGTTCAAGGGATTCTCCTGCCTCAGCCTTCCGAGTAGCTGGGATTACAGGCACGCACCACCATGCCCAGCTAATTTTTGTATTTTTAGTAGAGATGGGGTTTCACTATGATGGCCAGGCTGGTCTACTAATTTCAAAACTGATTTGGGACTTTCTTTGTCATTTATTTTCAATTTGCACATAAACTTTGTTGTTTTTCATAAAACACCTCTTTCGTAACTCCTTACTTTCCTAAATTTTTTTCCACATTTCTTTTGTCTCAACATCCCTTAGTCAGTGACCATTCAATTATAATATAGCACATTACTTTTAACAGAGCACAGCAGGATTTTAAGCAGAGATATGAAGTAAAACTTTCTCACATCCTCACTTCTCTTCATAATATAGTCACAAATAAACATCCCTGACAGGTCAAGTGATTGTTGCTGCTGGTATGACTCAGTGCAATCCTTACATTTGGAATCTTAGGGTGCATGTATGAAAGTGTGCATGTGTGTGCATGTGTGTATGTGTGTGTATGTAGGGGTGTGTGTGTTTGTGTTTGTGCACACGTATGCTGACCTCTTGCTCCTTGAATTTGATTTTCCTTCTTTGATGTATCTTGCTCTGGGAGTGAGAGCAACCAGACACCTCAGTCCTCATTCTGACTTTCCTCTGAATGGTTCCT
This sequence comes from Homo sapiens, assembly GCF_000001405.40. Lineage (NCBI taxonomy): Eukaryota > Metazoa > Chordata > Mammalia > Primates > Hominidae > Homo > Homo sapiens. The sequence goes on along the minus strand of NT_187562.1, from coordinate 854,452 downwards.
CTTTTCGCTGCCCCAATGTTTCCATTATCCCAATTAACCACTCCCAGAGGCAGTGCACTGGACCCCCATCCTGGCTGTTTTGACTTGGTTCCTTTGAGCCATCCTGTTGGTCACATCCAGTCTCATCCCTATTGTGAATCACATTATGCAGTTAATGTCTGCTATGTTGTATACGCTGTTCTCTTGTTTCCTCAGTGTCTTTCTAGATTCACATCCTTGCCCTATCTAAACCATGATTTTTCTCTTTGGATACTAAAATTTCTACTTTTCTCTACCAATGGGCTCTCCAAAACCAACACTGCAGGACAGGCCCTGGTGGGTGGTGGGGGACTCATATGCTTTTGGCCATCTCTACCACCCTATCTCTGCTTGTCATTCTTTGAGGTCTTTGCCTTTAATGTCTACAGACCCCTTGAAATCTATGACTTAACATTCTCTGTTGACCTATTTTCACATCCAAAGATGATGCAGTAACTGATTAATGTTCTTTTCTCGTTTCTCTCTCTCTGGCCTTTATTTATGAGGACAGCCTATCTATTGAGTAACCCTTTAGATCTTAAATCTTACACCACATGGGACAAAAACTGCATGCCTTTGTCTCACAAGACAGGTCTTTCTTGACATTTAAAAAAAATTTCCAGCATATTCAATCCACATAGTATCACTCTTTCTGGGATCATCCATTCACATCATTGCTTCTTTTTCTTTCCTCTCATTCTGACTGCTTTTTGGTGCTATTCTCAATAGGTATTTACTATAGACTGAAGCAAAGGAATTGGAGTTTGAGCCTAATGTTCTGAATTCTCTTATTTACCTTCTCAAATAAGTAAAATGGAGTGCAAGTTGGACTCATAATTGGTGGTTCTCAATACATAGTCTAAAAATACATGTACCTCAAAAATATAAACACTGCAGATCAAAGATTATCTTGACACTTCTCTTTCTTGCTGTCTTTTCCAGAAATAACCATTATTATCAATCTTGTGTGCATTTTCCGGTCCTTTTTCTCTCTACGTATTTGCATTCTCTACTAAAATAAACTTCATGGAAATGGATAGTTGGCACCCCATTACTCTTGGTTAAATGAATGAATGTGTATCTGTGTGTATGTGTGTGTGGGCACATACATATATATATATGTGTGTGTGTGGGCACATACATATATATATGTGTGTGTGGGCACATACATATATATATATGTGTGTGTGGGCACATACATATATATATGTGTGTGTGTGGGCACATACATATATATATGTGTGTGTGGGCACATACATATATATGTGTGTGTGTGGGCATATACATATATATATATACACACACACACACATATATATACACACACGTGTATGCTAACTGCTTTGTGTATGTTTTGAATGTGTTTTGATATAAACCATATTGCTTTGTACATATTACTTGGCAACTTACTTTTTTCACTGAACAACATACCTTGGGGATATTTCCATGTTACCACATCTTGTTCTATTTCGTTCATTTTAACTGTTGTTAAAATGTATGTTATGGATATTTATCTGTCCAATTCTCTACTGATGGATATTTACATATTGCCTATACTTTGCCCTTTATAAGGCTATAACAGAAGTCCTGGCAAAATTTTCTGCCCACCTATGCATGTATTTTTATGGAATTGTTTCTGAGAAGTAAGTTGTTGAGTCAAATGTTATGTGCAGTTTTTGTTTTTTTTTGTGTTTTTTTGTTTGTTTGTTTTTCGATACGGAGTCTTGCACTGTCGCCGGGCTGGAGTGCAGTGGCATGATCTCGTCTCACTGCAACCTCCACCTCACGGGTTCAAGCAATTCTCCTGCCTCAGCCTCCCGAGTAGCTGGGACGACAGGCACGTGCCACAATGCCCAGCTAATGTTTGTGTTTTTTTTTTAATAGAGACGGGGTTTCACCATGTTGGCCAGGATCGTCTCGATCTCTTGACCTTGTGATCCACCCGCCTTGGCCTCCTAAAATGCTGGGATTACAGGCGTGAGCCCCTGCGCCCGGCCATGTGGAGTTTCAATAAACACTGCCAAATTACCCTCCATAAAGACTGTTGCAGTTTACTTTCCAGCTGTGCATGAGAGCATGTTATTTCCCTACATGCTTGCCAACATCAGATACTATTGATTCTTTTAATTATGCCAATCTGATGGGTGAAATGGTGGGTTTTTAAAAACATTACATTCAACCGATCATTAGATCTAGCCTCTTTCTGTATGTATGTTGGCCTTCCTCAGTGCAGGTCTATCTTTTACGCATTTTCTCTTCTTTTCCTATTTCAGAGGAAAAAAGTTCCCCCTTCTTGATGTCCAATAATTAATCCACATGCCTCTTTGTTTCTCAAATATCTTCTTTCTTTAGCATCTTCAATTTTCCTGTCTTTATATAGTTCTTCCTCTTGGCTTTCTATATAATCAGACTATAAATACGTTGGAATAAAAGACTGTATTCAACTCTACCATTCCCTTTAACCTCTCCCTTACTCGCTCTGCCCCTAAACTTGTCAAATGAGTGCTCTGAATCTGCTACTTTCTCCTCCTCTAGTCAACAACATCGGTGAAGTCATTCAGTCCTAATTTTACTGAATTTTTAAAGTTCTTTTAAATCCTGCTGCCACCTCTTTGTACCCACAGTCTCCTCTGAACTTCCAAGATACCATCCCATTTCTTGTCTTCCCTCTAGAACTACTTTCTTAATTTCTTAAGCTTACTTTTCCCCTCCTTTTACCTATAAGTGTGGATGTTCAACAGTTTTTATTTTTGGACCTTTGTTCCTTTTTCTTCACTTGTTGCTTTGGAGATCTCATCCATTCCAAACATTTCAACTATTTTCTCTCTGCGGATGACCCCTGAAGTCAGTATTTCTAGTCCTGGTGTCTCATTAAAAATCCAAATTTTCACTTGCACTTTTCTGATTGAATTGGACTCAATGTGACTTCAAGGTCAGAATGACAAATGACATTTAGTATCTTCCTCTCTCTCAAACTGAATTCTGTGATTTTATCAACTTTTTTTTTTTGTATGTAATGAGAAACAGAACATCTTACTTTCCAAGTAGTGAATTCTCCCTGGATAGAGACTAATTTTGTCTACTGAATACTTTGATGAGTCACTTTTGATGTAGGGGAATAGGTGAGAGGGCAACCTCAGGAAGGACTGAGCTTGTAGAGAAAGAGGTGGCTATGCAACTGCTTTCCAAGTGGTGCTGAGCTGCTGTTACACTTTTGTTTTGCTGGATACACTTTCAAGAGCTGAATTGTCTGGGGCTATAATGAGGATGGCAGTGGCTGTGGAAAGAAAGAGGAGGAAAAAGGTAGCTGGCAACCAGAATGGAAATTTGGCAAAAGAACAGACACGTTTAAGAGGGATTTTATGAGGCTCTGCCCTGCTCCACTGCATGCATGATATACTTGCTTACTTATCTCTCTGGAAAATCTTCAGCACAAAACCTTTTCTTACTGATTGATTGTGATTAATTGCAGTTAATTAGTTAAAATGTGGCATTAATTATTGACATTCTCTTGCTTAAATTTTCTCAGTGGTTTTCTGTTGTCCTAACACTGTATCAAAAATAATTCTTTCTTTTACAGCTTTATTAAAATGCACTTGACAAACAATAGACATCTTTAAAATGTACAATTTGGTAAGCTTTGACATACGCAAACACCTGGGAAACCATCATAAAACTTAATGTAATGAACTTACACATCACCTCCAAAAGTTTTGTTGTGGCCCGCTATTTATTTATTTATTTAAATTTCAACTTTTATTTTAGATACAGGGAGAACATGTGCAGATTTGTTACATGGGAATATTGCCTAATACTGAGGTTTGTACTGAGGTTTGAAGTACAGATCTTGTCACCCAGGTACAGAAGATAGTGCCTGATAGGTAGTTTTTCAAAACACTTCCCCTTGTCTCTCTCCCCCTTCTGGTAGTTCACAATGTCTATTGTTCCATTGTTTATATCCATGTATGCTCAATGTTTAGTTCCCACTTTTAAGTGATAACATGCGATATTTGGTTTTCCGTTCCTGGATTAATTTGCTTAGGATTATGGCCTCCAACTGCATCCATTTTGCTGCAAAGAACATAATTTCATTCTTTTTTTATGGCTGCGTACCATTCCATGGTGTATATGTACCATATTTTCTTGATCCAATCTACCATTGATGGGCACCTGGTTTGATTCCATGTCTTTGCTATTGTGAATAGCCTTGTGGCTTTTTATAATTCCATCCTTCTCTCCATGCTGTTCCCAGACAAACACTGATAGAGTGCTTCTTCTATTACTATAGATTTCTTTGTGTTTTCTAGAATTTAATATAATGCAATTATAAACTATGTACTCTTTTTTGTTTCTTTACTTTTATTCATCATATTATTTTGAGATTTATCTATGCTGTTTTAAATTTAAATAGTTCATTCTTTTTATTGCTAATTTTCCTTTGTGTGGATACATGACAATTTCAGCATTTGTTCGCCCATTAATAGGCAATTGGATTTTTTCCAAATTTTGACTATTACAAATAAAATTGTTATGAAAATTTGTGTCTTTGTGTGGACCTGTGCCTTTCTTTCTTTCTTTTTTTTTTTTTAGACAGAGTCTCTGTCTGTCACCCAGGCTGGAGTGTAATGGCACAGTCTCGGCTCACCACAACCTCCACCACCTGGGTTCAAGCAATTCTCCTGCCTCAGCCTCCCGAGCAGCTGGGACCACAGGCATGTGCCACCACGCTCGGCCAATTTTGTATTTTTACTAGAGATGGGGTCTCTCCATGTTGGACAGGCTGGTCTTGTATTCCCTGCCTCCAGTGATCCTCCCGCCTTGGCCTCCCAAAGTGCTGGGATTACAGGCGTGAGCCACTGCACCCAGCAAACATTTCATTCCTTTAGTGTTATCTTTTCACCATCTAGTTTTAAATGTTGATGAAATTCAGCTTTTTTCTTTTATGCTTCATGCTTTTTGTGTTTTATTTAAGAATCACTAATAAGCCCAACATTACTGAGATTTTCTCTCATGTCTTCTTCTAGAACCTTTATAGTTTTAGCAAATCTGTTTAAATGTATAATCCATTTTGAGTGAGTATGTGTTGCTGGTATAAGGCAAGGTTGAGGTTTATTATTGTTATTTTGCATATGGTTAGCTAATTGCTCCAGAACCACTTACTGAAAAACTATTCTTTCCCCAGTGAACTGCCTTTTCAGCTTTGTTGAAAGTCAGTTGTCCAAATATGTGTGGATCTACTTTTGGATTCTCTATTCTGCTCAAAATTTTTTGACATAAAGTTGTTTATAATATTCCTTTAACATTCTTTTAATACCTGTAGATTTTGTAGCAGTACCTTCTCTCTCATTCCTAATATGAGTAATTTATATTTTCTCTCTTTTTTCCTGATTAGTCTGCTAGCACCCTATCGATTTTATTGATCTTCTCAAATAACAAACTTTTGGTTACTTTGGTTTTTCTTTACTGGTTTTGTGTTCTCCATTTCACTAATTTCTCCTGTGATATTTATCACCTTCTTTCTTCAGCTTAATTTTAGGCTTAATTTGCTCTTCTTTTTCTAGTTTATAAGGTGGAATCTGAGGTCATTGATTTGAGAACTTTCATTTTCTAGTGGCAAATTCAAGAGGACTCCACTAAATCACTCCTGTTTAGTGATTCACTGGAAGAACTCAAAGAATTCAAGAAGGCCACAATACTCACAGTTTATTAGAGTGGAAATACAGATTAAAGACAGTGAAGGGAAGAGGCTCATAGAGCAGGGTTCAAGAGAGCATAGGCATGCAGCTTCCAGTTGTCCCCAGCAGAGATGTGCAAACAGCACTTATTTCTCTCAGCAATGATGTGTCACAGTATGCATAAAGTATTGACTTTCTTTTTTCTCAATATTACTTTAGTTATTGGTGGTTTCACACAAATTTCGAATTTTTAAAACTGGAGTCATTCACCTGAGCTTTGTGTCCAGAGTTTTTATTGGAGGTTTGTCCAGAGCTTTTTACAGGGGTTTGGACACACTAATACACTGTGTAGCCTAAAGTCCCCACCATAAATCATTGTTAGCATAGGCTGTCTGGTATGGCCCAAACCCTCCCAGATAAACAAAGTTATTTTAATCAGGCAGGACATTCCAAGGGTTTAAAAGTTATGATCCAAAGCCTAGGGAAAAGGGAGGACCAAAACTTTCTTTGGGCAAGGTTAATCCTTTACTGTACACTAATGTAAATATTTTAGTGCTATGAGTTCTCCTCTGTGTACTGAATTAGCTGCATTTCAAAAATTTTTGATATATTGCGTTTTTATCCTTATTTACTTCAAAATACTCTATAATTCCTCCTTTGATTTATTCTTTGACCCATAGGTAGTTTATATACATGTATTTAGTTTCCAAGTATTTGGAGATTTTCCAGATTTTTCTACTATTAATTTCTAATATAATCCCACTGGAGAGAGATAATGTAACTTGTACTACTTGATTCTTTTTTTATTAAAATCCAAAATGAAAGAGAAGATATTACAACTGATACCACAGAAATACAAAGAATTGTGAGACTACTATGAAGAATTATACACCAACAAATTGGAGAACCTAGAAGAAATGTATAAATTCCTAGACACATACAACCTACTAAGACTGAATCATGAAGAAAAAAATCTGAACAGATCAATGATTGAGGAGATTAAATTAGTAATAAAATTTTTCCCATCAAATAATAGCCAAGGACCTGATGGCTTCACTGCCAGATTCTATCAAACATTTAAAGAAGAACTTATGCTAATTGTTCTCAAATGTTTCCAAAAAATTGGAGAAGAGGGAGTCCTTTTAAACTCATTTTATGAAGCCAGCATTACCTGATACCAAAACCAGACAGGGATACTATAAGAAAAGAGAATTACAGGACAATATTTCTGATGAATATAGTTGTTAAAATTCTCAACAAAATATCAGCAAACTGAATTTGACATCACATTAAAATGATCATACATTATAATCAAGTGGGATTTATCCCTGGGATGCAAGCATGGCTCAACATATACAAATCAATAAACGATACACCATATTAACAGAGTGAAGAACAAAAGCCATATAATCATCTCAACGGATGCAGAAAAAGCATCTGATAATTTCAACATCCCTTCATGACAAAAACTCTCAACAAATTAGGTATAAAAGAAATATACTTTAACACAATAAAGGTAATATATTACAAGCCCATAGCTAACATCATTTTCAACAGTAAAAAGTTGAAAGCCTTTTCTCTAAGATCAAGATCAAGACAAATATGCCATCTTGTTACCTTTATTCTACATAGTACTGGAATTCCTAGTTAGAGCAATTATTAAAGAAAAAGAAATAAAAGGTGTCTAAATTACTATTAAAGTAAAACTATCTCTGTTTGCAGATGATACGATCTTAAATTATATAAAACCCTAAAGACTCTAGTAAAAAAGTATTAGAACTAATAAACAAATTTATTAAATTTGCAGAATACAAAATCAACATACAAAAATCAATTCCATTTATGTACACTAACAATGAACTATGTAAAAGAGAAATTTAGAAAATGATCCTATTTACAAACATCAAAAGGAATAAAACACCTTGAAATAAATTTAACCAAGGAGGTGAAAGATCTGTACACTAAAAACCGTAAAACAATGATGAAAGAAATTGAAGAAGATACAAATACATGGAAATCTATCCTACCTTCATAGATCAGAAGGGTCAATATTGTGAAAATGTCCACACTACCCAAAGTCATCTACAGATTGAATGCAATCTCTATGAAATTTCCAGTGGCATTTTCACAGATTAAATATTGCTTTAGATAGCTAAAGCAATATTAAGAAGAAAGAAGAAAGCTGAAGGCATCACATTTTCCAGTCTCAAGTTATATTACAAATCTATAGTAATCAAAACAGTATGGTATTGGCTTAAAAACAGACATATAGAATAAAGGAACCGAACAGAAAGCCCAGAAATAAACCCACACATATATGGTCAACTAATCTTTGACAAAAGCACCAAGAGTATGCAACGGGAAAAGGGTAGCCTCTTCGATAAATGGTGCTGGGAAATTGAATATCTGTATCCAAAAAAATAAAATAAAATAAAACTGAACCCTTATGTTACACTATATACGGAAAATCAACTTTAAATGGATTAAATATTTAAATGTAAGATCTGAAACTGCAAAAATTTTATAAGAAAACATAAAAAAAAGCTTCATGACATTGGTCTTGGCAATTTTTTTGATGTAACAACAAAAGAACAGATAACAAAAGTAAAAATAAACAAATGGTAATACATCAAACTAAAAAAGCTTCTGCATGACAAAAGAAACAATCAACAAAATGAAAAAGCAAACCATGAAATGGGAGAAAATTTTGTAAACCATATGTCTGATAAAGGATTAATATCCATTTAAAAAAATGGGCAAACCGCCTGTTTTCAAAGAATATATGTTTTCATTTTTTCACTTTTCCAAAGAAGATAATCAGGTATATGAAAAGGTGCTGAACATCACTAATCATCTTTTTTGATTATTCAACATTTTTCTAAAGTAGACACTCAAATGGCCAAAAGGGATATGAAAAGGTATTCAACATCATTAATCATTAGGGAAATGAAAATCAAAACCACAATAAAATATTACCTCACATTTGTTAGGCTGGTCATTATCAAAAAGACAGTATTTTTCTTTCAGTATTTTAAAGATGTTGCTTTACTGTGTTCTCACTTGCTTTGTTTTCACCAAGAAATCTTCTGTCATCTTTATCTTGTTCTACTGTACAAAACATGTTTTTATCCTGTGGCTGCTTTTAAGATTTTCTCTTTAACACTAATTTTCAGAAATCTGATTATGATATTCTTTGGTGTATTTTGTGTATGTATGCTTGAGTTTTGTCAGGCTTCTTGGATATGTGAGGTTCGAGTTTTATTGACTTTAGAAACTTTCAGTCATGATTTCTTCCAATAGTTTTTTCTTTCTTCCCATCTTTCTTCTCTTCTTTTAAAACCCCAGTTATGTTAGTTCACTTTAAGTTGTCCTGTAACAATTAATTGTCTGTTTCCTTTCAAAAATTATTTTATTTCCTCTATCCTCCATTTTTGGTTTGCCTTTGTTGCTATATCTTCCTAGGTTACTAGTATTTTCTTCTACATTGTCTAATCTATCATTAATCTCATCCAGTGTATTTTTCATCTCAGATATTGTCATTTTCATCTCCAGAAGTTGGCTTTGCAGCTTTTAAAAATATCTTCTATGTCTGCTTAACATCTCTAGCTTAACTATTTTATTTTTAAATTAAATTATTATTATTTTTTTACTAATTCTAACATCTGTGCCAGTTTTCCTTTCATTATACGTTGCATTTTTCTGCTATTTTTGTATGCTTGGTAATTTTTTTATTTTATTCCATACATTGAGTTTTAATTTTGTGTTGGACTTTTTATTTTTCTATAAATATTTTTGAGCTCTGTTTTAGAATACAGTTACATTTCTTGAAATAATCTGATGCTTTTGTACCTGGCTTTAATCATTTGTTAGATGACAGCAGAGCAGCATTTAGTTTAGAGATCATTATCCTCCACTTCTGAGCCCAAACACTTCTGAGCTCTTGTCCCAATGCCCCATGAATTTTAATGTTTTTGAGTTTGGCTGGTGAAACTATACACTATTCCCGGCCCTACATGAAATTCAGTTACTGTTTTCTTTAATCCTTTGTGTGGTTATTTTCCCAATCTCAGGTGGTTTTTTCACACTCATGCTCTTGTTAATACCCTACTGAATACTGAGGGTGGGCTCTCTGATGACCTCACAAATTCTCTCTTTGCCCGCTTCTCTCCTCTGCTATCCTCAGCCCTGTGAACTCTACTTGACTTATTCTCCTCTCAGCTGTGTCTCCTTGACTCGAGGAGTTTGATGGTTTCCCCCTGGATTTCCCCTCTCTGTGCCATGGCCTGGAAATTGTCTCAAGGTGGTAAGCTTGTTTTATTATAAAACTCACCTCATTTTTTCTTGTCCTTCCTTGCCTGATGTCTAATGTCTTGACAACTGGTGCTTTATGTATTTTGTCCCTTACTTTGTTTTCACTGGAAATAGAAAGTCAATTATTTTTAAAGAGATTTTTTAAATGGCACAAATACTGTTTTTTATATTTATTACATATTTACTAATGATATTCTATCTGTAATAGTCTGTAGTTGGTTTGTATCAGCTCATAGGACCCAGTTGTTAAATATCCAGAAATTCTGTGAACCAGTTGTTAGAAATTGTTGTTTGCTTGAATTTGGCCATGGTGGGAATATTTATATTCACAAAATTGGTCAAAATGCTATAAATCCAGGCTTTTCCCTTTTTTCCTTTTTATCCCTCACAGGGAGCTGGCTTACCAATTCCATCTGGACTTTTTTTCATTTTGTCTGAAAGACATCCTTTAACATTTCTTATAGTGTGTGTGTCTCCTGGCAAAGAATTATTTTAGTTTTTTCATGTCTGAGAAGTTTATTGTGCCAATGTTTTTGAAAGATATTTTCACTGGATATAGAGTACTAGGTTAAGAGGATTTTTTTTACTTTAAATAATTTAAAGATGTTTCTCCACACTCTTTTGCCTGAATTGTTTCTAGTGAGATGACTGTAGTCATTCTTAACTGTGTTCATTTGTACATAGTGTGTCTTTTATTCTCTGGCTGCTTTTCAAGATTTTTCTTTATTAGTTTTAAGCAATCCAATGATACTATATCTTGTTAAAGTGTTCTTCATGTTACTTGTGCTTGGAGTTCATGAAACTTCTTCAATCTGTGGCTTTTCCTTTTCATTAAATTTAAAACTGCTTCAGCTATTAGTTATTCAATTTCTTTTTTCTGCATTAGTCCTCCAGTTTTATAGGACTCTCAATATTAGGCTGCTTAATGTTGTTCTACAGCTCACTGATGCTCTGCTCACTTTTTTTAAGTCAGTTTCTTTCTGTTTTTATCCTAGGTGAATTCTATTACCTTATCTTTAAGTTTGACTTGAGATACCTAATCTGCTGTTAATCCCATCCAGTATATTATAAAATCACATTCATTGTATTTTGCATCGGAAGAAGTTTTATTTCAGTCTTTTTTAAATCTTCCACGTCTCTTCTTAACATATGTACACTCTCTTCTATCCTGCCGAACATATTGAATATATATTTAATAGCCTTGTCTGCTAACTCCATCATGTATATCATTTCTGGATCTGTTTCTATTGAGTGTTTTTCTCCTCCTTATGACCCATATTTTTCTTTTTCTTTGCATATATGACTTTTTAAAATTGGATATCAGATATTTGAATTTTACGTTTCTAGCTACTGGAGTATTTGTATCCCTTAAATAAATTTGGGACTTTATTTTGTGATGCAGATAGATTACATAGAAACAATTTGATATTTCTGAGTCTTGTTTTGGAGCTTTGTAAGTTGTATCTAGGACAGCCTTTAGTGTACAGCAAATTTGCTTCCCGCGACTGGGGTGATCCGCTTCTGAGAATTCTCCTCAATGCCCTCTGTGTTAGGAGGTCTCCCACTCTGGTTGATGGAAGCACCATCTTTTCCCGGCCCCGTGTGGACTTTGAGATGGTTCTGCTTGATCCATCGAGTGGTCTCTCCCTAGCCTCAGGTTGTTTTCTTGTACTCACTGGTCAGAGCAGTTGAAGAGTCACTGGGAGTCCAATGCACATTCCAGAGCACTTCCCACCCACCGCTTTCTCCTCCCTGGGTCTCTTCCCTGGAATTTTAGCCATTTTGGCCTCCTCAAACCCTGAATGCAAGTCTCCTTAACTCAGAGAGACTGCCAGGCGCTGTTTGGGCTTCTCCTCCCTATAATACTGCCTGAAAAAGATCTCCAGGCTATAAACTGAGGCCATCACAGGGTTCACTTTATTCATTTCACTTCTTTCAGGGATCACGGTCTTGAGCCATCTGTTGTCCAGAGTTTCATATATTTCATGCATTTTAATTGTTTCAGGTTTGAGGGTAAATTCAGCCTCTGTTACCCCATCATAGAATTCCCTCAGACACAGATGTGTTAAGCTTTAGGAAATTCTACTGTAACCTATCTTCATGTATTCTCTTCCTCTCCCTTTAGGTTCATCTTCTTACTGTTCTTCACCGATGTCCTGTACTTTCAGCCTCTGTACCTTTGGTCATTTCTGTACCATTCATCCTTTCTTGCCTTTTAATGTCATTTTTATCAGTCTAAAACCCTATGACTTCTCAAGGACCATCTCAGAGTCTGTCTCTTATGTGAAAGTTAAACTGAGCCTCATACCTGAAAGTAATCTCTTTCATAAACAAACTTTTTTGAGCTTATCCTGCTTGGGTTTTGCTAAGCTTCCTGGATCTGTAGGTGGATATTATTTAACATGTATGAAACATTTTGGCCACTATTTTAAAAATAATTGTTTTCTGCCACCACTTTCTCTCCTCTATGTTGAAGACTCCAATGATATGTGTGCTAGGTGGCTTGATATTGTTTGGGAGTTCCCTGAGACCTCTTCCAGTTTTTGTAGTTGTTTAGCTTTATTTTCCTCTCTCTTGTTTTGACAGTTTCTGTTGTCCTGATTTCCTGTTCATAGACATTTCTCCTATAGTGTCTACTCCAACTTAAGCTTATCTAGCAAAATTTTCATTTCAGATATTTTTCAGATCTAGAAGTTCTATTTAGCTTTTTTATAGTTTCTGTTTCATTCTTCATTATGTTGTGTTTCACTATAAATCCTTGAACATATTTAATAATAGCCATTTTAGTATATTAGCCATTTATAAGTCCCATTATTTTAATTTACCATCTCTGCCATTTCTGGGTTGATTTCAATTGCCTAATATTACTACTTAGCATAGACACATTTGCCAGCTTTTAAGTATATCCCATAATTTCTGACTGGATGCTCAACATTATGAATGTTACTTTTTTATTATCTGAATTTTGTTTTCTTCTCTCAAAGAGTGTTGAGCTTTATTCTAGTGGGCAGTTGACTTGCTTGCAGGTCAACTTGTCTGCTTTTCCTTTCAAGGGCTCTTTTAAGCTTTGTTAGGGTTAATGGACGGTAGACTTATTCTATGCCATTTGAGTCCTACTCTAAGTTATGGGCTTCCTGGGATACCTGTTCAATGTTCCAGGTATTCAACAAAGCTATTCTGATGGCTCAGAGCTGTATCTCTCTCAGCCTCGACCAAGATCTAGTAATTATTCATACTGTAGTTCACCAGCAGTTGTTAATTCTCCAGTACTTATTCTTTGCCTGCCCCTGTGGAGTTTCACCCAATGGATGCCAGCTTAGTATTTACCCAAAGACTCAATGAGACCTCATGAAAATTGCGGGGCTCTTTCCGTGCATGGCCTCCTCTTCTCTGAGCTGTGTCCTCAGCTCAGTAAGAATTTCAGGGTGCCATGCTCTGCTTGGGTCCCTCTTGTTTGTACAGTAACCCAGGAAATTCTGGGTAGAAAACGGAAATGATCACAGCACGCACCTCATTTGTCTCCTTTCACTTATGGATCACAGTTTTGTGCCATCTCTTGTCCAATATTAGAAAACAATTATCTCACGTATATTGCCCAGTTTTCTAGGTGTTTATTATTGGAGGGTATAATGGATTGAATTATACCCACCATCCCCCCAGAAAAAGATATGTTGACATCCCAACCCTCAGTACCTCAGAATGTGACTCTGTTTGAAAATAGGGTCATTGCAAGTGTGACTAGTTAAGATGAGGTCATACTGGAGCACTGTGGACTCCTAATATGACTGATGTACTTGTAAGAAGACAGCCGTGGGAAGACAGAAACACACAGGGAAAATGCCATGTAATGCCAAAGGCAGAGTTTAAAGTTATGTAGCTGCAAGTTAAGGAATGTCAAAATTTGCCAGCAAATCACCAGAAGCTAGGAATAGGCAAGGAAGAATTTCCTTCCAGGTTTCAGAGGAAGCATAGCTCTGTTGATACCTTGATTTTAGACTTCTAGGCTCCAGAACCATGAGACAATAAATTCTGTTGTTTTAAGTCACCCAGTTTGTGGTACTTTATTACAGCAGCTCAAGGAAAATTACAAAGTGGATGGATTGAGTACAAGTTCCTTCATCGTAAGTGGAAGCAGAAGTTCCTAACTCTTTTAGTATTTGTCATCTGAACTACTTTTCTATCTTTTACCTCCTCCAATAGATAAGTTATTAGAAGGCAAATATTGCTTCTTGATTTTTTGTTTTCCGTCTATCTAAGCTTGAATTTTATGTGCACGTAAGGTAGATGTGAAATTCATGGGCATCAAATATGGGTGGGTAAAATATAATTTTGTTTTCTATAATTAAAATTATTCTATATCTAGATCCTTGTTGCATTGGGGTACACATGATTAATTCAGGGGTTTCTCAGACAATTCATGCTTGTCTCCCTTTCCTTTTCTCCCCGGGTAGTGTCTAAATTCCAGGGTGCTTATAAAAGCGCTTGTCAAAGCATTGTGGGGAAGGTACTTGGTCTTTGGTCATCATTTAACTTTCCTTCATGACTCTCATTTGCACCATCATCAGCACCTGTCCCCACTGATATCTGCTGATCCTCGGTGTGTCTGTCTGTCTGTCCTTCAGGTTGTTTTGATCCACGGCGGGTACACTGTGCCTTACACATTTCAAACACGATGTCTCTTCAGGCTTGATGGCTTCTCTCAGTTAATCTGTTTCCCTGTGAATGAGAAAATGGCTATTCCTGATCTATCCTGAGATCTTTGGGGATTCTTGGAGACTACCTCAGGTCCCTCTGTTAAGACACATTCTAGAGCCATGTATGTTTTCCACTGCTGCTCTAATAAATTACTACAGACTTAGTGGCTTAAAACAACACAAACTTATTATCTTACAGTTCTGTAACTCTGAAGTCTGACACAGGTTTCACCGAGTTAAAATCAAGCTGTCAGCTAGGCTGCATTCTTCCCTGAGGGCTCTAGAAGAGAACCCATTTCCTTACCTTTCCTAGCTTCTAGAGGCCACCTTCATTCCTTAGCTCATGCCCCCTTCTACCTCCAGGGCCAGCAGCATGGCATCTCTCTTGCCTGCTTCCATGTCCACATCTCTTTCTTTGACTCTCTTCTGCTTCCTTCTTCCATGTTGAAGATGCTTGTGATTGTATGGGGCACACCTGATTAATTCTGACTACTCTCCCTGTTCTAAGGGCATCCAATTAGAAACCTTAATTCCATCTTCAACCTTAATTCCCCTTTGCCATGTAATCTAACACATGCACAGATTCTGGGGATTAGAATGTGGACATCCTTGGGAGCCATTATTCTGCTGACCACAAGTCATTTCTACTTACCAGTCTCTAGCCAGTATGACATGTAGGGACCCAGGACCTTGTTCGTCTCATTCTGGAAATAAGCACAATTTTCCTCTGCCGTCAAAACTTTTGAATTTCCATTTCTTCTCTCTCCACCTCTCTCTCATCCCTTTCCTTGATCAGGATGTGGATAAGAAGAGGTAAGTCACAATTCAGGGCATTCAGGAGCATCTAATTGGCTGACTCTCCCTTCTTTCCATTAGCCCAGGTAATTTTTAACTCTTCTGTAGAGGAACAAATAGGCTTTGCAAGTATCTTCCATTCCTATTATATAGGAATATATACCAGTTTTAAAATTAAAAAGACGAGTTAGTTCTTATTGCCATTCTCTTCATGTATAAAGCTTTCTCTTGTTGGCAGCAATTCATTAAGAATCTAGTATGGAGGGAAAAAGCTGAAGATGGTAACAAAAAGACTTGAAAAGAGGCTTGCCAGAGAGGTGGACACGTTAAGATGACCAGGACATGTTAAGATGACAGTTCCAGCCAGCTTTCAATTCCGTAGGGCACCTCCAGACCCAGGCCAGATGTGCGGCCAGGACTCTCCCATTAGTAGATCTACTGCCACAGAGCAGAGGGATCATATCCCCATCCTCTTTTCAATACATGAATGACTTAAATGATTGAATAACTAAACAGTATTGCAGATGGGGATGGAGATTGAGGAGATTTTTTTAAAGGCATCAGCCATATGGAAGGAGCTTCCAGCTACTGAGCTGTGACAATGATCAGGAGCCAGGAGCCAGCTGGTTACTCTGATCTGACTGATACATCTCTTCACCCTCCAATCTGCTGCAGCATCTCTAAGAAGGAGGATTACATTGCTGTCTACATGTGGTAATGACACTGAGCTGATGCAGCTGATGAGTGAAGTCAGGTCTCATAGGATACGCTGGTGTTAAAGACTGCCAGCCAGAGGAAAACGTGATGCGGTACCCTTGAGAACAAGAGCAATTCTCATTCTTTCTCCCTGTATCTCCCACCACCCACTGTCCACTTTCTCTCCACCCCATCCCCACTCAGGACTAAATAAAAATTTCAAAAGCAAAGAGGAAAGAGAACAGAAATGGAAAGAAAGGGAGGAATAGGCTATGTGTGCACATATTTATTTTGGCTTCACTCTCTGCAATCCTAACATGCACAGATATTATATTATCAGATTTATTAAAAACTGAGATTGAACAACTGTTCAATGAAAACTGCTCTTGCGTTGGCTATAGCTATTTTTCATCATATGTTCCAAATGTTCACTGCAAGCAAACTATATTTACCACTTGATTTATCATTTAAATAAATGTTATAAGAGGATTAATTCCATTTTGAAATGATAAAAAACAAAACATTCCCCTATACATATGGTGTATTCAAATGCAAACAAAAAAATGTGCTACAGCCAAAACTGTCAGAAGCAAGAACCCCAACATTAACTTGGAATTGTGTTACTGTAGCATCAGCAACAACAACAAACATATGACATCACTAGGCCCTGATGAAATGGGAAAGTGTTACAAATGCTTTATTTGCTTAAAGCTTATTCTCCCTGTTCAGCCACTTTTACGGCTTTCTTTCCTGGGTTTTCATCTCAAACCGCTCCACCACATCCAACCCAAACTAAGTAATTGTTCTGAATATGAATCCTTCAGAATACAGAGCATGGCAAAGACAGAGGGAAGAGGAGTTTCCAAGGGTGTGCTGGTGTCCTCCAGGCATCTGAAGGTCTTTTGTCCCATTTCAGCAGAATGACATTTTAGCAGCTACCTAGCAGAGTCCCATGCTTAGCTATTATGAATCCTTACTATTATGAATTCGTGGCTTGACTGTGTTTTTTGTGGCTCGTGATCCCTTCAGCCCCTACCTTCCACCCCATGCCATTGTAAATCTCCCAATCTTTGCTGCAGACATAGGGAGTCAAAAAAAAAAAAAAAAAAAAAAAAAAAAAAAAAAAAGCCAACATATGTAAGAGTGCCTGCCTGCAGTGCACCAGGCAAAATGCATCTTTCAACAATTTTTAGATATTGTCATCATTATTTTCACTTTATAGATAAGAAAATTGAGAATCAGGGTTTGCTTGAGAGTTCCCAAGCCAGCAAGAAGCAGAGCTGTGAAATGAACCCAAATCCATATGATTCCAAGTCTCTGTGATGTTTCCTATTACTCATATTGCATTTAGAGGATAAATTAGATCTAGTTGGCCCATTAGAGACACATGGAGCAGATTCCAACTTTGATCAGTTCAGGAGTTAATTATGCCTGTCCAGGTCTCAAAATCTGTCTGCCAGGGATGAAGATTATGCAGGCGATCCCTTTGGCTGTCATAGAAGCTTCCTGCCCTCAGAACTGAGCATTTCTGCTTTGATTACCCCAAAATACCTGAATCTCTTGAGCCCTATCCTTTCATCTCCCAGGTAACATGTCTAGCTCTAGTTTCCAATTTCAGATAAACTAAAATCTTTTTTCATCCTTCTATCAGTATCACAGTTTCTCTGAAGCTTTCCCAGGCTTCTGATGTCTCCCGGGGGAGCTGGAGAGTTACCTTTAGTTTACAGGTAAATAATGAGTCATTAAATATATTTACATACCAGGATGTCAGCAGGAATGCAAAGAAGATAACAAGTGCAGAGTATAGCTGGTTCCCAGGGAGGCTGGGGGTGATTCACCACACTCTTAAAAGAAGACTAGCCTCATTTCCTCCCCAGCTCATGGGGTAGGATTCCTCTGCTCTGGCAGCAGATCTCCCAGAGGGAGCAGCCTGACCACATCACTGGCCCAGAAGAGGAGGCGTCTGTCCCCCAGACTAGCTGAAGGAAAGGCTGGCTTGGATGATGCTCTGCTCTCTCCTTGCCCTTCTCCTGGGCACTTTCTTTGGTGGGTGCCCTCCTCTCTGGCAAGCCTCTTTTCTCATCCTCACCCTCACCCCAATCCCGTGAATGCAGAGTCTGAGCTGTTGGTTTGACACTCTTGAGTCTATTCCTGATTGTCTGGAACAGATATGGGAATTTAGCCTTAGGGGCTGATCTGATGATTCTTAGTTCTCTCTATCTCCTGAGAAGGAGTTCGTTCTGTTGGTCTTCCCTGGCCCAGGGATGCTTTGCATCCTTGGCTCCCCCAGTCTACTCCCCATGATGGATTCCAGGTGCCTGTGTCATGCAAGAGCTTGAGCTGCCCCTCTGTCTGGGGAAGGCAAGCCAGGCTGGGGTGCTCCTCTGTAAATGGCACTTTATCTTTCCCACAGGGGTCAGATCTCAGACTATTCATCAATGGCCAGCGACCCTGGTGCAGCCTGTGGGCAGCCCGCTCTCTCTGGAGTGCACTGTGGAGGGAACATCAAACCCCAACCTATACTGGTACCGACAGGCTGCAGGCAGGGGCCTCCAGCTGCTCTTCTACTCCGTTGGTATTGGCCAGATCAGCTCTGAGGTGCCCCAGAATCTCTCAGCCTCCAGACCCCAGGACCGGCAGTTCATCCTGAGTTCTAAGAAGCTCCTCCTCAGTGACTCTGGCTTCTATCTCTGTGCCTGGAGTGTCACACTGAGCTGGGTGGGGCAGACATCTGTGCAAAAACCCCACCCTCTCCTGAGCCCTAACCATACTCCCCAGGGGCCTTCACTTAGGGACTGGGTGGAGGATATTTGTAAGTAGGTTTCTGACTGCTGGCCAATGTGAAAGCAATGGAATAAAGCGAGAATTCTACAAAAGACTCTACTAAGTTCTCAGGGAGAACAAAAAATTGTATGTGTGCAGAACCTGTGATTTGCCTGCACATAGTCAAGTTCTCAATGTATGGATGTCCCGGCCCAGGCTACCATACTCCAGCCCTCAAGGTGTGCTATACCTTGCCTGATTTTCTAGTCTTCCAAATTCTTCTATGTGTGCCGTGGGGAGGGGGTTTGTGCATATATGGCTGAGAGAAAGGATATACCTGTGGCAGGAGGTGAGCTGGTGAACAAACGGGAGGATGCCAACCCAGGTTACTTAATTGATTAATTTCATCACCTGGAGAGTCTCCTGTCATTGATCTTTCTGCTGAGACTAGAAATTATGGGGAGGCTTAGACCTGAGGCTTTGAGTCAGGCAAAGAGGCAAGATGTTCAGGAGACTGTTCTCATTCGAGGCAGAAGTGTGGTTTTGTTAGTATAGGTAACATGCACTTAGGCCAGACGTGGTAGCTCATGCCTGTAATCCCAGCACTTTGGGAGGCTGAGGCAGGAGGATCACCTGAGGTCAGGAGTTTGAGACCAGCCTGGCCAATATGGTGAAACCTGTCTCTACTAAAAGTACAAAAATTAACCGGGCGTGGTGGCAGGCGTCTGTAATACTAGCTACTTGGGAGGCTGAGGCAAGAGAATCACTTGAACCTGGGAGGTGGAGGTTGCAGTGAGCCAAGATCATGCCACTGCACTCTAGCCTGGGTGACAGAGCGAGACTCTGTCTCAAAAGAAAAAAAAATAAAAATAAACTTGCACTTAGAAATTTTGGTGATGTTTGAGGTTTTAAAAAATGTCCTGTTGTACTATCTTGTAGCCCTTCCTTTGTAGCAAAGACAGACAGATGGTGATCCAAGAGATACGCAAGAAGAGGACCGTGTGTGTAATGGTTGAGCTCTAAAAAAGAGAAATCACTTGGATGGAAATGAAGGAGAGGAAAAGGCTGATGTGGATGGCTGGGAAGAGGTTCGATGGTTACCTTGGCAACTGAGCTTCCTTCCTCATCCCCATCCCTCCCTAGTCCTTGTTCTTAAAAAGATTTTCTTTCTAATGTCCCTTCCCCTCCACAAGGGGGCACAAGATGTCTTAAAATACTCCATTCCGGGCATCATTTAACCTAGATCAATCCAGACACGTGCATATTTCTAGTATCATTTAATCTGAAGTGGAAAATCTGAGATGTAGACACAGAGTGATCAAGAACATATGGAATAATGCCCAGGGGTCCCTACTGAACTTTAAGGATCACCTATGTATTAAGCAGCTATTATTTGCTGGACACAGTGAGTCATTTTGAGGATTAAAAAGAAAAATAAAATGTACTCGAGATGGTGTTGGGCACAGTCATAGCATGATTTAGTCAAAGCACTTGATTTTTGTAGTCTAAAAATTTGCTAGTTGTTATGAACTTGACCTAGTTATTTAATTTTACTAGGTTTCAAGTTTTTCCCCACCTATAAAACTTGCCTCATTGAATTGTTATGTGTATTAAATGAGATGGTGTTTATAAAGCCCTATTACAAGCTCTAATTTTCAACAGGTATTATTTTCCGCTCCTTAAGCTTACAAGATTATTTTCATTACAACTTACCCAAGAGGAAGACTTAGTTAAAAAATTTCAAATCATAAACTACAAGTATGTAATAAATATTAATATTTAAAATGCTAAACATGCTTGGATGGCAAAACCATGAAACTTGAACCCTATGCTGTGCCTATTCAGATGCTGATTCTGTAGGGGCTTTATACAGCTTCAGAATCCTCATTAATAGAGAAATGTCTCAGGCAATCACCACTAGTCAAGTAGAATTAGTAGAGACTTGAGGCAGATTTTTCCTTCCTGTAATATACTGCAAAAATTCTGGAAAACTTCACAAAGGACATAAAATTGTAGCTAAGTTTAGCTCTTTAGGAGGCTAATAGTTATATAAGCAAAATGACATTGCAAGCAGGAGAGTCAGTTTGTGTAGAAATGTGCAGGTCTATGTGAATATTGTAAGTTTTAGAGAATCTGAAGAAAAAAAGTCCTGATCATTGCACAGAGCATCCTAGAGACAGGTGAGCATTGAAGGAGAGGCTTGAAAGCCACCTAAATTCAGCAGAACAAATTAACATCCTCCATGTTATCTGCTCTTATTCATGCAAGACTGTTCATTCCCATAACTGTTTCCATACCATCTAGGACTCAGAAATCCACAGTCATTATAATTCCAGGGGACAAAGGAAAGCAGTTTAGGATGACCGATCCTGTTCAGACATGCTGTCTCTTGCCAATAATTCATCAAACTCACTTGCCCCTTTAATCAGATGAGGCTGTCTCTTTTCTAGGAGAGCTTCCAGGATTTGCATCTGATTTTGCAGATGTGCAGGATGACTATTTCCATATATCTCCTTCCCTGGCCAGTTGCACATGGAAGATTCAGGGCCACATGCTGGTGGCCAGAGGCACTCTCCCCAAGATGCTTCTCATAGATCTCAGCCACCCATGGGACTTATAAGGAGATACCCTTGTGCCTCTAAATAGATCTCAGCCACCCATGGGACTTATAGGGAGTCACCCTGGGGCCTCTGGACAGCTTGAGTAAGATGAAGAATGCCCGGGGTTGGGAAGCTGGTAATACTAAAATTAGGCGACTTCTTATTTTTGCCCAGGATTCAGTGGTTTGGGATAAGAATGCTACAATCCCTTGAGCTCCTGCAGAGCAGGCTTGACCTATTATATACCTGGTAATTTCCCACTACTTACTTTGGGGGTTTCTGCCTCTCTAGTTTTTCATTCTGTCTTGCATTATGTTCTTCTAAGATGTGTTAGAAAATATTCATCACACAGACCTTACAGGCTTTAGCAACTACAGGAAAAAACTACGAGGAGCCAGTCAATGCAGTGCACAAACACTGGCTCAGACATCCAGGGACTGTCCGTTTTGCAGTCTGTTGGTTATCTAGGGCTACCTCTCCTGTGACTCATCAGCACCTCTCATTACATGAGTGGAAGGAAGTGGGAGGATACATGTGGAGGGAGGTGGAAGGGAGTTTGGGGGGCAGGTGGGAAGAGAGAGTTGCCTGAGTGATGTGGGACCAGAAGGGATCCCAACTGGGTCAGAGCAGTTATTGCAGCTGTTTTTCATTCTCCACTATCTTCATGGTGCCCACTGTGGCCTTTGATCTTGTGCATAACCTCCAGCAGGTGTAAAGATGTGTTGGGGGAGGGGAGGCCTGCACATGGATCTGGGATACCTAGATTCCCCTCTAGAGACCCTGCCCCTCCCCTCTGAAGTTCTATTTCTACTGCCAGGATGCTAACCAGGGGCCCAGGTAGAAAGAGCAGCATAGGAGGGGGTTGGGTGCCGGATGCGGTGAGTGTGGTTCTCATGATGCTCTGAAGGTGGGTGGGTGGAGGGAGCGACTTTCACAGGCACCCCAGATGCAGGACCCAGTAAATGTCAAACCACATCCTGTTGTGACTGTAAGAGATGGAGCTAGGGCAGGTGGCTGCTGTGGCTTGGTGCTGATGTGACTCAGAGATAAACAGCCCGGCAGCCAGCACTGGGCTCAGAACCCCCATTCCTACCCCAGTTGTCAGCTATTACCTAAAAGACCCCGATTTACATCTCATTACTTCCCACCTTTTGATTCAGGGCCACTCTCCTTTTTAACACAATTTTCTTGTCATTCATGGCCCTAGACCTTTTTGATGGAGGAGGGCCAGGGAACAGGTGTCAGGGCTCCAGTTGACTCTTGCTAACTGTGGGACTCCAGTGCCAGTGCTGTCCTCTTCCACCATCAGACTGTCTGAGACTATGTCACAGATATGTATGATTTGAGGCCAGGAAGAGCTTAGCTTCTCTGAGTTCCCATTCTCTTGGTACTTCAGAGACTGCAGGCTTTGAATCAGAGAATCTGAAGAGCAGAGTTTGAAGATTCTTAGAGATCACTTTACCCAATGTCCTCATATCACAGAGGAGGACATATAAGCCCAGAGAATAAAAATGAGTTGTTCAGAGCCATGCAGCTGGGGCCAGAGGAGGACCAGAAGCTAATTCTCTGTGTTTTAGCAGCTCCTGGACTTCAGACAAGGCTTGGGGAATGTGGGGTCTCTGTTGAGCTGTGATCTTGCTATGAATTTCATGAATCACTCTTATAGTAATGAATCAGGCAAGATGATCATATCTGAGATGGCATGAGGATAGAAGGATAAATATAATGAATCACAAAATTAGAATCCTGCAGAATCTTAATAGGTTGGAGAGATAAGCTGAATAAACATGATAAACATTCTCTCTCTCCCTCCTCCCCCACCAAACAGAGAAAACCATCTATATGAACACAGGAAGGGGAATATGTGAAAGAAGGATATGTGAAAAAACACCCAGGGGGTGAGTCAAAGTGAGCTCTGTGAGTCAACGGGATGGTGAGCGTACAAAAAGTAGATAAATTGTCCTAATGGAACCAACTAACGTATAAGATGTTGAGAAAGAGGAGGCAAAGTTCCCCCTTTACTCTTTGTAGGTCAGAACCCACCTGGTGCTGGGTCAGGTCCTGTACAACACATTTTTTAAAAGATAGAGGGATAAAAACAAACTTTAATGTTTTCAGAAGGGAGTGATTGGGCTATGGAAAGTAGGACGTGCTCAAAACTGTGCCCTATAATAACAAAATTGAGAAAACTGAAAATGTTTTGCCTGAAAAAAATCTTCAGGTTGGTAGTAGTTATAATAACACCTAATACTTACTGATATTGTTCTAAAAGCTTTACATGTTGTGTGGGTTAAATGAGATAAAACGATCTTATGAAGTTGGGCTTGTAATTGAGCTCATTTTACAGCAAGGAAAACTGAGTCTCAGAGGTGATCACTTGCCCAGGGTCACATAGTTGATAAATGACAGAACTAAGGCTTAAACCCAGGTCTCTGCATTACAACATCTTCTTTGCTATGATAATGTTTTCATCCATCCACTACATGCTTTTTTTCCATTCCAAAAACTCAAGTTTTAAAGTTTCTAATGATTCTGTCTCGCATAGATTTATGGGTTCTTGCCAGAATATGGGCACTCTGTTGCATGTAGACACCTGAGAGGGCTTTTGGGGGGACTATAGGGTCCCAGAGATAAGTGAATAGCAACTGTAGGTTGGCAAAAAGGAGCTGAGAATTAGCTTTACATGTTGTGTGGATTAAATGCTCATATTCACAGAGGGCAGTTGAGATCAGTTGCAGAGCAAGCTGATAAAAATCCTTTGGAAATAGTCACAGGTGTAGGCTCATTTTCAGATCCTTTTTGCTGACCTACAGAAGCCATTCACTCATTTTTGGGGCCCCATATTCCCCAAGAAGCCCTCTCAGGAGTCCACCAGCAGCAGAGATAAAGACTATGGATAGAGATGGGAGAGAAAGGCATGTAGTTGAGTCTATAGGAGAGGGGGATGGCGAATAGAAAATATCATGTCTGTTGGAGGGAGATGATTCATAAGTTCTGCCACAATAAAAAAAATAAAAGGACAGGCAGAGATGTAGGGATGTTAAGGAACCCAGGAACTTCAAATTCACAAACACAGACAGCAAGAAAAGGAAGGCTTCCAGATAGGAGGAAAGAACATTCAACCCTAGAATAAGGCAGGGAATATGTTGTGTTTGAGTCTAGGTGGGTTGGGTAGTCTTAGGTTATGGGGTCCCAAGCCTCAGAAATCAGCTTTTTGGGAGCCATGGGAGTTTGCCACAAGCAATGGAAATGAACTGTGATTAAAACTGTTGGCCATGCTTCATGCCATTCTATACTATGAGTCTTCTTATATAGCATAGGGGAGTTTCTAGGACATGGTAAAAGTGAACCTGGTGATGAGTCTGAGATGTCAGTAGAGAAGCAGAAAATGGATTCACTCATGGGTCCATGGCAAAGCTGAGTTCACCTCTGGGTTTTAGCCATTCCCGTGATCTCCACCAGCATCTCCCAACACCCCTAAATGAAAATATGGCTAGACATCTTTGCTCAGTGTTACCTGAGGAAGAAGCAAAAACTCATTTTTGTTTTCACTATGCAGCTTCAACAGAGGTCTCAAAGCACCAATATTCCATTCCCACATTCATTTATAACCAGAGAAACCTCACAAAGATTCTCCTATATAGGACATTTGGGGCTGTGTGTCACACAGACTGTTAGGGGCTGATATCAGTCTATCTCCACCCCTCCTTTCTGGGCCACTACAGAAGAAAAATGAGGAAATGGCTCAGGGACGGAAATGGAGACTTTAATATCTATTAGGATCCATTGCCCTTATCTCAAACTCTTATTATGAAATCACTCCCTCGAGAGAGAAAAAGCCTTTTTCTCTTGGATTGTCCCAGCAGCTCCCGACCATCCCCACTCCCCAACCTTATGTGGCCCAGCAATGAGCCTAGTAGTAGGAAAATCTCTATGGATACTGGTGCTGATGGGAAGATTCTTCCTCTCAGGAAGTGATGGTGACTGGGGCTCTGGGATGCTCACGGGAATCCCATTTCCCCCACAAAGAAGTTATTTTATTACGCAACCATTTGGATGACCCCCTTTTTCTTCCAATTTCCCAAATAAATCTGTAAAGGTCACAGGTGAAGTTCTTCTCTTTAAGAGCTACTCCATGCTAAGTTCAGCGAGAACTTGGGGTACCCTAGACATTCTTCCAGAGATGCTTTTCTTGTAACTCTTTTCAATAAGTAAGCATGCTTTGCTCTGCACTGGGTGTCACCTGTGTAGGATGCTGTTGTCCCTGCCTTGCCCTATATTCTGTCCACATGGTTTCTTCATAGGATGATGCTTAGGTCAGCCCTGAGGTTTGAACCAGTCAACAAGTCCAGGTTGGTGTGGAGTCCCTTTAGTACCTCCCTTTGCAGGAATAATGCTGCACCCAGAAACTCCCTCAGAGCCTCTCCACTGGAGGGGCCTTGTGACCATTCCTGGTTTACTCCTCTTGTTCCAGCATCCCATGTGGCTAATGGGCCCCTTTCATTTTCAATGGTATCTCAATTCTTACAGTAAGTTATATTATTGCCCTACATCGAACTCATCTTTTCTCAGTGTTACCTGAGGAAGAATGGAGAGGATGCCCAGAATTGGCCCAGAAGAATCCACTTCGATTCTAGAGAAAAAGGCAGGTAGAGGCAGAAGAGATTCACTTCCCAGTGCATGCGTGCTGAATGTTGGGGGTGTTGTTTGAGAGAGACAAGGAAATGGCTGTAAAAACTTGGGAAGAGGAACCTGCCCTGGGTCAAGTAGGGTGTTGGGAGGACCAGATGGAGCTTGAAGCTCTCTCC
This sequence comes from Homo sapiens, assembly GCF_000001405.40. Lineage (NCBI taxonomy): Eukaryota > Metazoa > Chordata > Mammalia > Primates > Hominidae > Homo > Homo sapiens. The sequence continues at coordinate 828,092 of NT_187562.1, read as the reverse complement.
ATCTCTGTCAAGTCCCCTGGACTGAGAGGGTAAAATTCACATGGCCTTTTATCCTCCAGAGGAGAATTCATTCACCTGGGTCTGATTGCAAACTCTAGGGTACTAACAAGAAACTCCTCCCACATCCTCCCACCTGCTAATGCCTCCGTTTTCCACGTCCCCAAGATGATGGCCATCAAACTAACAGACACTATCTTTCTTCTACAAGGTGTTTCCCCCTTCCCACCTCCACTCTAATCTTGCACTACAGCTGCTCAGCCCCTCACAGCTCTGCCCACACAAACCACTATCCTCCAATATCCCCAGTCCTAGCCTGCGCCCTCTGGCCCCCACAGTTCTGCTCTCTCTGAAGTGCTTCCTTGTTCCCTCGGCTGCTCATCCTCCTGTCCTACCTTTGCGAGGAGCCACAAGGATATGCCTGCTGCCTCCACGCAGGTCTAAGGAGTGGGAAGCATGAATGTTGGTCTAGGGCCTAAAGCCTGTCCCCTTTGTTTTAGGCTTTTTTTTAGCCAATATAAAAACAAACCAGCACATATGTAACAACAATAGCCAACAAAATACTATACTGCATTTTGAGCAGTCTAGAGATAGTTACGACTGATGGAAATGACCGGCATGTGATGAGTTTCCTGGGCCCCATCCCTGCTGTGAGCACATCCTTTCCTGGTCTTTGCAAGCTGCCACCAGAGAACCCTCTTCTCCAGTTCCAAGATCCCCAGTGTAGTGGGAAGAAGAGTGTTCCCCCAGAATTCATGCCCACTCAGAAACTCAGAATGTGACCTTATTTGGAAATAGGGACTTGGCAGGTATAATTTGTTAAGATCTCTCAATAAAATTGTTCTGGATTTAGGGTGGGCCCTAAATCCTAAGACCATGCCTTGAAAAGAGAAAGGAGAGGGGAGCTTAAATGCAGAGACACAGGGAAAATGCCATGTGAAGACAGAGGCAGAGATTGCTGCGATGCTGGCACAAGCCAAGGAGTGCCAGAAGCCATCAGACATGGGAAGAAGCAGGAAAGGATTCTCCCCTAGAGCTGTCATACAGGATGACCCGCTGACATCTTGGTGTTGTATCTTTAGCCTCCAGAACTGTGAGAGAATAAGTTTTTATTGTTTTAAACCCACCAGTGGTACTTTGTTACGGCAGCCGTGGGAAACAAAGACACCAAGGCATTAAGGTGTCTTCAGTGTGTTACCATGGGCCCTGCCTGGAGTTTGGGAGAAGCTGCTCTAGGATCACCCAGATACCAGGAGCAATCCCACCATCCTGGTAACTACTTGGAAAAAGTTTCCAGAATTGCCATCTTCAGCAGAACATGCCACGGTTTCACAACTCATAAGTAATTTGAACTGTAATCTTCAGTTTCCACATCTATAACATGGGGAAAATAATACCTGTTCCTGGGATCATTGTGCAGATGCAGACAGCACAGGTAGCAGCGTCCAGCCTGAGGCCTGAAGCAAGCAGGCTCTCAACAAAGGGCTCCCTCCTCTTTCCCAACCTTTCTCTGCTTTCAGACTTCTCTTCTCTCCCCTGACAGTCTTCCTCAACTAACTTCGACATGGCCTCTCTCAGCCCCTCTCACTGTTCTAGGCCTCCTTTTCTTTAATCCCATTCCTCCTCTTCCTCCATGTAGTGTTTTACCACAATGCATTCAGCCTGTATGCAGAATTTACCTTGACAGGATAACTGTCTTTGCCCAAGTAGGAGCAGTTAACACCTTGTGTTTGGAGTGGTTTGGTTTCCATCCATCAAACGAAGAAGCCCATTGGAAGGGCTACTCTGAACATAGCACTTCAGCCCCCACTGGGCCCTATATCCCATTGCTCCTGACTTAGTGTGTCTCGCTCCTGAGAAATCACTCTTCCCCAGGCTTTACATATCAGTTGTCTCAACTCTGCCTTCTCTAGTATTTCAAACTAGACATGCAGAGTAGCACTCAATTTTAAGCCCAAATCCTGAAACAAGAGAAGCTGGAGGTGTTAAGACTACAAACTAATAAAACTAAAGGTAAAACAGGTGACAGTTTAATCTGGAATTGGGAAATGACCAGACATTGTAACCCATAGGTCTGCCCGCATCCTCTGTCCTGCACTGGGTAAGGGCTTATGGTTTGCTGTGTGCCTTCCTCTCTGTCCTCAACTTGCTGGTTTTCCAAAGCCCAGCCATTGCCCTTCAGACTAACCCTCCAGTGGGGACCCAGAATGCCTGGGTATGGAAATGGTGTTTGAGGACTTCCATCAGGATGAACAGGAGAAAGCAGCATTGGGTGGAGAGAAAGAGGGCTGTCACTTCAGATGTCCAAGGGAATGCTGCTTTCCCTAAATCAGAAGATAGGTCAGTGATGAGCAGAACTCCACAGACACTCCTGAAATGCAACCAGGCCCAACACACAATTTTTTATTGGTTTAGCCTATTTCGTACTTGGGGGTTGGGAGCTCAATCTTCAGGGAAACAGAAAAAAGAGAGAAGTATTCATGTAAGTAGGAGATGAGAAGCAGAGTGAGAATCACTTTTAGGAACACAGATTGGGAGCAGGTACAGGAGAATCCTGGGTGAGGATGAAGAATGACCTGGGATGGTTTTGGAGCTAGCCTCTGGAATCCTTTCTCTTGACCTGTGGAAGAGAGAACATTTTCAGGGTTTCAGGGGCTATGGCACAGCAGGAGTAGGGCAGGGGAGGCGGGCTCTGAGGCCTAATTTGAGTAGGGCTCGCTGGTTGTCTCCATCCTCCCATGATGCATTCTGTGATATTCCCTGCATTTTCTCCCCAGTCTGGCTTCATTATGGTTTCATTGAGGTGATAGGATATATTAGGCTGTGCTCTGGCTCTGAGATTCCTTTATGCCCATGTGTGATGTTCCATCCCCTGCCCCCATCATCTGCCCTATCCCACCCTCCTCCTTACCATGGCCATCAGCACGAGGGCACTGACCAGCACGGCATACAAGGTGGCCTTCCCTAGCAAGATCTCATAGAGGATGGTGGCAGACAGGACCCCTTGCTGGTAAGACTCTGTTGACAAGAACAGAGCATGTAGGTACCTGTGCACAGGTGGCTCTGGCCTCCCTCACGCCCCTGTGTCCGTGGATTCTCCATGCCCTGGTTCGAGAGCAGAGACGGCGAAAGATAGAGAGAAAAAGGAGAGACTCACTTACCGGAGGTGAAGCCACAGTCTGAAAGAAAACAGGGGAAGAAAAATGGATGAGAGAATGCTGCTTTGTAAGGACATTGAGCCTTACATCACAGACTCACAGGCCACAAACACATGCATATCAGATAGTACAAAGTCAGCCTCCTTTGATAGCCCTGGTTCTGTCTCCCTCATGCTGCTCCAGTGCCAGCGAAGTGGTCACTATGATCTTAGGAAACCAGGACCCCAGAAGAGAATGGGATGCACACCACTCAGATGCTGAGCTGTATGGCTGGTCCTCAGGGAGACTTGAAAGCTTAGCTCTAAGGTGTCAGGATCTGAAGGAAGAATGAGCTTGAGGTGCTCCATTCAGCCTCTATGCTTCTTGGTGGGGGAAGTGCACACCGTGCTTTGCTGACCCTGTGAACCTTGATCATCCCACCTTGTCCACTCTGGCTTTCTTCTGGATCTAGTCTTGTCCGCTACCTGGATCTTTCCATTTTCCCTGGTAGCTGGTCTCACCTAATCTCCTCCAGGCATCTCCCCAGGCCCCACTCACCTGCTCTACCCCAGGCCTCGGCGCTGACGATCTGGGTGACAGGTTTGGCCCTATCCTGGGTCCACTCGTCATTCTCCGAGAGCCCGTAGAACTGGACTTGACAGCGGAAGTGGTTGCGGGGGTTCTGCCAGAAGGTGGCCGAGACCCTCAGGCGGCTGCTCAGGCAGTATCTGGAGTCATTGAGGGCGGGCTGCTCCTTGAGGGGCTGCGGGTCTGTGCTGACCCCACTGTGCACCTCCTTCCCATTCACCCACCAGCTCAGCTCCACGTGGTCGGGGTAGAAGCCTGTGGCCAGGCACACCAGTGTGGCCTTTTGGGTGTGGGAGATCTCTGCTTCTGATGGCTCAAACACAGCGACCTCGGGTGGGAACACGTTTTTCAGGTCCTCTGGAAAGGGAAGAGGTAATGGGGCTAGGGTTGCTCTGAGAGCTGTCTGGTCCTGGTAGGGGCTCTGTGTATGTGTGAGAGAGAAGGCCGGGAAAGGACCATAATGAAGCACAATTATGTTACTAGGTCCTCCTTGCTTTGGGGTCACCAGCCTATTCCTCTTTGATGGTTCTACCCCTTCCTTGCCTGTCTTTTGTATCCACCCTATGGGTTGGCACTGCCCATTGTCTGTCCATCCCCCAGTTAGGCACTGCCTAACATTCCAGGTGATGTCTCCTCATTGCCATTATTTGATTTCCTCTCTATCAATAAAAACTTGCCTACCTACTTCTCACCATTTTATGTGGTAGTTTTTTAACTGGAGCAAGGGATTGGAACCCAAAAAAACAAGATCCAAATCCTAGAACTTCCTTTGTCCACCAACAAGACTTTTAAGACAGAAATTCCTATCACTTTTTTCTGCATGTGAGGTAATAATCACCATTCTGACTTTGCAGAAACTGTGTGAAGGTTAAATTATGTACGAATTCAAAAAGCCCCCTCCCAAGCAGGTTATTTATACCAAATCTAAGGTGCTCAGGAATGAAGGGGAATCTGGGATGAGGGAGACATTTTGGATCTGGGGGCTTTCTTTGGATTTACAGATGGCCTATTTTTTGCATTCATATGAGGACATCCTTTGGTTTTACAGTGCGTTCATGAGAATGTGAGGTTTTTTCTTTTTGTGGTGCATGAAGTCATCTTATCCATTCCTCTGCCTCCAGGTACCCCTGAGTTTTCTCAGCTCAGACAGTTAGTCATCTTCCCTTATTTCAAAATTAGGGACTCTTCAACCTTCTGTGTCCCTTTGCATCCAAATATTATATGTAGCTTTCTCTACTAGCAAGTTTCCCAAATAAACATCTGATATCATCAGAGTAACTTCTTGCTACTAGTTGTGTTGATACAGTTTCTGTCCTGAGCATCTCCTTTGTAGATTCTTAGGGATGACAGGTAAATTCATCCCCTTTAATCCCTGAGGACCCCTTTCATTTTGCTGAATCACTTCTTTTGGACCTGCCCTCCTACTCATCTTATCTTTTTTTTTTTTCTTTTTCTTCCCATTGATTGTTTTTCATTTCTGAGCAACTCTATTAAAATGAAGAAATATCAGTCTTAGGAGAACCTATTCCGAATCTCCTGGACAATGGAGGAAATTTACTCTGACATTTCTTTACATTTGTATGGATGTGACCTCCTTCCTAGGTCCCCATGGGGCCTCCTGCTAGAAGGGCCCCCTGCTTGGTTTAGTGCTCTGCTGTCACCATGTTGAAATCCTAAGATTTAACACGAGCCCCGGCATTTTCATTCTGAGCTGGTCCTGAAGATTTTGTAGCTGGTCCTGCTTCCCATCATGTCAGTTTCCTTTCCTCCCCACAACTCCTACCTGCTAATTACTACTATGCTTCTAAACATTTACTGGCTGGGCTGGGGCCGAAGTGGTAATATCCTAACTTCTATCTGCAGAACTTTCTTTCTTTCTGCTCTCAGCCTGCTTATTTTCACTCTCATCTCAAAAACCCTGGCTCTGGGAGTCTACCAGCCCTCCAGAATGTACTCCTTTGATTTCTTCATTTAGCAAACACTCAGTCCTCATTGTAAAAATTAAAAATATTCCTTGACCATGTATGCTGTTCTGTGGAATAGTTATTGATGCAACAGGCGTGGCGAACACTAGCCGCCTCTCACTACACACCAGCATACTATCTGTACATGAGGGCAGGGTCAACTCTGCTTCTGCATTTGTGAGTCCGTGTGGTGTGGGGCTTGTCTCTGTGGGTGTAAGTGTGTGTACTAGTGAGCTTCTGGAGTAAGTGTGTGTACTAGTGAGCTTCTGGTGTAAGTGTATACTAGTGAGCTTCTGGTGTAAGTGTGTGTACTAGCAAGCTGACGGTGTGTGTGTTCTAATGAGCTTCTGGTGTGAGTGTGTACCAGTGAGCGTCTGGTGTAAGTGTGTGTACTAGTGAGCTGCTGGTGTAAGTATGTGTACTAGTGAGCTGCTGTTGGCCTGTGCTCTACTTGTGGGTTGGATTCACCTTAGGCAAAATTGTGATGTTTGTCTCGCATCTTCCCAACCCACCTCTGACACAGACACAGCCTTACTCCATTTCCACACTTCAGATCCTGCCCATCCTTTGGCACTGGGCTGACCCTGCCCCCTGTCTCCCCAGTGACCTCCTAGGAGGATGGGGAAAAGAACCATTGAATTACATCAATAATCTGTACACGGTACATGTTGACTCTCTTTTCTTCCTCACAGCAATAGTAAGTGGTAGGTATTGTTCATTACATTTTATAGTTGAGGAAACTGAGGTTCACACATTAATTTGCCCAAGGTCACCACATCACAAAAGAACCAGAGGTTCGAACTCAGCCTTTATCTGGTTCTAAAGTCTGGGTCTTTTCGGTGCCCCAGCTGACTGCAGGAACCCCACATTTCCTCTGGATACGCTTCTCTGTAGCTGAGCCCCATTACACCCAGATTAATGACAGCCTAACTACAAATGGTACCGGTTAATATACCAATATTGTGAGTTCTCTTCTCTGGCCTCAGGGCAGTTGTCACCAGGTAATGTTTAGGGTCCCTTTTCAGCTCTCAGGGCCTAAATCTTCCAGAGAATTTTCCTCATCTCACAGGCAAATTGTCTGCATTTTAGTGTGTGTTTGTGGCGAATGAACTCCCTGAACATCTGGGCTGTTTAACCTAGAATACTTAGTGTGCTAAGGGAGATTTCAGGATAGGGGAGGGAGCTACACGGGGGCGGGGGTGGTAAGTGTACCCCAGTGGCTGAGGTTATGTGCCCTACTCTCAGGTCAGCACCTCTTTGTTGACCAGCCCGTGGGTAAGCATGAATGCCGTGCCCTCACCCTGGACCCAGGGATCTCTGGCTTAGGAGGAATAGGAATCGGGAACAAGGAGTTTTAAGTCGGATTAGAGATCCACACTGCTAAACAGTAAACTTTCATTCTTTTCTTCACTGACTCATGTTCATCTCCCTTTTTGGCTTCTCTGTTCCACTTTTGTTTGGCAGGCTTTTTCTTCTGTGTTCTACTGCACCCTCGGCTGCAGGATTTCTGCCCCCTAACACCCACCCGCCTGCCCGCAGTGCTGACCCTTGCCCACCCGCGCTGTTCCCAGCCTGCTCAGCTCTTTTTGCCTACGAATAGCAGTTACCCCCACTCCTACCCATTCCCCAAACCAGGATTTCCCTTCGTCCTCTCCAGTCTCGCCTCTCCCAGAGTCCTAACAAATCCTCTCCTCCATCGTTCACCTTCTCTCTAAACACCCCAGAAAAAAGATTAAAAGTGGCCTCGCCCTCTGCTCAGCTTTCCGGACTCTGAGCACCTCCCCACCCCCTCCCTCTTCCCCAGTCTTTTCCCAGGAGCGGGGAGGTGACCTTGCAGAGCTGACCCCGGACACCCAGCTCCTCCAGCTCCGGTCCACCCCCCGACTCCGGGGACCGAGGGGCTGGAAGGTGGGGAGACGCCCGAATCTCACCTGTGACCGTGAGCCTGGTGCCCGGCCCGACGTACTGCTCGTAGGAGCACGGAGGTGCATCCCCGCATGCAAACCTCTAAGGCTCCCCGAGCTCCTGCCCACCCTGGGGACCCAGCCCAGGTCTCCCAGCACAGGGCCGGACCGGGTGCCGCGAAGCAGCCGCCGCCTTCCACCTGAATCCCGCCGCCCGGGTGGTCCCGCGAAAACTCACCCAGCACGGTCAGCCTGCTGCCGGCCCCGAAAGTCAGGACGTTGGCCCCAGAGCACAGCCCGGGGACTCCCCGCAAAAACCAGACCCAAGCCGCCCGCGCCCGCGCCCCAGCAGCCCGCGCTCACCGAGCACCAGGAGCCGCGTGCCTGGCCCGAAGTACTGGGTCTCTTGGTCACGGCCCCCGAGCCCCGCACAAAAACCCGAGCGCAGTCTCGTCCCCGGTCCCCCGGCGGCCCCAGCTTACCCAGCACTGAGAGCCGGGTCCCGGCGCCGAAGTACTGAATGTTTTTGGCTCACAGCCCCGAGACGCGGCACAGAAACTGGCCCTGCGACGCCCCCGGCGTCCCGGGGCGCCCCCTCCCCAGTTCCCGGGCTTCAGCGGGAGCCCCCGCTTACCGAGCACTGTCAGCCGGGTGCCTGGGCCAAAATACTGCGTATCTGTGCTCACAGCCTGGAGGCCCAGGACAAAAACCGGTGCTGCCCGCTCTGCTGTCCCAGACTCAGCTCGGGTCCTTCCCACCGCTGAGAGCCCCATCGCTCTCCCAGCACCCAGAACCAGGAGTCCTCCGCCCAGACGCCCAGCAGCGCCTCTCAGCACAGCCCCTCTCAGAGTGGGGCAGCTGCTTACCTCTGCCCATCCCGCCCTCTCGGAGCTCTCCGGAGCCCCAGCCGCCTCCTTACCCAGTACGGTCAGCCTAGAGCCTTCTCCAAAAAACAGCTCCCCGGTGTTCGCACAGCCCTGGGGACCCTGGCGCAAACCCCGCTTCCCTCGAGGAGGGCCCTGGATTGCCCAGTGTCCACTCCCCTAAGAACAGGGTTCTGGGGTCGTGCAGGCTGGGCTGCTCACCCTCTCTCCCACCTGGAGCCCCCTTCTTACCTAGCACGGTGAGCCGTGTCCCTGGCCCGAAGAACTGCTCATTGTAGGAGCACAGTGGGAAGGGGCTGCCCAGAATTCCTTCTCCTTCCCCACCTCCCTTAGCACAGACAGAGGGCACACCCTTCCTCTCTTTCCTGAGCCTATCTTTTCCTGTCTCGAGTTAGCTGGACACGGTAACCTGGATCTTGCATGAGGCCACCACCAATTTGCAGAGGAGAATCCACTTGGCTGGGGGACAACACAGTGGATTTGAAATCTGAAGGGGCATTGGTGGTACTGGAACGGCTGGAGCTGGGCGATATTGCAGGCTAGACCTTGCCGTTTCCTAGTTATATGACCTGTAACCTCTGATCTCAGTTTCCTCATTGGAAAGATGGGACAATATCTTTCCCTCAGGGTTTTCATCAGTTCTTAATAAATAATGCATGTGCAAGTACTTTGTCAAGAACAAGTTTTATTAAAAGTGCTGAGTGATAATCCCACTTTGCTGTCTTGGCCTTCTTATTCCTTGGAAGCCGAGTCTGGACAGGGAGATGGACAGGTGCTCGCTGGGTTGGGGGACCCTGCAAGACCACAGCTGGGACCAGCCCCAGAGAACTCTTCCCACCTGGTAGCTGCATTCCCTGAGCTGGGTGGGGATGCTTACTGCATCAGGGTTTTTTGTAAAAGCACCTCCTCTACCTGAATCATCGTGCCCCCCCGCTAGTCCCCACAATGTTACACCATGATACAAAAATGTTTCCTCCCTGCTAGTCCCCCTCCCCCAACCACTGGGCAGCGGCAGGAAGCGCAGGTGGCAGAGGTTAGTCTGACTGTGTGGGGCTTGGAAAAGACAAAGGCAGTGAATTAAAATGGGAAGGGCTTGGGGAAAGTCACAGTGATGGTAATGGTGGGGGGCAGAGAGGTCCCTCCTTGGAACATGCATCACCCTGAGCAGACCATCTATGTCACTGGGTCTCCCTGGTGGGGCTCACTGTGCCCACCTGCTCAGACTGGCATTTATAGTGAAGTGGGTGGGAGGAGCGAGGGGTGGCAGGCAGCTCATAGGAAAATCCACAGAGCAGTTGATGGCACCTTATGACAGGAGGACAAACAATCCAGAAACCTCTATAATTTCCCTTTGTTCAGTTGCTTCCTGAACGATGTCTGAACTCCATATTCTTCATTTACTCCACAGGTGTTTAGTGAACATCCACCATGTGCAGGCTCCATGCTGGTTGCATGGAGGTAAGTTTATTCCCAGAGTGGCATGCACCAACCTGCCTTTCCAGCGCTAATTTTGAGCACTCCCATTTCTGAACCTTGCAACCAGCTAAACGGGCCTACCCAGAGGTACCTAGCCATGTCATTAGGGCTTTTGTTCATGCCTCTGACCAGCATGGCCATTCTCTAGAGTGAACAACTGAGACCAATTCTTCCTTTGAAGAGATTGCCACCTTCTCAGACTCTTTACTGATTATCCCAGTGAGAAATTGAGGGCCACTCTCTGACTGCATTTTAGTAAGCAGTTCATGTTGCTCTTTCAAAGCATGGACTTGCGTTTGGCTCTTTCTGTTCATGATTGAGTTGCTCTGTGAACAGATACGCTTCTTGGGGACTGTAATTTGGGTATCTTAATTTTCTTGGAAGTTGATAACAACACATCACAGGGATATGTGTTTAATGAGTGGATGTGTGTACATGTGTGTAAATATAAACATATACACGCGTGTGCATACATGCACACACGCATCTTTGAATGCATGTATGTGTTGCAATAAAGAGGGAAGACTGTGTGGTGTAGTCCTATAAATGGAAGGGTAATGGCTATTTCAGGCAGGACTTACGGTGATGATTGCTCCTGGATTGGGTCAGTTTGGGTTCACTCATTTATTCATTTATTTATTCATACATACCTATGTGGTGTCTACACTAAACTGAGGTTACTATACTATAGCCCTGGGATACTATCTTAAAATGTATCCTTGTTAACAAGGAGTTCATAGTCCCTGGGGGTGTCAGACAAATAAAGAGGTAGTTTCCAGCAAGTGTGATGTATCACAAAGAAGGTTATGCACAAGGCACTGTGATAGCAAAATAAAGGTGTATTTAATCCAGCCTCAAGGGAGGAAGAGGTAAGGAAGAGGCAAGAAAGGGCCAGAGAAAGCTTTTTGGAGGGGAAGACATTGGAGCTAAATCTTTAAGTCTAAGCAGGAGTTATCATGGGGAGAAGAGTACTTTGTCACCCCAGGAGGAAGAGCATGTGCAAAGCGGCCTGAAAGAAGCAGCTCAGGGGCTTCAGGGATGAGAGAAGTGAGGAGAGTGTGGAAGGAGACAAGGATAATCATCCGGTCTTCTGTGCCACCTTTGGGATTTGGGACTCCATCACCATGGTGACAGTGAGACAACAGAAGGAGCTTTTGAAGGAATTCTAGAAGTAGGAATGGGGCTGATTCTCAGTTTTAGATACCTTTATTTTCTAACCTTCCAGGAATGATTAGGGGACATTTTCATTCTGGTTTAATTCACTAGAGAGAGATTTATAAACAGATGGGTAACTTAAACCGGAAGACACATCTTCCATTGAAAATAAGTTTGCAAGTCAGAGCCTCTCTTCTTTGGAGCTGGGAAATCAACTTGGTGAACCAATGAAGATGAATGGAGTGCTCAATAAGAAAGCTGCAAGGAAGGTGGGTGATGCTTATGGAATCCAGCTTTGTTAGTCACGGGGACATGGCCAGCTGGAGGGTGAACACACCTGTATAGGTTGGCTCTTCCTCTGAGCACGTCTTTCCTGGGCAGAACAGTATAGTTGGATATAGAAAATTCCTATACTCAACATCTGTGTCTTCCTAGACTGTTCTAGAAGTAACCTCTTCAGCTCCCATCACTGCCTTTCACGCTGAATTAACTTCTGCTATTGATCTCAAGGTGGGCCCCTCATCCCTCTTACGTGAAGAGTCTGCATTTTCCTTGAATACCTCTTGTTTCTATCCTGACTGAATGGGGAGAGTCACAGGGAGTTCAGAGACAGCCAAGGAGCTATCCAGACATTCACAAGTCAGAGTCAGGCCAGACCAGAACATTTTTATTGGTTTAGTCACTTAGGCATGCTAAGGTCCCCCTGGGTTAGGGAGATTTCAGCCGTGAGTGTGCAGGTGTGCATGCACATAGGGGGATATCTATTGGGATGCAGAGAGGTGAGAGCAGCTCTTCAGAAGCGCTGGCAAAAGAAGAATGTGTATTGAAACCATGACGGGTTAGAAGCTCCTAACTCCACTTCCAGGGCTGCCTTCAGAAATCCTTTCTCTTGACCTGCAGAAGAGAAAGTTTTGGGGGTTATTAAGAGCCAGGAGTTGTGAGGATTGAGAGAAAGTAGTAGGGCCCATTGACCACACAAATAGTAAGGCTCATCACAACATCCATTGGGTTTTCTGGTGACTCCAGCTTCTCCTTCCCAGCATGACCCTTCCACTGTGATCCTACAGAGGTGCAAGTTATCTTCTGAGGCACCTGAATGAAATCTCTTCCCTCCCTACTGCCCAGCTCCAATCCTGGCAGGGACTCTATACTTCTGGGTGCTTGGTGTCAGTGTGTCACCTCCAGCCTGCTGGCCCCATCCTGCCCTCCTGCTTACCATGGCCATCAACACAAGGGCGCTGACCAGCACAGCATACAGGGTGGCCTTCCCTAGCAGGATCTCATAGAGGATGGTGGCAGACAGGACCCCTTGCTGGTAGGACACTGTTGGCACGGAGGAAGGACAGGTGGGTACCTGTGCACAGGTAGCTCTGGTCTCTCCCACCCTCCACCCTCCAGTGTCTGTGAGTTCTTCATGCCTTGGTTCTAGGTCAAGAACCATGAGAGAGGGAGAGGAAAAGGAAGGGCTTACTTACCCGAGGTAAAGCCACAGTCTGAAAGAAAGCAGGGAGAGGAAAATAAATGAGAGACCTTATTTTCATAGGCAATTAAAAGTAAAGTCAGATTTGCAGTTGGCACAGACTCCCAGGCCCAGACCAGCTTCCTCTGACAGCCCAGCACCTCCTTTCTTCTGCCATGCAGATGTCAGCCACATTGTCCTTGCAATCCATGGCATGTGGCAGCACTGAGGGGGATGGGGGGCACCACCCAGATGAGAGTTACACAGGCCACATAGAAAGGGGACCCAGCTGCTTGGCTCTGTTGGGCTGAGAATCTGGGAGAAGAATGAACCACAGGTGCCCAATTCTCCTTCATGGTGTGCGCTGGTTCCTTTCTTTTTGGATCTAGTCTTGTCTGCTACCTGGATCTTTCCATTTTCCCTGGTAGCTGGTCTCACCTAATCTCCTCCAGGCATCTCCCCAGGCCCCACTCACCTGCTCTACCCCAGGCCTCGGCGCTGACGATCTGGGTGACGGGTTTGGCCCTATCCTGGGTCCACTCGTCATTCTCCGAGAGCCCGTAGAACTGGACTTGACAGCGGAAGTGGTTGCGGGGGTTCTGCCAGAAGGTGGCCGAGACCCTCAGGCGGCTGCTCAGGCAGTATCTGGAGTCATTGAGGGCGGGCTGCTCCTTGAGGGGCTGCGGGTCCGTGCTGACCCCACTGTGCACCTCCTTCCCATTCACCCACCAGCTCAGCTCCACGTGGTCGGGGAAGAAGCCTGTGGCCAGGCACACCAGTGTGGCCTTTTGGGTGTGGGAGATCTCTGCTTCTGATGGCTCAAACACAGCGACCTCGGGTGGGAACACCTTGTTCAGGTCCTCTGGAAAGGGAAGAGGGGTTGGAGCCAGGGTTGCTCTGAGAGCTGTCTGGTTCTGGTAGGGGCTCTGTGTGTGTGAGAGAGAGCCCTGGGAATGGGCCGTAATGAAGCACAACTATGTCATTCTAGGCCCTCATTGTTTTGGGGTCACCATCCCAGTGTCTGTTGCTCTCTCTCCACTTTGCCCCTCCTTTCTATGCTGTCCCATGGATGCACATTGCCTACTGTCTCCCCAGCTTCCTATGGTCACATTATATCCTGATTGTCTTGGCTGTTTTTACTGAGGCTTGTCTGATCATCTATCCAAATAATTTATCTGTGTATCTTTATTTTTCAAAGCCTTGCTTGGTGCATGGCTATGTAATCCTGAAACTCGAGGTAGGAAACTCTCATTAGTGGTATAATTACAATAACTAAATTGACTTTTTCTAATTATAATTTTCCTTTTTTAAATCAAGATGTATATATTTGTCTCGTGGGGTAGTGACACATATTAGAATTAGCTTTTCTTTTCTAGAAAAGACACTTTTCCATTACATCTGAGTCCCCCACCTGCCCAGCACCTTTTTAAAAAATTTTATTTTCTTGCATGTAACCCTCTTTAAAGAGCCAAACCTGGTCAATATCTGATGGGATGGTCCACATTTCCTCCTCCCCTGGGGCAGGAGGGTGTGGTAGCTTGTCCAGGATGGCTGAAATCCCATGGAAGTTGATGGTCATGGGATTAACCCTTTCTTCTCTCAGAGTGTCCAGCAACCCTGCCTGGCCAGGATTGGAATCCGTCCACAGTTAAGCTTTGCATTCTCAAAAGTAGTACAAGCTAGACCACTGAGTATGAATGAACCACAAAGTCCAAGGGCCATTTCAGTAGAAAGCTCACACTGCAGAGCTCTGGACCTTTTCACATGCTTGAGAGAGGAGAGAAAGAATTTCTGGGATTATTGGAAAGAATGATTTCATCTGAAGACACATGAGGAGTGGAAGAAACCACAATTTACTGTGCCCTTTGCTTGGCTCTGTTCCAACCATGAGAGTGAGCTTTTGGTGCAGAAATGTGGCAAGTCTAGATATGGGTTCTTTATCCAAATTTGGGAAATGTTTTTGATGGGAAAATTGAGATGCAGGTTTGGAAAAAGGCAAACCCTGTGACCTAGTGATCATAAACAACAGGAATGAAAAGGATTGTCACCACAAGTTGAGTCCTTTACAAAATCCTTTACAAAGGATTTTCATATAAGTTAGTCTCTTCTGTTTCTATGTCTTAGAGAGGAGGCAGCTTAAGTTGCTTTTCAAATTGCACACCTCCCCCACCACAGCCCCTTGAACCCAGGCCTTTGAATCTGGTGATTTGTACTTTCCACTCAACGTCTTGGTGTGTGTCCCCACCTACACTAATGTCTGCCCAAGCCCCTAAACTTTGGTAGACCCTATGAGTCCCATTCCTCCACCCTTGTCTATGTCTCCATCCTAGACCTCATCCCATCCCAACCCCGCTCCACCGCCTGTCTGCTTCCTCCCCAGCATGGGGAAGGTTGTACTAGGGCTTCCTGGTGGGGCCTTTACCCTATTGTTCTAGCATAGATTCTGAGGCTTAAGAGAATGGAGTCTTGGCTGGGTGCAGTGGCTCACATTTGTAATCCCAGCACTTTGGGAGGCCAAGGCAGGCGGATCACGAGGTCAGGAGTTTGAGAACAGCCCGGCTAACACAGTGAAACCCTATCTCTACTAAAAATGCAAAAAGTAGCTGGGTTTGGTGGCAGGCACCTGTAATCCCAGCTACTCGGGAGGCCAAGGGAGGAGAATCGCTCAAACCCAGGAGGCGGAGGTTGCAGTGAGCCGAGATCGTGCCACTGCACTCCAGCCTGGGCAATAGAGCTAGACACCGTCTCAGAAAAAAAGAAAATAGAGTCTCCTACCCATTTTGTCTTCTTTATACCTTATCTGTTGCTAAGATAATGTCAGTTTCCAGTTGTAACACTCTCTTCAGACCTATCTCCCAAACACCTGCCAAACACAGGCACCTCAGAGACTCCCTGCAGCTCGCCCAATGCTGTGACAGGGACTTCTGCCCTCAGGCCTCAAGAGCAACCCTGAAACCACCTGTCTCCCCAACCTGGTCATGCCTGGCTCATGAACCTTCAAACTACCTCAGGAAGACATAGATGCATCTTCTAAGACTGGTAGAGAAAGAAAGAAGGAGGGAGATGAAGACATGAGCAGAGTTCTGTGCTGGAGGCTGGCAGTGGGGAGAATCTTAACATAGAAGACAGAGCTAGTCACCAAAAGGAGTCAACAATGCAGAAGTGGAGTTAGAATGGGAAGGAAAAAATGGAGAAGATGCAATTTAAAAAAGGGAAAGTAAAACAATACATCCACTAAGAAAGTAGAGATGAGAAGAGTCCCAGAAAACAATGAAAAGAAGAGCAAAGAAACACACAGCCCTGAAGACTAAGCAAGGAGCTCTACAGCTGAGGAACTGCAGGCAACACAGCAGAGCAACAAGCTGGAAGAGCTCCAGGGAGGGGAGGAGAGGGCACAGTGCTCCAGGTAAGAAGGGGTGACCCTGACCTCCGTTCTTACACTCAATTCCCTTCCCAGCAACTGATCATTGCAGTCAAACCCAGGCACCCCCGAGTCAAGAGTGGAGCCCCCATACCTGTCACAGTGAGCCTGGTCCCGTTCCCAAAGTGGAGGGGTGAATTATAGGAGCACAGCTGCAGAGGCTTAGATAAAACCCACCCGGCGATCTCCAGTCAGAGGGCAAGTCTTAGCTCCCTGACAGCAGGATGGCTGCCTTTCTCTGCCTGGATTCATGGCTCTGGACCAAAGGGATTCTGTTAGGAAAAAGGCCTAAGCATACTGTGCAGCATAAGGCGCAAGAGGAAGAGGCTTAGGAGAGGCAGAGCCATGCACATAAGAGGGAGGATGAGCCAAGAAGGGAGTGAGGAGGCAGATTATGGACTGAAGACTTAGAGAAGAGAAATAGAGGAGTCAACCAAGACACACCAAAGGGAACGCAGGCACAGGCACAGCTCTTACCCCATGGGGTAAGAGATTTTACTCAATCTGCCTCACCAGCACCGGGAGGAGAAGCAGAGAACTCTGCCTTCAAGGGACAATGGCCATACCACCCTGATTCTGCAACTTACCTAGGATGGAGAGTCGAGTCCCATCACCAAAATGCTGGGGCTGATTGCTACACAGTGCATCATGAGTGTGGCAAACCCCAGAGGAGCTGGTGTGGGCCCTTCCTTCCAGAAGCTGCTTACACACAGAACTCTTGGGGCCCCACCACACACTCCACTGACCCACATTTTATGAGCTTTTCTTGGCTGTGTTCTCAGTTTCTGCCCTCCCGCAAGGGGTCCTCCTGGAACTCCGACCTTATGATACACTATCCCGAAAGAAGTCTTTTACATACCCAAGACAGAGAGCTGGGTTCCACTGCCAAAAAACAGTTTTTCATTAGTTGCACAACATTAAAGACTGGAAGGAAAACCGCGACCTGCTGCCTTCCACTCCTGCCTCCCCAAGTCCACCTGCCAGGTCCTCTCCTGTTCCTTAGTAGAATTTTAGCCCTGGTGGGTAGAGGGGTAGACAATGGTACAACCCAAAATGCGGTGGTCAGCAGACCAATTAGGCCCCGTGTGATCCCCCAAGTTCCCTCTTCTGTGACCTTCTCCTTTCTGTGTGAGGGAGAGAAACGGTAGGACCGTGGTGGTAAGGTCAGAGGCTCTTTTATCTGTCATGGCCGTGACCGGCACCCTTCAAGGAGACAGGAGATGTTCAAGGTGACCCCTTCCAAGCTGAGTCTACCCATCTCTCAGTAGGGGAACCTAACTTGGCACAGGCAGTCTACAAAATAGTCGAGAGGAGAGGGAGGCTATCCCCTCCTCATCTGCCTCATAGGCCTTCCTGACAAAAATACACTTTCACCTAAGCACTAGAGACAAAGGCTCCGTCTGGATTCCAGCCCCTTTTTGCAAGTTCCCAGCTGTCCAGCCTTGACTTACTCACCTACAACAGTGAGCCAACTTCCCTCTCCAAAATATATGGTGTTTCCAGAGCACAGCCTCCCAGGGCCACTTCAAAACCCCCCAGTCTCTGCTGAGCACAGCTGGGATTCAGGCAGAGGTTGGGAGTTCATGGGAACTCTTCCCTCACAGGGACAGCAGCTCTGCTTCCAGTACTCTGTGTTCCCTTCCAGAGCTTGCCCAAGACTCAGGCAGGTGACAAAAAGAGACACAGAGTGGCCTCCTATAAAATCCAGCACAGGAATATACGAAGAATCTACAGAGAACCTCTGTCAGTGAAGCAGATAGATGGAGAGGTGTTGTGGCTCATTCATTACCCACCGGGCTTTCTCTGGGCTATCTCAGGGAACTATGAGGAGAGGCCCCCTCCCCTTCCCTCTTCTGCCCCATCACCCTGGGCTCAGCTGTGACTGCTCAGAGCCTCTGGGAAGCCTGGGTGGATTCGCCCTCACAGGGAGCCTCCCCTGAACTCAATCCCGGGACATGACATGACGTCTCCCTCAGTCTGGCTCCGGGAGCTGGGATCTCTGTTCTCTTTGACATTTCCCAGGACAGAGTCCTCCCTCATCGCACCCCTCCTAGAGACCCCCAGCCTTACCTACAACGGTTAACCTGGTCCCCGAACCGAAGGTGTAGCCATAGTTAGCACATAAGAATATAGCCACTCTAAAAGGGACACTGTGGACCCACTTTTCCCTGTGACGGATCTGCAAAAGAACCTGAAAAATGTCTTACCTACAACTGTGAGTCTGGTGCCTTGTCCAAAGAAAGCTTCAGTGTTCACACAGTGACAGGGGTCAAGGTGAAAATCACATTGAAGGCATAGAGAGGGGAGAGGGCCCTGGCTAGGATGGAGGACAGTGAGCTAAGAAATCTCCTCCTGTGCTTTATGGGTATTACACAGAAGAACACTTTGACTTTTGCTTTTTAGGACCATGGAGAATGACAGAGTCCATCCACAGGGTCCTAGGTTCCTTTTTCAAAGGATGCCCCATTCAGATGCTCCCTCTGTGAGGGTCCATCGAAAGGGAAAGTGCATGGCCTGCAGAGGATGGCAGGGGCCCAGAACCTGTGACTCCATCTATAGATACCCCTGACTTCTTCCCGAGTCCTCTGGAGAGCTGGTCACCTCCGATGAACCTTCCACCTGACTTTGTCTCAATTTTTGGGGATTGGGACCCTCCCTGAGTCCTCCACTTGTGAGGTTCCTGAGGCAGTCTTCTTATGTCTGACCTCTCTCTGCCTGGGAAGCTTTAGTTCTCATCTGGGCCTGTCCTTGTCCACAGTCTTGGTCTGACATGTGATCAGGAGTGAGGCAGAGGCATTCTGAACCAAATTGCATTAAGACCTGTGACCCAGGAGGAAAGAAGAGGACTCTGGGAGTTGGGACCGCCAGAGAGGTTTTTGTAAAGGTTTCCCGTAGAGTTGAATCATTGTGGCCCCCTGTCCCCACAATGTTACAGCTTTGTACAAAAACAGCCCCTCCCATGGGTCCGCCCCCAGAGCCTGGGAGAGACCACCAGAGCAGCTGCTCCTTTGAGGGGAGTGGAGGGTGGGTGACATCACCCCCCATTATGCAAGTTGGTGGTGGGGTATGGACCAGGCCGGGGGCTTCCTTCTCACCTCCAGGCACTGTCCTCAGGATGTTTTGAGCTCCTTAGAGCTGGATGTCTTTGTAAGGCTGTTTGGCGAAGGGGCTGGTCTTCTCCAGTACCCACCCCTCTCCAAGCTGTTGTCACGTTGGGGCATGTCCTTATAGAGAAGCCACAGCCCCCATCACTACCCTGGCCCTGCCCCGAGGCTGTGCGTCACTCGGAGGGTTTTAAGCTATGACTTAAAATCCAGAAAAAAAAAAAAAAAGACAAACAACGACATAATGATGACACACTCGCATGGTAAAATATAAACAGAATCAAAATATACATAACAATCTGGGAAAAATATTCCTAGTTCTCACCATCAGGGCTAATCTCCTCAACATGTGGTGAACTCCTAAAAATCAATAGGAAAATAATCCAGCAGCCCAATAAAAATAGGTGAAGAGTAAATTGTTCAGAGAAAAATAAATCCAAATGGTACCTAACTATAAGGGAAAAAAAATCACAATAAGAAAAATAAAATTAAAAAAACTTCATCAAAATACACTTTTCACTAATTTGACTGACAAAATTGAATTATATGCCCATCAGTAAGGGACTGGATAAACTGTGATATGTTCACACAATGGAGTAATATTCAATGCTAAAAAAAGAATCAAAATATTTTATATTGCTATGGAAAATTCTCTAAGATACATTATTAACCCAGAAAAGAGAAAGTCTCAGAATAGCATAACTAGATGACACCTTTGTCTAACAGAGGGGGGAAAAGAAGAATTATACTTTTGTATTTACTTGATTTTGTATACATTTTGTATACAGAAACACTGTAAAGATACAACAGAAACTGACAAGAGTGATGACCTATTAAGAATGAGTGGAGTAGGCCACGTGCGGTGGCTCACCCCTGTAATCTCAGCACTTTGGAAGGCCAAGGCAGGCGGATCACCTGAGGCCAGGAGTTCGAGACCAGCCTGACCAACACGGCAAAACCCCATCTTCACTGAAAGTACAAAAAAAAAAAAAAAAAAATTAGCTGGGCGTGGTGGCAGGTGACTATAATCCCAGCTACTTGAGAGGCTGCTGAGGTAGAAGAATCACTTGAACCCAGGAGGCGGAGGTTCCAGTGAGCCAAGATCACGCCACTGTACTCCAGCCTGGGCGACACGGTGAGACTCTATCAAAACAAAAAAAAAAAAACAAAAAAAAAAAAAAGAAAAGAAAGAATGGGTGGAGTAGACAGAAACAGAGCGGAAGTAAAAGTTACATTTCCCAGTGTCAACGTTACTGGGTTGTTTCCATTTTAGAGTCATATAGCTCTATTGTCTATTGAAAGTCAAACTTAAGTTAATTTTAAAAATCAAGAAAATTTGGCTTTAAATAAAATATGCTACTTTAAAAACCTACTTGTTTAATTTACAAAGTCATTTTTTTTGCCAAAGAAGTTTATGTGTGAAGTTATGTATGAAGTTATGTAGAATTTATGTAAGAAGTTGTTTCCTTGTCCTGAATTTGCTCAGTGAGGACTTAATCACTTGGACAACTGTGAAAAATGTAGATTTCTGAGTAGTCTTCATGACCTATTGAGTTAAAATCTCCAAGACTGAGTTTACTTATTTATTTATTTAAATAAACAAACAGAAAATTACCCTGGGCGTTTCTGTTACAATGCCAGGCTTGGGACCCACAGCTTGTCCCCAACTAGAACAGGGCAGAGGTAAGCCATGGTGAACATCAGAGGGCAGTCTAGGACTGCCATAAGTTTGGTGCCAGGGCATGGCCCTTAGAACTTAGGGAAGAAAGAAAAAGAGGATTTGGTATATTCACGGCATTAATAGTGATGGACCTCGCAACATGCTACCAAATGCCTGCATAAAAAGTTGATTGCAGCCAGGTGCAGTGGCTCACGCCTGTAATCTCAGCACTTTGGGAGGCCGAGGAGGGCGAATCATGAGGTCAGGAGTTCGAGACCATCCTGGCTAACACGGTGAAACCCTGTCTCTACTAAAAATACAAAAAAATTAGCCGGGCATGGTGGTGTGCGCCTGTAGTCCCAGCTACTCGGGAGGCTGAGGGAGGAGAATCGCTTGAACCCATGAGGTGGAGGTTGCAGTGAGCCGAGATTGAGTCACTGCACTCCAGCCTGGGCGACAGAGTGAGACTCTGTCAAAAAAAAAAAAAAAAAAAAGTTGATTGCTTTCATCCATTGGATTGTGTCAAAGCCTCTTGCCAGTACCTTTCCTAATTGAAATATTCAGTTTATTTTGATCTATTTCTGCATGTTTTCCTGCCTTACTCACCTCGTTTACTTATCAATAATTCATCCTCTAAGTTAGTGTCTTTTAATCACCTAGTGGGGGCCCTCATCCCTACTGGCCTTATAAATAATAATGCCACTCTGTCTTGGCATCATGGTTTTTTAGAATTCCGATGGAGTTTGTCCCAGTTTTGCCTCTCTGGACGGTATGCCCAAGCTCATATGCAGCGTTTTTTCCATAAAAGCTAGGAAGACCAGTTAGGCAGGTATCAGGTTGGGGTCATGCATCCATGTGGGCAGCAGGGGGCAGCCTTTCCTTATTTTTTTAGACCTAAGTAACTGCAATCTGAGCTCGGCCACTTGAGGGGGCGAGAAGAATGCGCAGCTCGTGGTGGGGCGAGGACGCGGAAGGGAGCAGGGTTACTCCTGCGCCTCTGTGTCGGGGGCGGGTGGGAGACCGGGAGACACGCAAAGAGCATTTCACGTGTGCAATTCTTGAAAGCTTTCCAGCATGTTCATTTCAACCTAAATTCCTTGTTCTCAGTTGAGGAACTGAAACCCCAAGAGGCTAAAATGAGTTGCCCAATGACAGAGAAGCACCGCGCCCCCAAGACTCCTTAAATTCAGGAGATGCCGCCACATCCTGCCCTTCCGTGAAACCGACCTCCTGTGGCCAGACTGCCGGGCTCCCAGCAGCCCCGTAGCGTGGCTAAACCTCTTAAACTCTGTCTCTTTATCTGTAAGCTAGGAGCAATAATAATACCTACCTCATGGGGTTGTGAGAATTGCATGCGATAGTGCGTGTCGGGGTTAATCATGGTGCCAGAAGAGTCAGTAAAAATGTTAGTGACTGAAGCCGGGCGCGGTGGCTCACGTCTGTAATCCCAGCACTTTGGGAGGCGGACGCGGGTGGATCACCTGAGGTCAGGAGTTCGAGACCAGCCTGGCTAACATGGTGAAACCCTGTCTCTACTAAAAATACAAAAAATTAGCCGGGCGTGGTGGCGCTTGCCTGTAATCCCAGCTACTTGGGAGGCTGAGGCAGGAGAATAGCTTGAACCCGGGAGGCGGAGGTTGCAGTGAGCCGAGATCGCACCATTGCACTCCAGCCTGGCGACAGAGAGAGACTCTGTCTCAAAAACAAAACAAAAACAAAAACAAACAAAAAATAGTGACTTGTTTTCAGAGAGATATCGTAACTGCCCAATAGGTTCACCTTGCCTGCTGTATAGACAGAACCGATTTATCAAGACAGGGGAATTGACATAGAGAAAGAGTAATTCACCCAGAGCAGACTGTGTGGGAGACTGGAGTTTTACTATTACTCAAATCAAATCTTGCCGTCTCCCCGGGAATTCGAGGATCCGAGTTTTAGAGGATAATTTGGTGGGCGGAGGGGAAAGCAGTGAGTCGGGAGTGCTGATCCGTTGGGTTGGAGATGAAACCCCAGCTGCTTTCTTGTGCTGAGTCGGTTCCTGAGTGGGGGCCACAAGATCAGATGAACTAGTTTATCGATCTGCGTTGTGCCAGCTGATGCATCAAGTGCAGGGTCTTTAAAATATCTCAAGCACTGATCTTAGGTTTTACAATAGTGACGTTATCCCCAGGAGCAATTTGGGGAGGTTTGGAATCTTGCAGACTCCAGCTACGTGACTCCTAAACCATAATTTCTAATCTTTTGGCAAATTTGTTAGTCCTATAAGACAGTCTAGTCTCCAGGCAAAAAGGAGGTTTGTTTTGGGAAAGGACTGTTACCGTCTTTGTTTCAAACTAGAAACTAAGTTCTTCCCAAAGTTAGTTCAGCCTATGCTGGGGAAGGAATAAGGACAGCTTGGAGGTTAAAAGCAAGATGGAGGCCAGGCGCGGTTGTTCACGCCCATAATCCCAGTACTTTGGTAGGCAGAGGCAGGTGGATCATGAGGTCAGGAGTTTGAGACCAGCCCGGCCAACATGGTGAAACCCCGCCTCTACTAAAATACAAAAAATTAGCCAGGCATGGTGGTGTGCACCTGTAGTTCCAGCTACTGGGGAGGCTGAGGCAGGGGAATCACTTGAACCTGGGAGGTGGAGGTAGCAGTGAGCCAAGATCGAGCCACTGCACTCCAGCCTGGCAACAGATTGAGACTCCGGCTCCAAAAAAAAAAAAAAAAAAACAAAACCAAAAACAAAAAAAACCGCAAGATAGAGTTGGTTGGGTCAGATCTGTTTCACTGTCTCAGTTACAATTTTGCAATGGCGGTTTCAATACTGGCCTAAGGATGTCATTACCGTATCCAATCTCAAGTTTTCAGCGGGCATCAGAAGACCTGGAAGATATGTTAAAATGCAGGTTGCTGTCTGGGTGTGGTGGCTCACGCCTGTAATCCCAGCACCTTGGGAGGCAAAGGGGCAGGCGATCACTTTAGCCTAGGAGTTTGAGACCAGCCTGAGCGACATATGAGGTTGCCATCTCTACAAATAATAATAATATTAGCTGGGTTTGTGGTGTGCGCCTGTGGTCCTAGCTACTTGGGAGGCTGAGGTGGGAGGATCACTTGAGCTTGGGAGGTCAAGGCTGCAGTGAGCAGTGATCATGCCATTGCACTTCAGCCTGGGCAACAGAGCAAGACCCTATCTCAAATAAAAAAATATGCTGTTTGTTGGGCCCTGTCCCAGGAGATCTGACTCGGTGGGTGTGGGGTAGGGCCTAGCTTTTGTGTTTCTCCTAAATTCCCAGGAGATTTTGGTGTTGCTGGCTTAGGGACCACTCTTTGAGAATCATTCTTCTGGAAGGGTCTTTCTTTTCTCAGCACATTTCCCTCCACTCCATGTTTATTCCTCCACTCACTGGGTGCTTATTACATCCCAGGCTTTGCTTAATCACTGGAGATATCAGGATATGTAAGACAAGATGTACCCGCTTGAGGAGCACACAGTTGATTGCCAGGACGGACGCATCTATTGCACCTGAGCACCTGAGCAGGACTAGGACAGAGGCAAGCGGAGACAGGAGGAGGATGGCTGCCTCAGACCCGAGGGAGGGCCAGCAGAGCCAGACCCAAGGGAGGTGGGGACAAGGAAGAATCAGGAAGACTTTTCTGAAAAGGGTGAAGGGGAGGTTAGGAACGGCTTCCAGTCTGAGAGTGCCATAGTGTCCAGAGACAGAGGCAGGAGGCGCATGGCTTGTTGGATGGGCCACCAGGGCTTCTGAGCAGGGGAGGGGACAGGGGAGGAGAGCAGTGAAGAGGCATGAGACTGGGAGTGGGGGCAAGGGTGGTGCCAGGAGAACCCTACATTTCCCCAGGGAGCTTGAATTCTAGTTTGATCACTGTGGGAGGGTAGGGAGCAATGCCATAACCAGGAGCTCTCTGAGAGCAGTCGTCTTGCCGCATGGAATGGGACAATTGGGAGGTGCCCCTCAGGAGATGCAGGGAGGAAGGGAATGGGTGATAGTGACAGGGGGCTGGAGAAACATCAGAGGTCAGCGCTGACGGACTTGTCATCACCTCAGACCACAGTCATAGCGGGATGTGAGGCGGGGCACAGAGAGCGTGGGCTTTGAAGCCAGGCAAATGAGGAGTCAACCCCAGACCTACCATCTGCTGGGCTTGGGACGTGGGTAAACTAATAAGCCTCTTTGAACCTGTTTTCTTATCTGTACCGCTGGATTAATAACCACTCCGGAGGGGAGAGAAAACTAAATGGGAAAATGTCTATACATAGGAATAGTGTAAACATGTTGGTATTATTCTGTGGAGGAATAAAAGGCAGACTTCTCAAGAACATGAGGGATGGAGACCAGGGATTTGTCTTCTCCCCTCCAGACACAGGAGCCAGTTGTTGGGCAAGAGGGCCAGCACGATCATCTCCAAGCAGGACATCAGCTTGTGGGAAGTACAGACTGGGTTAGCAGGAGCACATGTGGAGAGGGGCCTCCGAGGAAGCTGATTCGGTCAGTGCTGGGGTTTCCTTGCATATGTTTGCTCTGGGTACAGAGAGGACCCTGTGTAGTCAAAGGCAGCAGTGAGGTCTTGCCAAGCATGCCAGCGTGTCACACATCAGCACATTGGGAGCCCACAGAAGTGCCAAGGCCAAGAAACCTCTTTAAGACCACTGTTCTGGAGGGCAGAGGAGGAGAGGAAGCAGAAGGAGGGCAGTGCTGTGATGGAGGAGCAGGAGCAGGAGGGGCTTGCAGAGGAGATGGTCTGGGTGGTGTGTGTGTGGGGGTGTGGGTGGTGTTCCTGGTCCTCCAGGTGCTGCCCAGCCCCTGTCAACCCAGGGTGAACCCCCACGGGATAAGCCTGTGTGGTACCAACAATCCAAGCTACACCTGTGACAAAAAACACTGCTGTGGCTCTGGCTGGTGTGGGCCACCATCATCATCCTCTTGAGCTGCTGCTTCGTCTGCTGCCACCGCTGAGCCAAGCACTGTCTTCAGGCCAGGCAGTGGCAACAAGAAATCAACCCGATCACCTGTAGGAAGCCCATGATTACTCAGCACTGCCACTTTATCTTCAGTTTTTTGCCAAACTATTTACTACCTTGTTATGAGGGAATGGTTTCCCGATCTCCAACTCTTCCCCAAACATATAGTGACTTCCAGCTATGGCATGTGGCCCTTAAGGTGGCAGTGACCCTGGGACTCCCAGGAGGCACAGGGCAGCCCCTTGGCTGGGCCTAGCAGAAGCAGCACAAGACCCCCACTCATTGCTGACCCTGGGGCCTCTGACACCAGCTGACACAGCAGCCACCAAAGACTTGGGAATGGAGCCCAGTGTCTGTGTGGCCAGCCTGGGGGAGTTGGGCCGAGGAGCCTTCCTGTGCAAGGATTTAGAATATATGGAGCAGCTGCTGAATGATTACAACTCTGAGCATGGCAGACTATCCCCGCCCCTCCCCGCCCCCTTCGCCCCAAGCAAAGAGAAGATACCATGTGTGCAACTGGGGCCAACATGACGATGGCCCCAAAGCATTCAACATGCTCATCAGTGATGCTCTGGATGGCCCCCTGGATGTCCATGACAGCTGCCCTGTGCAGTCACCTGGTGACAAGGAGCAATGCCCCTGCCAGCCATGCAAGGAGCAAGCTTGAGAGTCTGGGCATCTGCACCTACCACGGCCCCCAGTCCCTGCTGCTGAGCACCATGGATGAACAGAACTCTCCCAACCCCTAGAGCAGCAGCTCCCAGCCAGAGCCGGCCCTGTCTGTGCCCAAGACCTTGGCAAAGCAACCAGGGCTCGTTGTCCTCCTTTGTTTTCTCTTCTTCTCTCCTGCATTTTTCTCCATCTCCAGGTACAGCTTGGGATGTGGATGCCTCTCGCCACACAAAAATGCTTGGGATTCATTCCTGATACCCCAATTCAACCCGATTTTCCCTCCTTTTAAAGTCAGATCTCACCTACCTGTTTGGTCAGAGAAATGTGTGTTTTAAAATCCCCGAGGAAGGAGGCAGGGACTGAGCCCTCAGATGATTATTGGTGAAGTGGATTTATGCTTAATTTCAGTTTAAGAGAATGTTGCTGCGTCTCTGCCTAGGACAGGCAGCCCACTGTGGCCCTGGGTGACAAAGGAAGCCCACAGAGGCCCAGGGTTTGTCAACTGTGGCTGCCAGTGTCTGCAGAGCCAGAATTGAGCTAATCCCATGAAAGGATCAGCGCTGATGGGCAGTTGTATGGTAGGTTGCTACGGGGCTTATTGATCTCTCAAATTCCAGGTCACAAGATCAATGCATGCTTGAGGGGCCCCTTCCCAGCAGGCTCTGGTGGCTACAAACTGGTTCAGGTGTGGAAGATCATTATCACTTTACCTTTGGTTTTTCTTTGAAAAACAAACAATGAAAGACAGATGAAACCAAGAAATCTACCAGTGGGCAGGCAAGAATTCTCTTCGGGAAAAGGAATGTTTGTGGCTCTTCTCCACATTGGCCTTGAAAGAGCTTGGCTGCAGAGTGGCTATTATTAAAATGTCAAAAAACAGAAGATGCTGGTGAGGCTGCAGAGGAAATGGAACACCTATACACTGTTGGTCAGAGTGTAAATGAGTTCATGGAAAAATTAATGCAGAAAGCAGTTTGGAGATTTCTGAAATAATTTAAAACAGAACTACGATTCCACCCAGCAATTCCATTACTGGGCATTTACCCAAAGGAAAATAATTGTTCTGCCAAAAAGACACATGCTCTCACATGTCCATCACATCACTATTCACAGTAGCAAAGCCATGGAATGAACCTAGGTGGCCATCAGCGGTAGACTGGATGAAGGAAATGTGGTACATATACACCATGGAATACTATGCAGCCATGAAAAGAATGAAATCATGTCCTTTACAGCAACATGGATGGAGCTGGAGACCATAATCATAAGCAAATTAACATAAGAACAGAAAACCAAATATCACGTTCTCATGTATAAGTGGGAGCTGAGCATTGGGTACACATGGATATAAAGATGGGAAGACTAGACACTGCAACTACTAGAGGGAAGAGAGAAGGAGGGTGGATAGAGCTAAAAAAATACCTATTGGGTACTATGGTCACTGCCTGAGTGAGGAGATCATTTGTGCCCCAGACCTCAGCATCACACAATATACCCATGTAACAAATCTGCACATGTACCCCATGAATCTAAAATAAATGTTGAAAATATTTTTTAAAAATGGGGTCTGAGCCAGGAGCGGTAGCTCACGCCTGTAATCCCAGCACTTTGGATCACTTGAGGTCAGGAGTTCAAAACCAGTCTGGCCAACATGGTGAAACCCTGTCTCTGCTAAAAATACAAAATCAATCAATCAATCAATCAATAAATAAATAAATAAATAAAATAAAAAATAAATTAGCTGGGCACAGTGGTGGGTGCCTGTAATTCCAGCTACTTGGGAGGCTGAATCACTTGAACCCTGGAGGCGGAGGTTGTAGTGAGCAGAGATCATGCCATGGCACTCCAGCCTGGCTGTAGTTCAGCCAGAAGGATATGTGTGAAGGCTGAGGTGGGGGTTCTTCAGAGCCTCTATGAGCAGAAGGGCCTAAGCTGTGCCGGTGGACAGAGTTGCAGTTTTCTGCCTCTTTGCCCTTTGGTCTGGACCCACAGGTGAACAGTACCAGCCTCCATCCCAAGCACACGCTCTGCAGGCCTTCACATCTTACGGTTCCATGCGAGCAAACGGACTGGGAAAGCTGTGTGGCCTGAGAAAAGGCAACCCCGTGGCCTGACTCTCACACAGTATTTTGTCTTGGATTTTGAATAAGCACTTTTTTTGCTTCTTTTGTGTTTTCGGTGGTGGTGGTGGTGGTTTATTTTACACTGACCACTTGGAAGAAATCCCATGGTTATCTGTGATTTTCATGCCCTATTTCCGCTGGCAACCCTTCTCACTGGGGTGACTCACTTTCCTGTGTAAAGAGTCTACGTGGCCAAAATGGGAGGTGGAAGCAGCCATCTGGAAGGCCATTGGGATCCTTATGTCTGTGTCTTGGCTTGAGGTGACCAGCTGGGCTTTGATAGGAATGATCTGAATGGAGACAGAAAACACTGGAAACTAACACTCCCCATCTAGCCCAGCCCAGCCCTGTTTATATGAAGCGTTTGGTTCTTCTCTTGACTCTTGAGTAATGATGATATTCAGATGAGGCATTGACATTGTGGTAAGAAAGGGAAAAAAATGTATCTGTCTTGTCTGTCTATCAACTGGATATATATCTCCCAAAGCAGACAAACCCAAGGCTGTAAGGTGAACTAGGGTCTGCATTTGGACTCCATAAAAACAAAATCCATGTTGAACAAAGTGATGTTTGTATGCAGTGACATTTTGGGTGACCCATGTGTATCTGTCCATTGTGTGCAAGCCCTGAGCCCTGTTTTCCTCTGAAGATAGTGAGTGGTAGCCGTCTCCTCACACAAACCACATGTCTGGAGCACAGATGGCCCTCTCAAGGTAATTGATCTTACACATTTACTGTTTACCAAACAAGTGTCTGATGCATACTTGGGTGTATTCCACAGCATGTGTACTGTGGTCCCCTGTGTTTGCCAGGAATGCTGTGCTGCATGTAGAGGTTTTACTCTACTCATCCCTGCAATTTGCACGCTGCTCCATGGACACTTGGAGGCCTGTGCTCTGTTCCCTGTAACTGGAAATGTGCTCTGAACTTGTCTGTCTCCCTTGGCTGCTCCTGGCCCTTAGCGCCAGCTCCCAGGGATGTCCACAACCACTTGGGACAGAAGGTGAAGGTGGAATTTCAAAGAGAAGCTTGCTTGGATCTTGGGTGACAAGCTTGGATGAGCTACGGCCCCAACTTAGGCCCTCTCAGAATTGCCAGAAGGAGGCTTTGGCAGGTGCCGCAAGTGCCATGAAGCCTGCCTCCCTCTGCTGTGTCCAGTGGGTGCAAGCCAGTCAATGTGTGGTCAGAGTGGCTGGTTGTGTCACAGTCCTCAGATCTTTCCTTCCACCTTTTTTAAAGAATCCCAAATAACTCACTTGAAGTGTCTCAAAGTCAAGCAAGTTTTATGAAAATGAATCCTTCCTCAGTTAATTGATCAAATGGGTGAATCCTGACCCTCTGTAGTTTCTTTCCCTGGTCAGAGTGAGGAGCTGGTGTTAGCTGTGGGATTCACTGTGGCATCCTACCCCAAAGGCAAAGAAGATAAAAATGCAGCATGAAGAGCTGGGCTTGATTCCCAAGTCGCAGTCTGGCTCCCGCTGTGGTAGGTGGAACATCTCTCTAGCCTGCTCACAGAGATGGAACTAGGGAATTAAGGGAAGAGTCGGAGGGCCAGGAAGATTTATTTGAGTCTGATTTTCCAGGTGAATGAGAAGGGAGGGCTTGGTCGAGGGTTTGGTGCCAACACATTCCTGGGAGAGTCACGTCATCACCAGCAGCATTTGTAATTATTGTTGTATTTTAGCAAGAAGTTTCAGCTGGTCAAATATTTTGGGCCACCTCGAAGATGCTGACACATTTTCTGTACTGTGATTGTTCTGAAGGCAGAGTAGCTCTAACCACTCTGAGAAGCCCAAATAAAACAATAGCCCCTGCCGAAGACCACCTTTCTGAAACACACGTTTCTCTAGAAAACAGTGCCCCCCTTTCTCCCAAGCTTCTTATTTTTGGATTCCACCTCTTTGTATGTGTTAATCTAGTGTACCATGGAACACATTTGGGAGCTGGAGGCTCTGCTTATGTTTAAGGGGGAGAGCCCTGTCTGACCTGAGGTTGGAGGATGCTTTCCAATGTGAAGGAGTGTGAAGGAGGAGGCACAGACACAGACAGTGAGAGCAGGGTCACTTTATTGGTATAGAGACTGCAGAGGGACCAGGGGCTTTAGCTGTTGGCAGCTATGGTGTCCTTAATCCAGTCCACATAGTTGTAGACCTTGGTGTAGACTCCAGGCCTGTTCTTCTGGGCACAGCCATAGCCCCAGGAGACAATTCCTTGGAGCTCTCCATTGGAGACCACAGGGCCACCAGAATCACCCTGGGGGGAAGAAGGGACAAGTTGTATGAAGAGAGAGATGGAGGAGGAATACACCTACATTTGCTCTGAACCTTAAAAGAGCCCTTTCCAGCCAGCTCTGTGGCTCCACGTCCTTCTCACGGTGGCCCATTCTCTGTTCTTCCTAAGCAGACAGGATGCAGCCCAAAGGAGTCTTCCTCACTTCTCCATGGGGCACTGCAGGGAGCCTCCTCAGCCCCGCCACCTTGGGAGTTCAAATCATTTTCCCTGGTGGGGCCTGGTTATCAGTGGGAGCCTCAGCATGGGAAGGGGTCAAATCACCTGGCAGGAATCCTTGCCTCCCTCGAGGAAGCCCACACAGAACATGTTGTTGGTAATCTTTCCAGGGTAGGAGGCTTCACACTCAGCCTGGCTCAGCACAGGAGCATCCAGGCACTGCAGCTCGTCTGGGTAGTCGGCTGTGAGGATCAGGAAGAGAACAAAGAAAGAAATGTGGGTTAGGCCAGAGAAAGAGACAATAGTCTAGGATGGAACATTGAAGAGGAACACTGCCCCTGGAGAGGACTCCGAAACATAAGTCCTGGCAAGGGACTCTGGCTTTTAGTTCCCAGAATGATCATTGTTGAACCTCTCCCACGAAGTGATCATAGCAAGTTCTCCATTTGTCCTGTCTTTTGATTTTAGGAGCCACATCCTTGAGAATTTGCATCTCTCTGGTGCCCAGTGCAGAGCCTGTGTGTAATGGGCACTAGAAATGTGTCTTAAGCCTGGAGGCGAGAGGATTTAAGTTAAGGGGCATGGTTTGTTCTGGAAATTGTGGGATGGAGGGAAGTAGAAGGACAAAGGGTCCCACTCACCACCAGAACTCAGAGTGTTGCCCCAGCCGGAGATGAGGGACTCGGTGCCAGCAGCTGGAGGGGCAGTGGGCAGAGAGATGGCGGACACGCGGGAATTGATGACGGCAGGTGAGGAGAGCTTGATCAGCAGGATGTCATTGTCCAGAGTCCGGCTGTTGTATTTGGGGTGGCGGATGATCTTGGCTGCATTGATGAACTGTTCATTCCCCTCCAGGACTTCGATGTTGTGCTCTCCCAGTCTCACCTGGATGCGGCTGATGGGCAGGGCAGGCATGGTGAAGACCTTCTCCCACAGCCAGGGCACCCCTCCCACCTTTCCATGGGTCCTTAAGCTCCCTGCTCATGGACAGCTCTGGAGGCATGGGGTGGGGTGTGTGGCCATATCGCATGGGCAGGAGAGCAATGTGGGTCAGTGCAGGTGTGAAACCCAGGACCTTTCTGCTTCAGAGGTTGGTGGTAGTGGAGTGGGGAAGAGTCAAAGGGATCCCACCAGAGGCTGCTCCTCAATCTGCCTTCCCAGACTCTTTCCCATAATCTCCATGTCACTAGCACTGTGGGCACAAGGAGCTCCTTGAAGTTTTCCCAACATTCTTCACTCCAGGCCTTTGCTAACTGTGCACAGTGCCTGCTCCTCCCTCCATTCTTGGCCTGGTGAGCACCACCCTTCTGTGTAATCTAATCCAAGGGTAGCCATAGCATTAGCATCTCCTGGGAATTTGTTAGAAATGTAAGTTCTTGGTCCTTACCCCCACCTACTGATCAGAACCTTGGGGATGGGTCCCAGTGATTTGTGCCTTAACAAGCCTGCAGGGAGTTCTGATGCATACTCAGGTTTAAGAGTTCTTGGTGTAGGCAGCAGTTCTCAGCTCTGTCTATACACTCTACAGTTACCAGAGGTAGAGTGTGAAATACTCACTGATATTCACACCCTCTTCCTGATAATTTTGAGTTAATTGCCCTGGGATAGAACACAGGGATCAGTATTTTTAAGTACTCATTCTTAGGTGGCTTTAATGTGTAGCTAACCAGCAAAAGTACTAGCCTGCTCTTCTCACTAGCTCTCACCACCCCAAGATCATCCCTGCCTGCTTTTATGACCACAACCCTTGCTGTTTCATGGATTTGCCTGGGTGTGAGGGCTTCCTGTCTTGTGTTCACTCTCTGCTCTGGAGAGTCAGCTGCTGCCAACAAGTTTTCTTTTCCACCATCTCTCTCGTCCGTCCTACCCAACCTCAGTACTTCCCTGGGCTGAATCCAAGCTCTCCCAGGCAGCCTGGCTGGGAGTTTTGCAGTCAGGGGCCCCACACTTACGACTTGTAGCAGTGACCTGCTGACACCACCCACTGTTCGCTGATGAGGGAGCCACCGCAGAAGTGGTAGCCAGAATTCAAGGACACCTGGTAGGGGACAGAATTCTCCTCACAGATGTAGCCCCCAACGATCTTGTCATCATCATCAAAGGGGGCAGCAACTGGAGTGGAGATGGGAAGGGAGAAGGCAAGTCAGTAGCATGTTAGGGGTGGCGCTCCCAGCCTGTGGCTGCTTCCTGCTAATTAGAAAACCTTAACAAGCTCAGTGAGGCTAGGCAAGGGGGGGAGCGCTGCCAGCCCTGGTGATCATCACTGGATGTGGCTCCCAAGTCTCTGTGTCTGCAGGGCACGTAGCTAGGTACCCTGTGGGGGTTCAGATCTCTCCTGGGGTCACCAGGCTGAGGACGCAAGGAATATCCTCACAATACTTCCAGTGGGATAGGATTTGGGATGTGGCTGTCTCAAGCACTGAAGTCTTCTCTCTTTTATTCACCACCTGTGTACTCCACCTGGTTATTTAAGCCCCGGATTGTCTGGCTACTTTGGCCAAGCTAGGAAAACCCCCTGGCGACATCGACTTGGCCATGACCAGTTTCCCCCTCAGCTCAAATCTGCCCAGTGAGGGCAGAGTTGAGGGAAGCCCCAGGCTCACTTTTGCAGAACAAAGGTATACGTTATTATTGGTCAAAACAACAGCAATTCTTAACCTTGGCTGCATGCCTAGAAATGTTAAAAATCACCTGGGAAGCTTAAAAGCCCAGAACACAGGCTGCACACCAGACAATTGAAGTGAGAATTTCTAGAGTTGAGTGTCTTGCATGAGTAATTTCAACCTCCCCAGGTGCATTCGAGGTTAAGAGCAGCTATAGTGGTGCTATTGTGGTGCTGTCAGAGCCAAGCCTGAAGCCTACTGCTTCATTTCATGGGCCAGCCCCACCTGGTCTCCCTTCCCAGCTTCTCCAACCACAGCTCGGATATGGATGAATAACAGCGGTGGGAGTGAAATCAAGGAGAAGGTGGAACAAGTGAGGCTTAAAAAGAGCCCAAGGAGGATGGGAAGAAGAAATGCCAGATGGAGGAAATAGAATATCACAGCACAGTCAAAAGAGGAGAGGTGGCAAGAATGGCAGGGCATGTGTCTGCCAGGGAAGGGTTGGTTGAGGCCTGAGGCAGGGCGTGAAACTCACCAGCAGCTGCAACAAAGGTAAGGATCAGAAGTAGATTCATGGTGGTAGAGTGTGCCTGATTGCTGGTGGAGAACCCGTCTTTATACCTCCCGAGGATGGGGAGAGGAGGTGTCTGTGAGGTGAGGGTCACTGCTCCTCCCAGCACAAACACACCTGCAGCTTTCCCCTTCCTATGGTCTTGCATCAGTATGTTTGGCCACTCTGTGGGTTTGTGATTCACAGGTGATAAGGAAACTTGCCTTCTGAGAGCAGAGAGGGAGACCGGCTGTTTCCTGGAAGGATGCTGATATGGGAAAGACAGGGGAAGCCAAGCCCCAGATCACACAGCTGGGCTTTCTTAGGCCGAGGAGATGAGGGTTAGAAGGAGGGAGAATGGCCTGGCTGTTTAGGAATATATTTTACTATTGGGGTTATATTTAATGTACTTAAGGAAGGGCAAGCGTTGGTAGCAAGCTTGGCTTTTTAGTGTCCTGGAGCTCCCAGGAGAGGAGCAAAGTCTTATCTAACTAAGGCTTGTTCCTGTGAATATGAAGATGCTTCTCTCCAGTCACTCAGTGGGAAAGTCAAATCCAAGGCTTTGGGGAATGAGAATTCCAACATTAAGGGGTAAGGAGAAGAGAGACTCAGCATTCCATAGGATGCTGGGCTTGAAGATGGCTCTCCCTCCTACCACGGCATAGGGATGAGAAGAAGGAGGGGGCACAGGTTAGGTAGGAGCTTACTCAGTGCATCTGAAGGATGGAAAACCAATGGCGCACTCCTCCCCTTCTTCAATGTGAAGACATTTGTCTCTCATGTGCATCCTGTCATAGGTTCTTTTTATGCAGCCTCATGGTTGCCCTTGCAACCTGCACTCAGGGTGATTGAAACTGACCCACCTGCTTGGGGCTGACAGCCTGAACCAGAATGACATGCCCCTGATCACATGTCAGAGTTTGGACCATGGTAAATCTGGGTTATGATTTGATCTGAGAATCAGCAGTAGGTAGGGATTTGAGCACATGGTAAATGGGTGACATATTGGGTTCAATAACAAAGATGTGGAGGGGTGGGTCTAGAATTTTCTATTTTAGATGTAGTGAGATTATACTTGGCTCAGTACTAAGTGAATCTTTCTAGAGAATATCCTGATTTGAGCCCTACCAAGGGTACTAAGATACAGTCGTGTAATTGACTGAGGCATAACCTGGCCAGAGCAGTGTGGAGATGGAGATGCTGTCTGCGCTCAGGTCTAATAATGTAAGGAAAGGAGGGGCTTCCTTATGAGGGTGCTTTCCCTTCTCATCAACTCTGAGCTAATGTTGGTGATGGGCAGGAGTGAGCAGAGTTCAAGTTTGAATTCTTTGAAAGGTAAAAGAAGCAGGGATGTTCTGGAGACAGTGAGCAAAATGAGAAAAGCTCAGAAACTTGCTGGAGAAATCGGACATGGCCAGGGGGCTAGAGGGAGGAAGCAAATGGAAACCAGAGGTAACTGGAAAAAAATACCAAAATAGGGTCCATGGTGTTGAGAGGACACACAGAGTACCTTCAGGTTCAGCTCCTGGCATGGCCACTGAGGCAGCTTCCCCACAGCCAGGAGACCCACTGCTCTGAGGCCCCCTCTCTCCCCGGTACCCTCTCTAATCACTAATAGGCTGATACCTAACGCTGCTATGCTTAGATAGTGCATGGTGCCTGACTGCTTCACGGGAGTTTTCACGTAAGCAACAGTGGTACATTGCTCTTTGTTTATGCTGAGTTTCGCAGTTTAACTTCCCACCAACGTGCTAATGGTGACTTGTGTGGAGCAAAATTATTTCCATTTATAGAGGAAGAGACTGAGATTCAGAAGGATTCTGTCTTGCCCAAGAATACAGATCTTGGCAGAGCTGACCATAAGGCCAACAGAAGCCATGGAGAGCATTGTGAAGTGTGGGAATTGCTGCACGTGGCATCTAAAAGGAGATTTATTGAGGATCAAGGCAGAGGTCCCCAGAGGACAAACTGTACATCTGATTCCTTCCTGGTGCTTTTCTTCCTGGCAGAAATAGATGATTGAATTCATCTTTCTCCTGGCACCTTTTCTCAGAGCCTTACCTTGCCACAGTTCCAGACCCATCCAGGCCATGACTGCCATGTAGATGACACACCTCTCTGCTCATGAATAACTGGCCAAGCCTGAGGTAGCTAGGTTTTAGAGCATTGATAATATGGGGTTTTGCTGTGTTGTCCCTGAACATGTTATTTCATTTTGTCCCCTTGTCATGGGGTCTTCACAGAACTCCTGCCTTAGAGGATAAGGAGAGACTCTTGCTCTAGCAACTATAGACACCAGTGTGCACTAAACAGGGAGGTGAACCTTGGTAGAAGATGGAGAATTTTTTTGGAAAAAGGGATTTTTGGATCAGGGCTTGTAGCTCTGACTCTTTTTCTGAAAGGTAACACCCAAGAATTGAGGATTTTCTGTATCTAGAGCTTGAAGACTAGCCTTCTCCAGTATTTTGTGCTCTTCCTTAAACAATCACAGTATAGTCTGAGGTCAGCTTTCTTCAAAAAGGAATGACCTTACAGGCAGAGGAGATAGCTATAGGTGAAGACTGTTACCTCATACTGTAGACTCAGATGTGTAGGATAGGTTCAGATCCAGCTACCCATGCTCAATTTGGGGGACATGTCATTCTTGGTACTGTTCATTCTGAACTATAGATTTCTTTGTCTACTTCTCTAAGATATCTTTCTGGCTTCTGTTTAGTGCTTAACATGCCAAACCACTGTCCTTCCATTATCATAACAGTGAATCATTTCTGTGTGCTTCCTATATAGCATGTAACTTACTATACAGCATGTCACTCATATAAGTTAAGAACTTTTTTTTCATTTTATCATCACAACCACCTATGGAATTGCCCACTTTACAGATGAGCAAATGAGCTTTCTGAAGGTGAAGTGACTCTTCCATGTTCCAGAGCAGCAGCTCCCAGCCAGAGCCAGCCCTGCCTGCACTCAAGACCTTGGCAAAGCAACCAGAGCCAGAAAGAACCATGAGAGAAGCTTTCAATGACTTTCAGACACTTTGTCCTCCTTTTTTACCCTTCTCCTCTCCTGCTTTTTTCCCCATCTCCAAGTATATTTTGGGATGTGGATGCCATTCGCCACACAAAAACACTTGGGATTCATTCCTGATACCCCAATTCATCCCAATTTCCCCCCTTTAAAGTCAGATCTCACCTACCTGTTTGGTCAGAGAGATGTGTGTTTTAAAATCCCCAAGGAAGGAGGCAGGGACTGTGCCCTCAGATGATTATTGGTGAAGTGGGTTTATGCTTAATTTCAGCTTAAGAGAATGTTGCTGTGTCTCTGCCTAGGACAGGCAGCCCACTGTGGCCCTGGGTGATGAAGGAAGCCCACAGAGGCCCAGGGTTTGTCACCTGTGGCTGCCAGTGTCTGCAGAGTCAGAATTGAGCTAATCCTGTGAAAGGATGAGCGCTGATGGGCAGTTGTATGGTAGGTTGCTATGGGGCTTCTTGATCTCTCAAATTCCAGGTGACAAGATCAATGCATCCTTGAGGGATCCCTTCCCAGCAGGCTCTGGTGGCTACAAACTGGTTCAGGTGTGGAAGATCATACCACTTTACCTTTGGTTTTTCTTTGAAAAACAAACAATGAAAGACAGATGGAAACAAGAAATCTACCAGTGGGCAGGCAAGAACTCTCTTCGGGAAAAGGGATGTTTGTGGCTGTTCCCCACATTGGCCTTGAAAGAGCTTGGCTGCAGAGTGGCTATTATTAAAATGTCAAAAAGCAGAAGATGCTGGTGAGGCTGCAGAGGAAAGGGAATGCTTATACACTGTTGGTCAGAGTGTAAATGAGTTCATGGAAAAATTAATGCAGAAAGCAGTTTGGAGATTTCTGAAATAATTTGAAACAGAACTACCTTTCCACCCAGCAATTCTTTATTGGGCATTTACCTGAAGGAAAATAACTGTTCTGCCAAAAAGACACATGCTCTTGCATGTCCGTCACAGCACTATTCACAGTAGCAAAGCCATGGAATGAACCTAGGTGGCCATCAGCGGTAGACTGGATAAAGGAAATGTGGTACATATACACCATGGAATACTATGCAGCCAAGAATCTAAAATAAAACTTGAAATTATTTTTTTTTTTAGAGTGGAGCCTGGGCCAGGAGTAGTGGCTCATGCCTGTAATCTCAACACTTTGGATCACTTGAGATCAGGAGTTCAAAACCAGCCTGGCCAACATGGTGAAAGCCTGTCTCTACTAAAAATACAAAAAAAAAAAAAAAAAAATTAGCTTGGCATGGTGGCAGGTGCCTGTAATCCCAGGTACTTGGGAGTCTGAATCACTTGAACCCAGGAGGTGGAGGTTGTAGTGAGCAGAGATCATGCCACCGCACTCCAGCCTGGCTGTAGTTCAGCCAGAAGGTGATGTTTTGTGTGAAGGCTGAGGTGGGGGCTCTTCGGAGCCTCTGTGAGAAGGAGGCCCTAAGCCGCAGCAGTGGACAGAGTTGTAGCTTTCTGCCTCTTTGCCCTTTGGTCTGGACCCACAGATAAACAGTACCAGCCTCCATCCTGAGCACACCCTCTGCAGACTTTCACATCTCATGGTTCCATGTGAGCAAATGGACTGGGAAAGCTGTGTGGACTGAGAAAAGGCAACCCCATGGCCTGCTCTCACACAGTACTTTGTCTTGGATTTTTGAATAAGCATTTTTTTTGCTTGTTTTGTGTTTTTGGTGGTGGTAGTGTTGGTATATTTTATACTGACCACTTGGAAGTAATCCCATGGTTATCTGTGATTTTCATGCCCTGTTTCTGCTGGCAACGCTTCTCAGTGGGGTGACTCACTTTCCTGTGTAAAGAGTCTAAGGGGCCCAGGTAGGAGGTGGAAGCAGCTGTCTGCAAGGCCATAGGGATCCTTATGTCTGTCTCTTGGCTTGAGGTAACCAGCTGCTGCACTTTGATAGGAATAATCTGAATGGAGACAGAAAACACTGGAAACTAACACTCCCCACCCAGCCCAGCCCTGTTTATATGAAGTGTTTTGTTCTTCCCTTGACTCTTGAGTGATGATGATAATCAGACAAGGCATTGACATTATAGTAAGAAAGGGAAAAAATGTATCTGTCTTGTCTATCTATCTATCTATTGAATATATGTCTCCAAAAGCAGACAAACCCAAGGCTGTAAGGTGAACTAGGGTCTGCGTTTGGACTCCATAAAAACAAAATCCATGTTGAACAAAGTGATGTTTGTATGCAGCGAAGTTTTGGGTGACCCATGTGTATCTATCCATTGTGTGTGAGCCCTGAGCCCTGTTTTCCTCTGAAGATAGTGATTGGTAGCTGTCTCTTCACACGAACCACACATCTGGAGCAAAGATGGCCCTCTTAAGGTAATTGATCTTACACATTTACTGTTTACCAAACAAGTGTCTGATGCATACTTGGGTGTATTCCACAGCATGTGGACCGCAGTCCCCTGTGTTTTCCAGGAATGCTGTGCTCCATGTAGAGGTTTTACTCTACTCATCCCTGCAATTTGCACGCTGCTCTGTGGACACTTGGAGGCCTGTGCTCTGTTCCGTGTAACTGGAAATGTGCTCTGAACTTGTCTGTCTCCCTTGGCTGCTCCTGGCCCTTGTTACTGGCTGTCAGGGATGTCCACAACCACTTGGGACAGAAGGTGAAGGTGGAATTTCAAAGAGAAGATTTCTTGGATCTTCAGTGACAAAGTTGTATGAGCTACGGCCCCAACATGGTCCCACTCAGAATTGCCAGGAGGAGGCTTTGGCAGGTGACACAGGTGACATGAAGCCTGCCTCTCTCTGCTGTGTCCAGTGGGTGCAAGTCAGCCAATGTGTGGCCAGAGTTGCTGCATGGTGTCACAGCCCTCAGATCTTTCTTTCCACCTTTTTTAAAGTGTCCCAAATAACTCATTTGAAGTGTCTCAAAGGCAAGCAAGTTTTATGAAAATGAATCCTTCCTCAGCTAATTGATCAAATGGGTGAATCCTGATCCTCTCTAGTTTCTTTCCCTGGTCAGATTGGGGGCTGGTGTTAGCTGTGGGATTCACTGTGGTGTCCTACCCCAAAGGCAAAAAAGATGAAAATGCAGCGTGCAAATCTGGGCTTGATTTCCAAGTCACAGTCTGGCTCCCGCTATGGTAGGTGGAACATCTCTCTAGCCTGCTCACAGAGATGGAACTAGGGAATTGAGGGAAGAGTTTGGGGGCCAGGGAGATTTATTTGAGTCTGATTTTCCAGGTGAATGAGAAGGGAGGGCTTGTTCGAGGGTTTGGTGCTGACACATTCCTGGGAGAGTCATGACATCACCAACAGCACTTGTCATTGTTGTATTTTAGCAAGAAGATTCAGCTGGTCAGATTTTTTGTGCTACCTCAAAGATGCTGACACAATATCTGTGCTGTGATTGTTCTGAAGGTAGAGTAGCTCTAACTGCTCTGAGAAGCCCAAATAAAAATCAATATCCCCTGCCAAAGACCACCTTTCTGAAACACACGTTTCTCTAGAAAACAGTGCCCGCCTTTCTCCGATATTTCTTTTTATTTTTGGATTCCATCTGTTTGTATGTGCTAATCTAGTGTACCATGGGACACATTTTGGGAGCTGGGGGCTCTGCTGACCCTTAAGGGGGACAGCCCTGTCTGACCTGAGATTGGAGGATGCTTTCCAGTGTAAAGGAGTGTGAAGGAGCAGGCACAGACACAGACAGTGAGACCAGGGTCACTTTATTGGTATAGAGACTGCAGAGGGACTGGGGACTTTAGCTGTTGGCAGCTATGGTGTCCTTAATCCAGTCCACATAGTTGTAGACCTTGGTGTAGACTCCAGGCCTGTTTTTCTGGGCCAGCCATAGCCCCAGGAGACAATTCCTTGGAGCTGTCTATTGCAGACCACTGGGCCACCAGAGTCACCCTGGGGAGAAGAAGGAACAAGTTGTATGAAGAGAGAGATGGAGGAGGAATATAGCTACATTTACTCTGAACCTTAAAAGACCCCTTTCCAGCCAGCTCTGTGGCTCCACATCCTTCTCACAGTGGCCCATTCTCTGTTCTTCCTAAGCAGACAGCTTGCAGCCCAAGGGAGCCTTCCTCACTTCTCCATGGGGCAATGCAGGGAGACTCAGCCCCACCAACTTGGGAGTTCAAATGTTTTTCCCAGATGAAGCCTGGGTATCAGTGGAAGCCTCAGCATGGGAAGGGGTCAAATCACCTGGCAGGAATCCTTGCCTCCCTCAAGGAAACCCACACAAAACACGTTGTTGGTAATCTTTCCAGGGTAGGAGGCTTCATACTCAGCCTGGCTCAGCACAGGAGCATCCAGGCACTGCAGCTCGTCTGGGTAGTCGGCTGTGAGGATCAGGAAGAGAACAAAGAAAGAAATGTGGGTTAGGCCAGAGAAAGAGACAATAATCTAGGATAGAACACCGAAGAGGAACACTGCCCCTGGAGAGGACTTCAAAACATAAGTCCTGGCAAGGGACTCTGGCTTTTAGTTCCCAGAATGATCATTGTTGAACCTCTCCCAAGATGTGATCATAGCAAGTTCTCCATTTGTCCTGTCTTTTGATTTTAGAAGCCAAGTCCTTGAGAATTTGCATCTCTCTGGTGCCCAGTGCAGAGCCTGTGTGTAATGGGCACTAGAAATGTGTCTTAAGCCTAGAAGTGAGAGGATTCACATT
Source organism: Homo sapiens (assembly GCF_000001405.40). Taxonomy (NCBI): domain Eukaryota; kingdom Metazoa; phylum Chordata; class Mammalia; order Primates; family Hominidae; genus Homo; species Homo sapiens. The sequence continues at coordinate 786,293 of NT_187562.1, read as the reverse complement.
AAGCGGTGTGCTTCGTTCTGGAAATTGTGAGGATGGAGGGAAGTAGAAGGACAAAGGGTCCCACTCACCGCCAGAACTCAGAGTGTTGCCCCAGCCAGAGATGAGGCACTCAGTGCCAGCAGCTGGAGGGGTGGTGGGCAGAGAGATGGTGGACACATGGGCATTGATGATGGCAGGTGTGGAGAGCTTGATCAGCAGGATGTCATTGTCCAGAGTCCAGCTGTTGTATTTGGGGTGGCGGATGATCTTGACCGCATAGATGAACTGTTCATTCCCCTCTAGGACTTCGATGTTGTGCTCTCCCAGTCTCACCTGGATGCAGCTGATGGGCAGGGCAGGCATGGTGAAGACCTTCTCCCACAGCCAGGACACCCATCCCACATTCCCAAGGGTTCTCCACCTCCCTGCTCATGGACAGCTCCTGAGGCATGGGGTGGGGTGTGTGGCCATATCCCATGGGCAGGAGAGGGATGTGGGTCAGTGCACTTGTGAGACCCAGAACCTTTCTGCTTCCGAGGTTGGTGGTAGTGGGGTGGGGAATAGTCAAAGGGATCCCACCAGAGGCTGCTCCTCAATCTGCCTTCCCAGCCTCTTTCCCACAATCTCCACACTCACTAGCACTGTGGGCACAAGGAGCTCCTTGAAGTTTTCCCAGCATTCTTCACCCCAGGCCTTTGCTAACTGTGCACAGCACCTGTTCCTCCCTCCCTTCTTGGCCTGGTGAGAACCACCTTTCTGTGTAATCTAATCCAAGGGTAGCCATAGCATTAGCATCTCCTGGGAACTTGTTAGAAATGTGAATTCTTGGTCCTTACCCCAACCTACTGATCAGAAACTTGGGGATAGGACCCAGTGATTTGTGCCTTAACAAGCCTGCAGGGAGTTCTGATGCATACTCAGGTTTGAGAGTTCTTGGTGTAGGCAGCGGTTCTCAGCTCTGTCTATACACTCTACAGTTACCAGAGGTAGAGTGTGAAATACCCACTGATATTCACACCCTCTTCCTGAAAATTCCTGATAATTGCCCTGGGATAGGACACAGGCAACAGTACTTTTAAAAACGCTTTCTTACGTGGCTTTAGTGTGTAGCTAACCAGCAAAATGTACTTTCCTGCTTTTCTCACTAGCTCTCACCACCCCGAGATCATCCCTGCCTGCTTTTATGACCACAACCCTTGCTGTTTCATGGATTTGCCTGGGTGTGAGAGGTTCCTGTCTTGTGTTCATTCTCTGCTCTGGAGAGTCAGCTGCTGCCAACAAGATTTCTTCTCCACCACCTTTCCCATCCATCTTACCCAACCTCAGTACTTCCCTGGGCTGAAGCCAAGCTCTCCCCGGCAGCCTGGCTGGGAGTTTTGCAGTCAGGGGCCCCACACTTATGACTTGTAGCAGTGAGCTGCTGACACCACCCACTATTCCCTGTTGAGGGAGCCAACACAGAAGTGGTAGCCAGAATTCAGGGACACCTGGTAGGGGACAGAATTCTCCTCACAGTTGTAGCCCCCAACAATCTTGTCATCATCATCAAAGGAGACACCAACTGGAGTGGAGATGGGAAGGGAGAAGGCAAGTCAGTAGCATGTTAGGGGTGGCTCTCCCAGCCTGCGGTTGCTTCCTGCTAATTAGAAAACTTAACAAGCACAGTGAGGCTAGGCAAGGTGGGGGAGCTCTGCCACCCCTGGTGAGCATCACTGGATGTGGCTCCCAAGTCTCTGTGTCTGCAGGGCACGTAGCTAGGTACCCTGTGGGGGTTCAGATCTCTCCTGGGGTCACCAGGCTGAGGCCATAAGGAATGTCCTCAAAATGCTTCCAGTGGGATAGGAATTGGAATGTGGCTGTCTCACCCACTGAATGCTTCTCTCTTTTATTCATCACCTGTGTACTTCTCCTGGCGATTTGAGCCCTGGATTGTCAGGATACTTTGGCCAAGCTAGGAAAACCCCCTGTCTGGCTAGGAAAACCTGGCCATGACCAGTTTCCCCCTTAGCTCAGATCTTTGCAGTGACAGCAGAGTTGAGGGCAGCCCAAGGCTCACTTCGGCAGAACAAAGGTAGACATTATTATTGGCCAAAACAACAGCAATTTTTAACCTTGGCTGCATGCCTAGAAATGTTAAAAATCACCTGGGAAGCTTAAAAGCCCAGAACAGAGGCTGCACCTCAGACAAATGAAGTGAGAATTTCTAGAGTTGAGTCTCTGGCATGAGTAATTTTTCAGCCTCCTCAGGTGCATTCGAGGTTTAGAGCAGCTATAGTGGTGCTATTGTGGTGCTGTCAGAGCCAAGCCTGAAGCCTGCTGCTTCATTTCGTGGGCCTGCCCCACCTGGTCTCCTTTCCCAGCTTCTCCAACCACAGCTCGGATAGGGATGAATGACAGTGGTGGGAGTGAAATCAGGGAGAAGCTGAAACAGGTGAGGCTTAAAGACAGCCCAAGGAGGGTGGGAAGGAGAGATGCCAGATGGAGGAAATAGAATATCAGAGAACAGTCAAAAGAGGAGAGGTGGCAAGAATGGCAGGGCATGCATCTGCCAGGAACGGGGTATGGTTGGAGCCTGAGGCAGGGCATGAAACTCCTACCAGCAGCTCCCACAGAGGCAAGGATCGGGAGTGGATTCATGGTGGTAGAGTGTGCCTGACTGGTGGTGGAGGACCCGTCTTTTTATCTCCCGAGGATCGGGAGAGGAGGTGTCTGTGAGGTGAGGGTCACCACTCCTCCCAGCACAAACACACCTGCAGCTTTCCCCTTCCTATGGTCTTGCATCAGTATGTTTGGCCACTCTGTGGGTTTGTGATTCACAGGTGATAAGGAAACTTGCCTTCTGAGAGCAGACAGGTGATAAGGAAACTTGCCTTCTGAGAGCAGAGAGGGAGACCGGCTGTTTCCTGGAAGGATTCTGGGATGGGAAAGACAGGGGAAGTCAAGCCGCAGATCACACAGCTGGGCTTTCTTAGGCCGAAGAGAAGAGGGTTAGAAGGAGGGAGAATGGCCTGGCTGTTTAGGAATATATTTTACTATTGGGGATGCATTTAATGTACTTAAGGAAGGGCAAGCATTGGTAACAAGCTTGGCTTTTCAGTGACCTGCAGCCCCCATGAGAGGAGGAAGGTCTTATCTAAGGCTCATTCTTGTGAATATGAAGATGCTTCTCTCCAGTCACCGTGCGGAAGGTTAAATCCAAGCCTATGGACAACAAGAATTCCAACACTGAGGGGTAAGGAGAAGGGAGACTCAGCATCCCATAGGATTCTGGGCTTCCAGATGGCTCTCCTTCCTACCAAGGCTTGAGGATGGGAAGTGTTTCAAAGAAGGAGGGGGCACTGGTTAGGTAGGAACTTACTCAGTGCATCTGGAGGATGGAAAACCAATGGTGCACTCCTCCCCTTCTTCAATGTGAAGATATTTGTCTCTCTCATGTGCATTCTGTCATAGGTTCTTTTTATGCAGCCTCACGGTTGCCCTTGCAACCTGCACTCAGGGTGATTGAAACTGACCGACCTTGGAGACAGTGAACAAAATGAGAAATGGTGAAATTGGACATGTGCAGGGGGCTAGAGGGAGGAAGCAAATGGAAACTAGAGTGAATTGGAAAAAATACCAAAGTGGGACCCGTGGAGTTGAGAAGACACACAGATTACCTTCAGGTTCAGCTCCTGGCATAGCCGCTGAGCCAGCTTCCCCACAGCCAGGAGACGCACTGCTCAGAGACCCCCTCTCCACCCTGTATCCCATCTAATCACTGATGGGCTTATACCTAACATTGCTGTACTCATATGGTGCATGGTGCCTGACAGCTTTACAAGAGTTTTCACGTAAGCAACAGTGGTATATTGCTTTTCATTTATGTTGAGTTTCACAGTTTAAATTCCCACAAACATGCTAATTGTGATTTGTGTAGAGCAAAATTATTTCCATTTGTAGAGGAAGAGACTGAGTTTCAGAAGGATTCTGTCTTGCCCAAGAATACAGATCTTGGCAGAGCTGACCATAAGGCCAATGGAAGCCATGGAGAGCATTGTGAAATGTGGGAATTGCTGCATGTGGCATCTAAAAGGAGATTTATTGAGGATCAAGGCAGAGGTCCCCAGAGGACAAACTGTACATCTGATTCCTTCCTGGTGCTTTTCTTCCTGGCAGAAATAGATGATTGAATTCATCTTTCTCCTGGCATCTTGTCTCAGAGCCTTACCTTGCCACAGTTCCAGACCCATCCAGGCCGTGACTGCCATGTAGATGACACACCTCTCTGCTCACGAATAACTGGCTAAGCCTGAGGTGGCCAGGTTTTTGAGCATTGATAATATGGGTTTTTCCTGTGTTGCCGCTGAACATGTTGTTTCATTTTGTCCCCTTGTCATGGGGTCTTCACAGACCTTAGAGGATGAGAGCCTCTTGCTCTAGCAACTGTAGACACCAGTGTGCACTAAACAGCGAGGTGAAACTTGGTAGAAGTGGAAAATTTTTTTGAAAAAAGGGATTTTTGGGTCAGTGCTTGTGGCTCTGACTCTCTGTCTGAGAGGGAACACCCAAGAATATAAGGATTTTCTGTATCTAGAGCTTGAAGACTAGCCTTCTCCAGTATTTTGCGCTCTTCCTTAAATGATCACAGTATAGTCTGAGGTCAGCTTTCTTCTAAAGGAATGACCTTACAGGCAGAGAAGATAGCTATAGGTGGAGACTGTTACCTCATACTGTAGACTCAGATGTGTAGGATAGGTGCAGATCTAGCTGCCCAAGCTCAATTTGGAGGACATGCCATTCTTGGTACTGTTCATTCTGAACTATAGGTTTCTTTGTCTACTTCTCTCAGACATCTTTCTGGCTTGTGTTTAGTGCTTAGCACACTGAACCACTATCCTTCAATTATGATAACAGTGAATCATTTCTGTGTGCTTACTATATAGCATGTAACTTACCATACAGCATGTAACTCATATAAGCTAAGCATTTTTTTTTCCATTTTATCATCACAACCAACTATGGGCTTGCCCAATTTACAGATGATCGAATGAGCTATCTGGAGGTGAAGTGACTCTTCCATCTCCCAGAGCAGCAGCTCCCAGCCAGAGCCAGCCCTGCCTGCACTCAAGACCTTGGCAAAGCAACCAGAGCCAGAAAGAACCACAAGAGAAGCTTGCAATGACTTTCAGCCACTTTTTCCCCCTTTCTTTCTCTTCTCCTCTCCTGCATTTTTTTCCATCTCCAGGTACAGTTCGGGATGTGGATGCCTGTCCCCACACAAAAACACTTGGGATTCATTCCTGATACCCCAATTCATGCTGATTTTCCCCCCTTTAGAGTCAGATCTCACCTACCTGTTTGGTCAGAGAGATGTGTGTTTTAAATCCCTGAGGAAGGAAACAGGGACTATGCCCTCAGATGATTATTGGTGAAGTGGGTTTATGCTTAATTTCAGTTTAAGGGAAAGTTGCTGTGTCTCTGCCTAGGACAGGCAGCCCATTGTGGCCCTGGATGATGAGAGAAGCCCACAGAGGCTCGGGCTTTTATCACCTGTGGATGCCAGTGTCTACTGAGCGAGAATTGAGCTAATCCCCTGAAAGGATGAGCATTGATGGGCAGTTGTAGGTTGCTATGGGGCTTCTTGATCTCTCAAATTGCAGGTGACAAGATCAATGCATGCTTGAGGAGCCCCTTCCCAGCAGGCTCTGGTGGCTACAAACTGGTTCAGGTTTGGAAGATCATACCACTTTACCTTTGGTTTTTCTTTGAAAAACAAACAATGAAAGACAGTTGAAAACAAGAATTCTACCAGGGAGCAGGCAATAATTCTCTTTGGGAAAAGGGATTTTTGTGGCTCTTCCCCACATTGGCCTTGAAAGAGCTTGGCTGCATAGTGGCTATTAAAATGTCCAAAAAATGGAAGATGCTGGTGAGGCTGCAGAGGAAAGGGAACGCTTATACACTGTTGGCCAGAGTGTAAATGAGTTCATGGAAAAATTAATGCAGGAAGCATTTTGGAGATTTTTGAAATAATTTAAAACAGAAATACCTTTCCACCCAGCACTTACTTTACTGGGCATTTACCCAAAGGAAAATAATTGTTCTGCCAAAAAGACACATGCTTTTGCATGTCCATCACAGCACTGATTCACACTAGCAAAGCCATGGAATCAACATAGGTGGCCATCAGCGGTAGACTGGATAAAGGAAATGTGGTACATATACACCATCGAATACTATGTAGCCATGAAAAGAATGAAATCATGTCCTTTACAGCAACATGGATGGAGTTGGAGACCACAATCCTAAGTGAATTAACATAGGAACAGAAAACCAAATATCACATTCTCATGTATACTGGCAGCTGAGCATTGGGTACACATGGATATAAAGATGGGAACAGTAGACACTGCAATTGTTAGAGGGAAGAGAGAAGGAGTGTGGAAAGTGCTGAAAAACTACCTATTGGGTACTATGGTCACTGCCTGAGTGATGAGATCATTTGTGCCCCAAACCTCAGCATCACACAATATACCAGTGTAACAAACCTGCACATGTCCCCCCTGAATCTAAAATAAAATTTGAAATTATTTTTTAAAAAATGTGGCCTCGGACAGAAGAGGTGGTTCACGCCTGTAATCCCAGTACTTTGGATCACTTGAGGTCAGGTGTTCAAAACCAGTCTGGCCAAAACGGTGAATCCCTGTCTCTAATAAAAATACAAAAAAAAAAAAAAAAAAAAATAGCTGGGTATGGTGGCATGCACCTGTAATCCCAAGTACTTGGGAGGCTGAATCCCTTGACCTGGGAGGCAGAGACTGTAGTGAGCAGAGATCATGCCATGGCACTCCAGCCTGGCTGTAGTTGAGCCAGAAGATGTTTTGTGTGAAGGCTGAGGTGGGTTCTCTTCAGAGCCTCTGTGAGAAGGAGGCCCTAAGCCTTGGCGGTGGACAGATATCAGCTTTCTGCCTCTTTGCCCTTTGGTCTGGACCCATAGGTGAACAGTACAAGCCTCGATCCTGAGCATACGCTCTGCAGACTTTCACATCTCATGGTTCCATGTGAGCAAATGGACTGGGAAAGCTGTGTGGCCTGAGAAAAGGCAACCCCGTGGCCTGACTCTCACACAGTATTTTGTCTTGGATTTTGAATAAGCATTTTTTTTGCTTCTTTTGCATTTTTGGTGGTGGTGGTGGTGATCTATTTTACACTGACCACTTGGAAGAATTCCCATGCTTATCTGTGATTTTCATGCCCTGTTTCTGCTGGCAACCCTTCTCAGTGGGGTGACTCACTTTCCTGTGTAAAGACTCTATGTGGCCCAGGTAGGAGGTGGAAGCAGCTGTCTGGAAGGCCATTGGGATCCTTATGTCTGTGTCTTGGCTTGAGGTAATCAGCTGGGCTTTGATAGGAATGATCTGAATGGAGACAGAAAACACTGGAAACTAACACTCCCCACCCAGCCCAGCCCTGTTTATATGAAGTGTTTGGCTCTTCCCTTGACTCTTGAGTGATGATGATATTCAGACGAGGCATTGACATTATGGCAAGAAAGGGAAAAAAATGTATCTGTCTTGTCTATCAACTGGATATGTATCTCCCAAAGCAGACAAACCCAAGGCTGTAAGGTGAACTAGGGTCTGCGTTTGGACTCCATAAAAACAAAATCCATGTTGAACAAAGTGCTGTTTATATGCAGTGACGTTCTGGGTGACCTGTTTGTATCTGTCCATTGTGTGTGAGCCCTGAGCCCTGTTTTCCTCTGAAGATAGTGAGTGGTAGCTGTTTCCTCACACGAATCACACTTCTGGAGCCCGGATGGCCCTCTCAAGGCAATTGATCTTACACATTTACTGTTTACCAAACAAGTGTCTGATGCATACTTGGGTGTATTCCACAACATGTGGACAGCGGTCCCCTGTGTTTGCCAGGAATGCTGTGCTCCGTGTAGAGGTTTTACTCTACTCATCACTGCAATTTGCATGCTGCTCCATGGACACTTGGAGGCCTGTGCTCTGTTCCCCGTAACTGGAAATGTGCTCTGAACTTGTCTGTCTTCCTTGGCTGCTCCTGGCCGTTAGTACCAGCTCCCAGGGGTGTCCACAACCACTTGGGACAGAAGGTGAAAGTGGAATTTCAAAGAGAAGCTTGCTTGGATCTTCGGTGACAGGCTTGGATGAGTTACTGCACCAAGCTGGGCCCTCTCCAAATTTCCAGGAGGAGGCTTTGGCAGGTGCCACAAGTACCACGGGGCCTGCCTCCCTCTGCTGTGTCCAGTGTGTGCAAGCCAGCCAACATGTGGCTAGAGTGGCTGCATGGTGTCACAGCCCTCAGATGTCTTTCCTTCCACCCTTTTTAATGAGTCCCAAATAACTCACTTGAAGTGTCTTAAAGGCAAGCAAAATTTATGAAAATGAATCCTTCCTCAGTTAATTGATCAAATGGGTGAATCCTGACCCTCTCTAATTTCTTTCCCTGGTCAGACTGGGGAGCTGGTGTTAATTGTGGGATTCACTGTGGTGTCCTACCCCAAAGGCAAAGAAGATGAAAGTGCAGCGTGCGGAGCTGGGCTTGATTCCCAAGTCACAGTCTGGCTCCCGCTATGGTAGGTGGAACATCTCTCTAGCCGGCTCACAGAGATGGAACTAAGGAATTGAGGGAAGAGTCAGGGTGCCAGGGAGATTTACTTGAATCTGATTTTCCAGGTGAATGAGAAGGGAGGGCTTGGTTGAGGGTTTGGTGCTGACACATTCCGGGGAGAGGCATGACATCACCAACAGCATTTGTCATTATTGTGTTTTAGCAATAAGATTCCGCTGGTCAGATTTTTTGGGCCACCTGGACGATGCTGACATATTTTCTATGCTGTGATTGTTCTGAAGGCAGAGTAGCTATAACCACTGTGAGAAACCCAAATAAAAATCAATACCCTCCCCCAAAGACTACCTTTCTGAAACACACGTTTCTCTAGAAACAGTGCCCTGCCTTTCTCTGAAGCTTCTTCTTATTTTTGGATTCCATCTGTTTGTATGCACTAATCTAGTGTACAATGGAACACATTTTGTGAGCTGGGGGCTCTGCTTACCTTTAAGGGGGAGAGTCATATCTGAACTGAGATTGGAGGATGCTTTCCAGTGTGAAGGAGTGTGAGAGAGCAGGCACAGACACAGACAGTGAGAACAGGGTTATTTTATTGGTATAGAGACTGCAGAGTGACCAGGGGCTTTAGCTGTTGGCAGCTATGGTGTCCTTAATCCAGTCCACATAGTTGTAGACCTTGGTGTAGACTCCAGGCCTTCTCTTCTGGGCACAGCCATAGCCCCAGGAGACAATTCCTTGAAGCTGTCCATTGCAGACCACAGGGCCACCAGAGTCACCCTGGCATGAAGAAGGGACAAGTTTTATTGAGAGATGGAGGAGGAATATAGCTACAGTTACTCTGAACCTTAAAAGACCCCTTTCCAGCCAGCTCTGTGGCTCCATGTTCTTCTCACGGTGGCCCATTCTCTGTTCTTCCTAAGCAGACAGGATGCAGCCCAAGGGAGCCTTCCTCACTTCTCCATGTGGGCACTGCAGGGAGCCTCCTCAGCCCCCCACCTTGGGAGTTCAAATCTTTTTCCCTGGTGGGTCCTGGGTATCAGTGGGAACATCAGCATGGGAAGGGTTGGTCTAATCACCTGGCAGGAATCCTTGCCTCCCTCAAGGAAGCCCACACAGAACATGTTGCTGGTAATCTTTAAAGGGTAGGAGGCTTTACACTTAGCCTGGGTCAGCACAGGAGCGTCCAGGCACTGCAGCTCATCTGGGTAGTCGGCTGTGAGGATCAGGAAGAGAATAAAGAAAGTAGAAATGTGGGTCAGGCCAGAGAAGGAGACAGTAATCTAGGATGGAACATTGAAGAGGAACACTGCCCCTGGAGAGGACTCCAAAACAAGTCCTGGCAAGGGAATCTGGCTTTTAGTTCCTAGAATGATCATTGTTGAACCCCTCCCAAGAAGTGATGGCACCAAGTTCTCCATTTGTCCTGTCTCTTGATTTTAGGAGCCAAGTCCTTGAGACTTTGCATCTCTCTGGTGCCCAGTGCAGAACCTGTGTGTAATGGGCACTAGAAATGTGTCCTGGAGGTGAGAGGATTTAAGTTAAGGAGCATGCTTCATTGTGGAAATTGTGAGGATGGAGGGAAGTAGAAGGACAAAGGGTGCCACTCACCCCCAGAGCTCAGGGTATTGCCCCAGCCGGAGATAAGGCACTCGGTGCCAGCAGCTGGAGGGGCAGTGGGCAGAGAGATGGTGGACACATGGGCATTGATGACGGCAGGTGTGGAGAGCTTGATCAGCATGATGTCATTGTTCAGAATAATCCTGTTGTATTTGGGGTGGCGGATGATCTTGGCTGCATTGATGAACTGCTCATTCCCCTCCAGGACTTCGATATTGTGCTCTCCCAGTCTCACCTGGATGTGGCTGATGGGCAAGGCAGGCATGGTGAAGCCCTTCTTTCACAGCTGGGGCACCCATCCCACCTTCCCGAGGGTCCTCAAGCTTCCTGCTCATGGGCAGCTCTGGAGGCATGGGGTTGGGTATGTGGTCATATCACATGGGCAGGATAGGGATGGGGGTCAGTGCAGGTGTGAGAACCAGGACCTTTCTGTTTCAGAGGTTGGTGGTAATGGGGTGGGGAACAGTCAAAGGGATCCCACTGGAGGCTGCTCCTCAACCCACCTTCCCAACCTCTTTCACACAATCTTTACAGTCACTAGTCCTGTGGGCACAAGGAGCTCCTTGAAGTTTTCCCAGCATTCTTCACCCCAGGCCTTTGCTAACTGTGCACAGTGCCTGCTCCTCCCTGCATTCTTGGCCTGGTGAGCACCACCCTTCTGTGTAATCTAATCCAAGGGTAGCCATAGCATTAGCATCTCCTGGGAACTTGTTAGAAATGTAAATTCTTGGTCTTTACCCCCACCTACTGCTCAGAACCTTGGGGATGGGACCCAGTGATTTGTCCTTAACAAGCCTGCAGTTTTTTCTGGTGGTGCATACTCAGGTATGAGAGTTCTTCATGTAGGCAGTGGTTATCAGCTCTGTCAATACACTCTACAGTTACCAAGGTAGAGTGTGAAATACTCATTGATATTCACACCCTCTTCCTGAAAATTCCTGATAATTGCCCTGGGATAGGACACAGGCATCAGTATTTTTAAAAACTCTTTCTTAGGTGGCTTTAAGGTGTAGCTAACTAGCTAAAGGTACTTTCCTGCTTTTCTCACTAGCTCTCACCACCCCAAGATCATCCCTGCCTGCTTTTATGACCACAACCCTTGCTGTTTCATGGATTTGTCTGGGTGTGAGAGCTTCCTGTCTTGTGTTCACTCTCTGCTCTGGAGAGTCAGCTGCTGAAAACAAGTTTTTTCTCCACCACCTCTCCCATCCATCTTACCCAACCTCAGTAGTTCTCTGGGCTGAAGCCAAGCTCTCCCAGGCAGCCTGGCTGGGAGCTTTGCAGTCAGTGGCACCACACTTACGGCTTGTAGCAGTGACCTGCTGACACCACCCACTGTTCGCTGATGAGGGAGCCACCGCAGAAGTGGGAGCCAGAATTCAAGGACACCTGGTAGGGGACAGAATTCTCCTCACAGGTGTAGCCCCCAACGATCTTGTCATCATCATCAAAGGGGACAGCAACTGGAGTGGAGATGGGAAGGGAGAAGGCAAGTCAGTAGCATGTTAGGGGTGGCACTCCCAGCCTGCGTTTGCTTCCTGCTAGTTAGAAATCCTTAACAAGCACAGTGAGGCTAGGCAAGGGAGGGAGCTCTGCCACCCCTGTGAGCATCACTGGATGTGACTCCCACGTCTTTGTGTCTCCAGGGCACGTAGCTAGGTACCCCATGGGGTTTCAGATCTCTCCTGGGGTCGCCAGGCTGAGGTCATAAGGAATGTCCTCAAAATGCTTCCTGTAGGATAGGAGTTGGGATGTGGTTTTCTCACCTACTGAATGCTTCTCTTTTTTATTCATCACCTGTGTACTTCTTCTGCCTATTTGAGCCCTGGATTATCAGGATACTTTGGCCAAGCTAGGAAAACCCCCTAGTTGCATAGACCTCGTCATGACCAGCTTCCCCCATAGCTCAGATTTGTGTAGTCAGGGCAGAGTTGAGGGCAGCCCCTAGGCTCACTTCAGCAGAGAATGGTAGACATTGTTATTAGCCAATAGGACAGCAATTCTTAATCTTGGCTGCATGCCTGGAAATGTTACAAATCACCTGAGAAGCTTAAAAACCCAGTACACAGGCTGCATCCCAGAAAAATGAAGTTAGAATTTCTAGAGCTGAGTCTCTCGCATGAGAAATTTTTCAACCTCCCCAGGTGCATCCAAGGTTAAGAGCAGCTATAGTGGTGCTATTCTGGTGCTGTTGGAGCCAAGCCTGAAGCCTGCTGCTTTATTTTGTGGACCTGCCCCACCTGGTCTCCATTTCCAGCTTCTCCAGCCACAGCTCAAATATGGGTGAATGACAGTGGTGGGAATGAAATCAGGGAGAAGGTAAAAGAGGTGAGGCTTAAAGAGAGCCCAAGGAGGATGGGAAGGAGATATGCCAGATGGAGGAAATAGAATATCAGAGAACAGTCAAAAGAGGAGAGGTGGCAAGAACGGCAGGGCATATGTCTGCCAGTAACGGGGGGTGGTTGGGGCCTGAGACAGGGCATGAAACTCACCAGCAGCTCCCACAAAGGCAAGGATCAGGAGTGGATTCATGGTGGTAGAGTGCGCCTGTCTGGTGGTGGAAGGCCCGTCTTTATAGCTCTGGAGGATCCAGAGAGGAGTGTCTGTGAGGTGAGGATCACCATTCCTCCCAGCACAAACACACCTGCAGCTTTCTGCTTCCCATGTTCTTGCATCAGCTCGGCTATGTTTGGCCACTCTCTGGGTTTGTGATTCACAGGTGATAAGGAAACTTGCCTTCTGAGAGCAGAGAGGGAGAGCGGCCCTTTCCTGCAAGGATGCTAGGATGGGGAAGACAGGGGAAGCCAAGCCCCGGATCACACAGCTGGGCTTTCTTAGGCCCAGGAGATGAGGGTTAGAAGGAGGGAGAATGGCCTGGCTGTTTAGGAATCTGTTTAACTATTGGGATTGTATTTAATATACTTAAGGAAGGGCAGGTATTGGTAACAAGCTTGGCTTTTCAGTGTTCTGCAGCCCCCATGAGATGTGCAAAGTTTTATCTAAGGCTCATTCCTGTGAATATGAAGATGCTTCTCTCCAGTCACTCAGCGGGAAGGTCAAATCCAAGTCTTAGGGGAACAAGAATTCCAACACTAAGGGGTAAGGAGAAGAGAGACTCAGCATTCCATAGGATTCAGGGCTTCCAGATGGCTCTCCTTCCTACCAAGGCTTAAGGATGGGGATGTGTTTCAAAGAAGGAGGGGGCACAGGTTAGGTAGGAGCTTACTCAGTGCATCTGGAGGATGTAAAACCAATGGCCCACTCCTTCCCTTCTTCAATGTGAAGACATTTGTCTCTCTCATATGCAACCTGTCGTAGGTTCTTTTCATGCAGCCTCAGGGTTGTCCTTGAAACCTGCACTCGGGGTGATGCAAACTGACCCTCCTGCTTGGGGCTGACAGCCTGAACCAGAATGACATGGCCCCAATCAGATGTCAGAGTTTGGACCATGGTAAATCTGGGTTACGATTTGATCTGAGAATCAGCAGTAGGTAGGGATTTGAGCACATGGTAAATGGGTCACATATTGGGTTGAATAACGAAGATGTGGAGGGGTGGGTCTAGAATTTTCTATTTTTGATGCAGTGAGATTATGCTTGGCTCAGTACAAAGTGAATCTTCCCAGAGAATATCCTGATTTGGGCCCTACCAAGGCTACTAAGACACAGTTGTGTAATTGACTGAGGCACAACCTGGCCAGAGCAGTGTGGAGATGGAGATGCTGTCTGCGCTCAAGTCTAATGATGTAAGAAAAGGAGGAGTTTCCTTATGAGGGTGCTTTCCCTTCTCAGGAACTCTGAGCTCAGGTTGGTGATGGGCAGGAGTGAGCAGAGTTCAAGTGTGAATTCTTTGAAAGGTACAAGAAGCAGGGATGTTCTGGAGACAGTGAACAACATGAGAAAAGCTCAGAAATTTGGTGTTGAAATTGGACATGGCCAGGGGGCTAGAGGGAGGAAGCAAATGGAAACCAGAGGGAATTGGAGAAAATGCCAAAGTGGGGCCCGTGGAGTTGAGAGGACACACAGAGTACCTTCGGGTTCAGCTCTTGGCATGGTGACCGAGCCAGCTTCCCCACAGCGAGGAGGCCCACTGCTAGGAGACCCCCTCTCCACCCCGTACCCCCTCTAATCACTGATGGGCTTATACCTAACACTGCTATATTTAGATGGTTCATGGTGCCTGACAGCTTTACAGGAGTTTTCATGTAAGCAGCAGTGGTACATTGCTTTTCATTTATGCTGAGTTTCACACTTTAACTTCCCACAAATATTCTAATTGTGATTTGTGCAGAGCAAAATTGTTTCCATTTATAGAGCAAGAGAGTGAGATTCAGAAGGATTCTGTCTTGCCCAAGAATACAGATCTTGGCAGAGCTGACCATAAGGCCAATGGAAGCCATGGAGAGCATGTGAAGTGTGGGAATTGCTGCAGGTGGCATCTAAAAGGAGACTTATTGAGGATCAAGGCAGAGATCCCCAGAGGACAAACTGTACATTTGATTCCATCCTGGTGCTTTTCTTCCTGGCAGAAATGGATGATTGAATTCATCTTTCTCCTGGCACCTTGTCTCAGAGCCTTACCTTGCCACATTTCCAGACCGTCTGGGCCATGATAGCTATGTAGATGACACAACTCTCTGCTCACAGATAACTGGCCAAGCCTGAGGTAGCCAGGTTTTGGAGTTTTGATAATATAGGTTTTTCCTGTGTTGTCCCTAAATATGTTGTTTTGTTTTGTCCCCTTGGCATGGTTTCTTCACAGAACTCCTGCCTTAGAGGATAAGGAGAGACTCTTGCTCTAGCAACTGTAGACACCAGTGTGCACTAAACAGGGAGGGGAACCTTGGTGGAAGATGGAAAATTTTTTTGGAAAATGGGATTTTTGGATTAGCGGTTGTGGCTCTGACTCTGTCTGAAAGGGAACACCCAAGAATATAAGGATTTTCTGTATCTAGAGCTTGAAGACTAGCCTTCTCCAGTATTTTGCGCTCTTCCTTAAACAATCACAGTATAGTCTGAGGTCAGCTTTCTTCAAAAGGGAATGACCTTACCGGCAGAGAAGATAGCTATAGGTGGAGGCTGTTACCTCATACTGTAGACTCAGATGTGTAGGATAGGTTCAGATCCAGCTGCCCAAGCTCAATTTGGAGGACATGTCATTCTTGATACTGTTCATTCTGAACTATAGATTTCTTTGTCTACTTCTCTAGACATCTTTCTGGCTTCCATTTAGTGCTTAGCTCACTAATCCACTGTGTTTCATTTATGATAACAGTGAGTTATTTCTGTGTGCTTACTATATAGCATGTAACTTACTATACAGCATGTCACTCATATAAGTTAAGAAAGTTTTTTTCATTTTGTCATCACAACCACCTATGGGCTTGCCCATTTTACAGATGATCAAATGAGCTTTCTGGAGGTGAAGTGACTCTTCCATGTTCCAGAGCAGCAGCTCCCAGCCAGAGCCAGCCCTGCCTGCACTCAAGACCTTGGCAAAGCAACCAGAGCCAGAAAGAACCATGAGAGAAGCTTTCAATGACTTTCAGACACTTTGTCCTCCTTTTTTACCCTTCTCCTCTCCTGCTTTTTTCCCCATCTCCAAGTATATTTTGGGATGTGGATGCCATTCGCCACACAAAAACACTTGGGATTCATTCCTGATACCCCAATTCATCCCAATTTCCCCCCTTTAAAGTCAGATCTCACCTACCTGTTTGGTCAGAGAGATGTGTGTTTTAAAATCCCCAAGGAAGGAGGCAGGGACTGTGCCCTCAGATGATTATTGGTGAAGTGGGTTTATGCTTAATTTCAGCTTAAGAGAATGTTGCTGTGTCTCTGCCTAGGACAGGCAGCCCACTGTGGCCCTGGGTGATGAAGGAAGCCCACAGAGGCCCAGGGTTTGTCACCTGTGGCTGCCAGTGTCTGCAGAGCCAGAATTGAGCTAATCCTGTGAAAGGATGAGCGCTGATAGGCAGTTGTATGGTAGGTTGCTATGGGTCTTCTAGATCTCTCAAATTCCACGTGACAAGATCAATGCATGCGTGAGGGGCCCCTTCCCAGCAGGCTCTGGTGGCTACAGACTGGTTCACGTGTGGAAGATCATACCACTTTACCTTTGGTTTTTCTTTGAAAAGCAAACAATGAAAGACAGCTGAAAACAAGAATTCTACCAATGGGCAGGCAAGAATTCTCGTTGGGAAAAGGGATGTTTGTGGCTGTTCCCCACATTGGGCTTGAAAGAGCTTGGCTGCAGTGTGGTTATTATTAAAATGTCCACAGAATAGAAGATGCTCATGAGGCTGCAGTGGAAAGGGAATGCTTGTACACTGTTGGCCAGAGTGTAAATCAGTTCATGGAAAAATTAATGTAGAAAACCGTTTGGAGATTTCTGAAACAATTTAAAACAGAACTACCTTTCCACCCAGCACTTACTTTATTGGGCATTTACCTAAAGGAAAGTAATTGTTCTGCCAAAAAGACTCATGCTCTTGCATGTCCATCACAGCACTATTCACAGTAGCAAAGCCATGGAATCAACCTAGGTGGCCATCAGCGGTAGACTGGATAAAGAAAATGTGGTACATATACACCATGGAATACTATGCAGCCATGAAAAGAATGAAATCATGTCCTTTGCAGCAACATGGATGGAGCTGGAGACCATAATCCTAAGCAAATTAACATGGGAACAGAAAACCAAATATCACGTTCTCATGTATAAGTCGGAGCTGAGCATTGGGTAAAAATGGATGTAAAGATGGGAAGAGTAGACACTGCAACTACTAGAGGGAAGAGAGAAGGAGTGTGGAAAGGGCTGAAAAAATACCTATTGGGTACTATGCTCAGTTCCTGAGTGAGGAGATCATTTGTGCCCCAAACCTCAGCATCACACAGTATACCCATGTAACAAACCTGCACATGTACCCCATGAATCTAAAATAAAATTTGAAATTATTTTTTAAAAAATGGGGCCTGGGCCAGAAGCTGTGGCTCACACCTGTAATCCTAGCACTCTGGATCACTTGAGGTCAGGAGTTCAAAACCACACTGGCCAACATCGTAAATCCCTGTCTCTAATAAAAATACAAAAAAGAAAAAAAAATTAGCTTGGCATGGTGGCATGCACCTGTAATCCCGTGTACTTGGGAGACTGAATCACTTGAACCCGGGAGGTGGAGGTTGTAGTGAGCAGAGATCATGCCACGGCACTCCAGCCTGGCTGTTGTTCAGCCAGAAGGAGATGTTTTGTGTGAAGGCTGAGGTGGGGGCTCTTTGGAGCCTCTGTGAGAAGGAGGCCCTAAGCCGTGGCGGTGGACAGAGTTATAGCTTTCTGCCTCTTTGCCATTTGGTCTGGACCCACAGGTGAACAGTACCAGCCTCGATCCCGAGCACACGCCCTGCAGACTTTCACATCTCACGGTCCATGTGAGCACATGGAATGGGAAAGCTGTGTGGCCTGAGAAAAGGCAACCCCGTGTCCTGTTTCTCACACAGTATTTTGTCTTAGATTTTTGAATAAGCATTTTTCTGCTTGTTTTGTGTTTTTTGTGGTGGTGGTGGTGGTTTATTTTACACTGACCACTTGCGAGATATACCATGGTTATCTGTGATTTTCATGCACTGTTTGTGCTGTCAACCCTTCTCACAGGGCTAACTCAGATTTCTGTGTAAAGACTCTATGTGGCCCAGGTAGGAGGTGGAAGCAGCCATCTAGAAGGCCATTGGGATCCTTATGTCTGTCTCTTGGCTTGAGGTAACCAGCTGGGCTTTGATAGGAATGATCTGAATGGAGACAGAAAACAGGGGAAACTAAGACTCCTTGCCCAGCCCTGTTTATATGAAGCATTTTGTTCTTCCCTTGATTCTTGAGTGATGATGATATTCAGACGAGGCACTGACGTTATAGTAAGAAAGGGAAAAAAATGTATCTGTCTTGTCTATCTATCTACTGGATATATGTCTCCAAAAGCAGACAAACCCAAGGCTGTAAGGTGAACTACGGTCTGCGTTTGGACTCCATAAAAACAAAATCCATGTTGAACAAAGTGATGTTTGTATGTATTGACGTTCTGGGTGACCTGTGTGTATCTCCATTGTGTGCAAGCCCTGAGCCCTGTTTTCCTCTGAAGATAGTGAGTGGTAGCCGTCTCCTCACATGAACTACATATCTGGAGCCCAGATGGCCCTCTCAAGGTAATTGATCTTACACATTTACTGTTTACCAAACAAGTGTCCGATGCATACTTGGGTTTATTCCACAGCATGTGGACTGCGGTCCCTTGTGTTTGCCAGGAATGCTGTGCTCCATGTAGAGGTTTTCCTCTACTCAACACTGCAATTTGCACACTGCTCTGTGGACACTTGGAGGCCTGTGCTCTGTTCCCTGTAACTGGAAATGTGTTCTGAACTTGTCTGTCTTCCTTGGCTGCTCCTGGCCCTTGTTACCAGCTCCCAGGGGTGTCCACAACCACTTGGGACAGAAGATGAAGGTGGAATTTCAAAGAGAAGCTTGCTTGGATCTTCGGTGACAAGCTTGGATGAGCTACAGCCCCAACATGGTCCCTCTCAGAATTGCCTGGAAGAGGCTTTGGCAGGTGCCAGAGGTGCCAGGGGGCCTGCCTCCCTCTGCTGCATCCAGTGGGTGCAAGCCAGCCAACATGTGGCCAGAGTGGCTGCTCAGATGTCTTTCCCTCCACTTTTTTTTAAGGAGTCCCACGTAAGTCACTTGAAGTATCTCAAAGGCAAGCAAGTTATATGAAAATGAAACCTACCTCAGTTAATTGATCAAATGGGTGAATCTTGACCCTCTCTAGTTTCTTTCCCTGGTCAGAGTGGGGAGCTGGTGTTAACTGTGGGATTCATATGGCGTCCTACCCCAAAGGCAAAGAAGATGAAAATGCAGCGTGCAGACCTGGCTTGATTCCCAAGTCGCAGTCTAGCTCCCGCTATGGTAGGTGGAACATCTCTCTAGCCTGCTCACAGAGATGGAACTAGGGAACTGAGGGAAGAGGTAGGAGGCCAGGGAGCTTTGCTTGAGTCTAATTTTCCAGGTGAATGAGGAGGGAGGGCTTGGTTGAGGGTTTGGTGCTGACATATTCCTGTGAGAGGCACGTCATCACCAACAGCATTTGTCTTTTTTGATGTATTTTAGCAAGAAGATTCAGCTGGTCGGATTTTTTGGGCTGCCTCGAAGATGCTGACAACATTTTCTGTGCTGTGATTGTTCTGAAGGCAGAGTAGCTCTACCCACTGTGAGAAGCCCAAATAAAAATCAGTACCCCCCCACCAAAGACCAACTTTCTGAAACACACATTTCTCTAGAAAACAGTGCCCCCCTTTCTCCCAAGTTTCTTATAATTTTTGGATTCCATCTATTTGTATGTGCTAATCTAGTGTACCATGCAACACATTTTGGGAGATGAGGGTTCAGCTTACCTTTAAGGGGGGGAGTCGTGGCTGACCTGAGATTGGAGGATGCTTTCCAGTGTGAAGCAGTGTGAGGGAGCAGGCACAGACACAGACAGTGAAAGCAAGGTCACTTTATTGGTATAGAGACTGCAGAGGTACCAGAGGCTTTAGCTGTTGGCAGCTATGGTGTCCTTAATCCAGTCCACATAGTTGTAGACCTTGGTGTAGACTCCAGGCCTGTTCTTCTGGGCACAGCCATAGCCCCAGGAGACAACTCCTTGGAGCTGTCCGTTGCAGACCACAGGGCCACCAGAGTCACCCTGGGGAGAAGAAGGGACAAGCTGTATGAAGAGAGAGAAAGAGGAAGAATATAGCTACATTTGCTCTGAACCTTAAAAGACTCCTTTCCAGCCAGCTCTTTGGCTCCACGTCCTTCGCACAGTGGCCCATTCTCTGTTCTTCCTAAGCAGACAGGATGCAGCCCAAGGGAGTCTTCCTCACTTCTCCATGGGGGCAGTGCAGGGAGCCTCCTGAGCCCCGCCACCTTGGGAGTTCAAATCTTTTTCCTGGGTGGGGCCTGGGTATCAGTGGGAACCTCAGCATGGGAAGGGGTCAAACCACCTGGCAGGAATCCTTGCCTCCCTCAAGGAAACCCACACAGAACATGTTGTTGGTAATCTCTCCAGGGTAGGAGGCTTCACAGTCAGCCTGGGTCAGCACATGAGTGTCCAGGCACTGCAGCTCATCTGGATAGTTGGCTGTGAGGATCAGCAAGAGAACAAAGAAAGTAGAAGTGTAGATCAGGCCAGAGAAGGAGACAATAATCTAGGATGGAACATTGAAGAGGAACACTGTCCCTGGAGAGGACTCCGAAACCTAAGTCCTGGCAAGGGACTCTGGCTTTTAGTTCCCAGAATGATCATTTTTGAACCCCTTCCAAGACGTGATCAAAGCAAGTTCTCTATATGTCCTGTCTTTTGATTTTAGGAGCCAAGTCCTTGAGACTTTGCATCTCTCTGATGTCCATCCACTGTACAGCCTGTGTGTAATGGGCACTAGAAATGTGTCTTAAGCCTGGAGGTGAGAGGATTCAAGTTAAGGGGCATGGTTTGTTCTGGAAATTGTGAGGATGGAGGGAAGGAGAAGGACAAAGGGTCCCACTCACCACCAGAGCTCAGAGTGTTGCCCTAGCCAGAGATGAGGAACTTGGTGCCAGCAGCTGGAGGGGCGGTGGGTAGAGAGATGGTGGACATGTGGGCATTGATGACAGCAGGCATGGAGAGCTTGATCAGCAGGATGTCATTGTCCAGAGTCCAACTGTTGTATTTGGGGTGGCGGATGATCTTGGCTGCATTGATGAACTGCTCATTCCCCTCCAGAACTTCGATGTTGTGCTCTCCCAGTCTCACCTGGATGCGGCTGATGGGCAGGGCAGGCATGGTGAAGACCTTCTCCCACAGCTGGGACACCCATCTTACTTTCCCCAGGGTCCTCAAGCTCCCTGCTCATGGGCAGCTCTGGAGGCATCGGGTGGGGTGTGTGGCCATATCACATGGGCAGGAGAGGGATGGGGGTCAGTGAAGTTGTGAGACCCAGGACCTTTCTGTTTCAGAGGTTGGTGGTAATGGGGTTGGGAAGAGTCAAAAGGATTCCACCGGAGGATGCTCCTTAACCCTCCTTCCCAGCCTCTTTCCCACAATCTCCACAGTCACTAGCACTGTGGGCACAAGGAGCTCTTTGAAGTTTTCCCAGCATTCTTCACCCCAGGCCTTTGCTAACTGTGCACAGTGCCTGTTCCTCCCTCCTTTCTTGGCCTGGTGAGCACCACCCTTCTGTGTAATCTAACCTAAGGGTAGCCATAGCATTAGCATCTCCTGGGAACTTGTTAGAAATGTAAATTCTTGGTCCTTACCCCCACCTACTGCTCAGAACCTTGGGGATGGGTCCCAGTGATTTGTGCTTTAACAACCCTGCAGGTGGTTCTGAGGCAAACTCAGGTTTGAGAGTTCTTGGTGTAGGGAGCAGTTCTCAGCTCTGTCTATACAATCTACAGTTACCAGAGGTAGAATGTTTAATACTCACTGATATTCACACCCTCTTCCTGAAAATTCCTGATAATTGCCCTGGGATAGGACACAGGCATCAGTACTTTTAAAAACTCTTTCTTAAGTGACTTTGATGTGTAGCTAACCAGCAAAGGGTACTTGCCTGCTGTTCTTACTAGCTCTGCCAAACACCAAGATCATCCCTGCCTGCTTTTATGACCACAACCCTTGCTGTTTCATGGATTTGCCTGGGTGTGAGAGCTTCCTGTCTTGTGTTCGCTCTCTGCTCTGGAGAGTCCGCTGCTGCCAACAAGTTTTCTTCTCCACCACCTCTCCCATCCATCTTATCCAACCTCAGTAGTTCCCTGGGCTGAAGCCAAGCTCTCCCAGGCAGCCTGGCTGGGAGCTTTGCAGTCAGGGGCCCCACACTTACTACTTGTAGCAGTGAGCTGCTGACACCACCCACTGTTCGCTGAGGAGGGAGCCACTGCAGAAGTGGTACCCAGAATTCAGGGACACCTGGTAGGGGACAGAATTCTCCTCACAGGTATACCACTAAATGATGTTGTCATCGTCGTCGAAAGGGGAAGCAACTGGAGTGGAGATGGGAAAGGAGAAGGCAAGTCAGTAGCATGTTAGGGGTAGCGCTCCCAGCCTTCGGTTGCTTCCTGCTAATTAGAAATCCTTAACGAGCACAGTGAGGCTAGGTAAGGGAGGGAGCGCTGCCACCCCTGGTAAGCATCACTGCATGTGGCTCCCAAGTCTCTGTGTCTGCAGGGCATGTAGCTAGGTACCCTGCAGGGGCTCAGTTCTCCCCGGGGTCACCAGGCTGAGGATTCAAGGAATGTCCTCACAATGCTTCCAGTGGGATAGGAATTGGGATGTGGTTGTCTCACCCACTGAGTGCTTCTCTCTTTTATTCATCACCTGTGTACTTCCCCTGGCGATTTGAGCCCTGGATTGTCAGTATACTTTGGCCAAGCTAGGAAAACCCCCTGGCTGCGTAGACCTGGCCATGACCAGCTTCCCCCATAGCTCAGATTTGTGTAGTCAGGGCAGAGTTGAGGGCAGCCCCCAGGCTCACTTTGGCAGAACAAAGGTAGACATTGTTATTGGCCAATAGAACAGCAATTCTTAACCTTGGCTGCATGCATGGAAATGTTAAAAATCACCCGGGAATGTTAAAAGCCCAGTACACAGGTTGCACCCCAGAGAATGAAGTTAGAACTTCTAAAGCTGAGTCTCTGATATGAGTAATTTTTCAACCTCCCCAGGTGCATTTGAGGTTAAGAGCAGATATAATGGTGCTATACTGGTGCTATGGAGCCAAGCCTGAAGGCTGCTGCTTCATTTTGTGGGCCCGCCCCACCTGGTCTCCCTTCCCAGCTTCTCCAGCCACAGCTCAGATATGGATGAATGACAGTGGTGGGAGTGAAATCATGGAGAAGCTGAAACAGGTGAGGCTTAAAGAGAGCCGAAGGAGGATGGGAAGGAGAGATGGAGGAAATAGAATATCAGAACACAGTCAAAATGGGAAAGGTGGCAAGAATGGCAGGGCAAGTGTCTGCCAGGAAAGGGGGTGGTTGGGGCCTGAGGCATGGCATGAAACTCGCCAGCAGCTCCCACAAAGGCAAGGATCAGGAGTGGATTCATGGTGGTAGAGTGTGCCTGACTGGTGGTGGAGGACCTGTCTTTATACCTCCTGAGGATCTGGAGAGGAGGTGTCTGTGAGGTGAGGGTCAGCACTCCTCCCAGCACAAACACACCTGCAGCTTTCCCCTTCCCAGGGTCTTGCATCAGCTTGGCTATGTTTGGCCACTCTCTGGGTTTGTGACTCATAGGTGATAAGGAAATTTGCCTTCTGAAAGCAGAGAGAGAGAGAGCAGCCCTTTCCCGCAAGGATGCTGGGATGGGGAAGACAGGGGAAGCCAAGCCCTGGATCACACATCTGGGCTTTCGTAGGCCGAGGAGATGAGGGTTAGAAGGAGGGAGAATGGCCTGGCTGTTTAGGAATCTGTTTAACTATTTGGGATGTATTTAATGTACTTAAGGAAGGGCAAGTATTGGTAACAAGCTTGGCTTTTCAGTGTCCTGGAGCTCCCAGGAGAGGAGCAAAGTCTGATCTAAGGCTCATTCCTGTGAATATGAAGATGCTTCTCTCCAGTCAGTGTCGGGCAAGGTCAAATCCAAGACTTTGGGGAATGAGAATTCCAACACTAAGGGGTAAGGAGAAGGGAGACTCAGCATTCCATAGGATTCAGGGCTTCCAGATGGCTCTCCTTCCTACCAAGGCTTAAGGATGGGATGTGTTTCAAAGAAGGAGGGGGCACAGTTTAGGTAGGAGCTTAGTGCATCTGGAGGATGGAAAACCAATGGTGCACTCCTCCCCTTCTTCAATGTGAAGACATTTGTCTCTCTCATATGCATCCTGTCATAGGTTCTTTTTATGTAGCCTCATGGTTGCCCTGGCAACCTGCACTCAGGGTGAGGCAAACTGACCCACCTGCTTGGGGCTGACAGCCTGAACCAGGATGACATGGCCCCAATCAGATGTCAGAGTCTGGACCATGGTAAATCTGGGTTACGATTTGATCTGAGAATCAGC
The DNA here is from genome assembly GCF_000001405.40 of Homo sapiens. NCBI lineage: Eukaryota > Metazoa > Chordata > Mammalia > Primates > Hominidae > Homo > Homo sapiens. Next base: position 762,057 of record NT_187562.1, on the reverse strand, counting down.
AGTAGGTAGAGATTTGAGCACATGGTAAATGGGTGACATATTGGGTTCAATAACGAAGATGTGGAGGGGTGGGTCTAGAATTTTCTATTTTAGATCCTGGGAGATTATGCTTGGCTCAGTACAAAGTGAAACTTCCCAAAGAATATCCTGATTTGGGCCCTACCAAGGCTACTGAGACACAGTTGTGTAATTGACTGAGGCACAACCTGGCCAGAGCAGTGTGGAGATGGAAATGCTGTCTGTGCTCAAGTCTAATGATGTAAGAAAAGGAGGAGTTTCCTTATGAGGGTGCTTTCCCTTCTCAGGAACTCTGAGCTCAGGTTGGTGATGGGCAGGAGTGAGCAGAGTTCAAGTTTGAATTCTTTGAAAGGTAAAAGAAGCAGGGATGTTCTGGAGACAGTGAACAAAATGAGAAAAGCTCAGAAACTTGGTGTTGAAATTGGACACAGCCAGGGGGCTAGAGGGAGGAAGCAAATGGAAACGAGAGGGAATTGGAGAAAATGCCAAAGTGGGGCCCGTGGAGTTGAGAGGACACACAGAGTACCTTCGGGTTCAGCTCCTAGTATGGCCACCCAGCCAGCTTCCCCAGAGCCCGGAGACCCACTGCTCAGAGACCCCCTCTCCACCCCATACCCCCTCTAATCACTGATGGGCTTATACCTAACACTGCTGTACTTAGATGGTGCATGGTGCCTGACAACTTTACAAGAGTTTTCATAAGCAACAGTGGTACATTGCTTTTCATTGATGCTGAGTTTCACGGTTTAACTTCCCACAAACATGCTAATTGTGATTTGTGTAGAGCCAAATTGTTTCCATTTATAGAGGAAGAGACTGAGATTCAGAAGGATTCTGTCTTGCCCAAGAATACAGATCTTGGCAGAGCTGACCATAAGGCCAACAGAAGCCATGGAGAGCATTGTAAAGTGTGGGAATTGCTGCACGTGGCATCTAAAAGGAGATTTATTGCGGATCAAGGCAGAGGTCCCCAGAGGACAAACTGTACATCTGATTCCTTCCTGGTGCTTTTCTTCCTGGCAGAAATGGATGATTGAATTCATCTTTCTCCTGGCACCTTGTCTCAGAGCCTTATCTTGCCACAGTTCCAGACCCATCCAGGCCATGACTGCCATGTAGATGAGAAACCTCTCTGCTCATGAATAACTGGCCAAGCCTGAGGTAGCCAGGTTTTGGAGCTTTGATAATATGGGTTTTTCCTGTGTTGTCCCTAAACATGTTGTTTCATTTTGTCCCCTTGTCATGGGGCCTTCACAGAACTCCTGCCTTAGAGAATAAGGAGAGACTCTTGCTCTAGCAACTATAGACACTAGTGAGCACTCAATAGGGATGTGAACCTTGGTAGGAGATGGAAAACGTTTTTGGGAAAGGGGGTTTCTGGATTAGTGCTTGTGGCTCTGATTCTCTGTCTGAAAGGGAACACCCAAGAATATGAGGATTTTCTGTATCTAGAGCTTGAAGACTAGCCTTCTCCAGTATTTTGTGCTCTTCCTTAAATGATCACAGTATAGTCTGAGGTCAGCTTTCTTCAAAAAGGAATGACCTCACAGGCAGAGAAGATAGCTATAGGTGGAGACTATTACCTCATATCATAGACTCAGATGTGTAGGATAGGTTCAGATCTACCTGCCCAAGCTCAATTTGGAGGACATGTCATTCTTGGTACTGTTGGTTCTGAACTATAGATTTCTTTGTCTACTTCTCTAAGACATTTTTTCTGGCTTGTATTTAGTGCTTAGCACACCAAGCCACTGTCCTTCTATTATGATAACAGTGAATCATTTCTGTGTGCTTCCTATATAGCACATAACTTACTATACAGCATGTAACTCATGTAAGTTAAGAATGTTTTTTTTTCATTTTATCATCACAACCACCTATGGGCTTGCCCATTTTACAGATGATCGAATGAACTTTCTGGAGGTGAAGTGACTCTTCCATGTCCCAGAGCAGCAGCTCCCAGCCAGAGCTGGCCCTGCCTGCACTCAAGACCTTGGAAAAGCAACCAGAGCCAGAAAGAACCATGAGAGAAGCTTTCAAATACTTTCAGCCACTTTTTCCTCCTTTTTTTCTCTTCTCCTCTCCTGCATTTTTCTCCATCTCCAGGTACAGTTCGGGATGTGGATGCCTGTCCCCACACAAAAACACTTGTGATCCATTCCTGATACCTCAATTCAACCCAATTTCCCCCCTTTAAAGTCAGATCTCACCTACCTGTTTGGTCAGAGAAATGTGTGTTTTAAAATCCCCGAGGAAGGAGACAGGGACTGAGCCCTCAGATGATTATTGGTGAAGTGGATTTATGCTTAATTTCAGTTTAAGAGAATGTTGCTGTGTCTCTGCCTAGGGCAGGCACCCCATTGTGGCCCTGGGTGATGAGGAAAGCCCACAGATACACAGGGTTTGTCACCTGTGGCTGCCATTGTCTGCAGAGTCAGAATTGAGATAATCCCTTGAAAGGATCAGCACTGATGGGCAGTTGCATGGTAGATTGCTATGGGGCTTCTTGATCTCTCAAATTCCAGGTGACAAGATGAATGCATGCTTGAGGGGCCCCTTCGCAGCAGGCTCTGGTGGCTACAAACTGGTTCAGGTGTGGAAGATCTTACCACTTTACCTTTGGTTTTTCTTTTTTTTCTTTTCTTTTCTTTCTTTTTTTTTTTTTGAGACAGAGTCTGGCTCTGTTGTCCAGGCTGGAGTGCAGTAGCATGATCTCAGGTCACTGCAAGCTTTGCCTCCCAGGTTCACGCCATTCTCCCGCCTCAGCCTCCCGAGTAGCTGGGACTACAGGCACCTGCCACCACACCCGGCTAATTTTTTATGTTTTTAGTAGACACGGGATTTCACTGTGTTAGCCAGGATGGTCTCTATCTCCTGACTTCGTGATCCGCCCGCCTCGGCCACGTATAGTGCTGGGATTACAGGCCAGTTTTTCTTTGAAAAACAAATAATAAAAGACAGATGAAAACAAGAATTCTACCAGTGGGCAGGCAAGAATTCTCTTCCGGAAAAGGGATGTTTGTGGCTCTACCCCACATTGGCCTTGAAAGAGCTTGGCTGCAGAGTGGCTATTATTAAAACGTCAAAAAAAAAAAAAAATAGAAGATGCTGTCAAGGCTGCAGAGGAAAGGGAATGCTTATACACTCTTGGCCTGACTGTCGATTAGTTTATGGAAAAATTAATGCAGAAGGCAGTTTGGAGATTTCTGAAATAATTAAAAACAGAACTACCTTTCCACCCAGCAATTCCTTTACTGGGCATATACCCAAAGGAAAATAATTGGTCTGCCAAAAAGACACATGCTCTTGCATGTCCGTCACAGCACTATTCACAATAACAAAGCCATGGAATCAATCTAGGTGGCCATCAACGGTAGATTGGATAAAGGAAATGTGGTACATATACACCATGGAATACTATGCAGCTATGAAAAAATGAAATCATGTCTTTGCAGCAACGTGGATGGAGATGGAGACCATAATTCTAAGCAAATTAACACAGGTATGTAAAACCAAATATCACGTTCTTCTGTATAAGTGGGAGCTGAGCATTTGGTACACATGGATATAAAGATGGGAACAGTAGACACTGTAACTGCTAGAGGGAAGAGAGAAGGAGGGTGGAAAGGGCTGAATAACTACCTATTGGGCACTATTCTCACTGCCTGAGTGGTAAGAACATTTGTGCCCCAAACCTCAGCATCACGCAATATACCCATGTAACAAACCTGCACACGTATGCCCTGAATCTAAAATAAAAGTTGAAAATTTTTTTAAAAAATGGGTCCTGGGCCAGAAGTGGTGGCTCATGCCTGTAATCCCAGTACCTTGGATCACTTGAGGTCAGGAGTTCAAAATGAGCCTGGCCAACATGGTGAAACCCTGTCTCCACTAAAAATACAAACAAACAAACAAACAAAATCAGCTGGGCATGGTGGCGAGTGCCTGTAATCCCAGGTACTTGGGAGGCTGAATCACTTGAACCCGGGAGGTGGAGACTGTAGTGAGCAGAGATCATGCCACGGCACTCCAGCCTGGCTGTAGTTCAGCCAGAAGGAGATGTTTTGTGTGAAGGCTGAGGTGGGGGCTCTTAGGAGCCTCTGTGAGAAGGAGGCCCTAAGCCGTGGCGGTGGACAGATATCAGCTTTCTGCCTTATTGCCCTTTGGTCTGGACCCATAGGTGAACAGTACCAGCCTCGATCCTGAGCACACGCCCTGCAGACTTTCACATCTCACGGTTCCACGTGAGTACATGGACTGGGAAAGCTGTGTGGCCTGTGAAAAGGCAACCCCGTGGCCTGGCTCTCACACAGTATTTTGTCTAGGATTTTGAATAAGCATGTTTTTGCTTGTTTTGTGTTTTTGGTGATGGTAGTGTTGGTATATTTTATACTGACCACTTGGAAGAAATCCCATGGTTATCTGTGATTTTCATGCCCTGTTTCTTCTGGCAACCCTTCTCACTGGGGTGACTCACTTTCCTGTGTAAAGAGTCTTAGTGGCCCAGGTGGGAGGTGGAAGCAGCCATCTGGAAGGCCATTGGGATCCTTATGTCTGTGTCTTGGCTTGAGGTGACCAGCTGGGCTTTGATAGGGATGATCTGAATGGAGACAGAAAACAGTGGAAACTAACACTCCCTGCCCAGCCCAGCCCTGTTTATATGAAGCGTTTGGTTCTTCCCTTGACTCTTGAGTGATGATGATATTCAGATAAGGCATTGACATTATAGTAAGAAAGGGAAAAAATTATCTGTCTTGTCTGTCTATCTATCTACTGGATATATATCTCCAAAAGCAGACAAACCCAAGGCTGTAAGGTGAACTACGGTCTGCGTTTGGACTCCATAAAAACAAAATCCATGTTGAACAAAGTGATGTTTGTATGTATTGATGTTCTGGGTGACCCGTGTGTATCTATCCATTGTGTGCGAGCCCTGAGCCCTGTTTTCCTCTGGAGATAGTGAGTGGTAGCCGTCTCCTCACACAAGTCACACATCTGGAGCCCAGATGGCCCTCTCAAGGTAATTGATCTTACACATTTACTGTTTACCAAACAAGTGTCTGATGCATACTTGGGTGTATTCCACAGCATGTGGACTGCAGTCCCCTGTGTTTGCCAGGAACGCTGTGCTCCATGTAGAGGTTTTCCTCTACTCATCCCTGCAATTTGCACGCTGCTCTGTGGACACTTGGAGGCCTGTGCTCTGTTCCCTGTAACTGGAAATGTGCTCTGAACTTGTCTGTCTTCCTTGGCTGCTCCTGGCCCTTAGTGCCAGCTCCCAGGGGTGTCCACAACCACTTGGGACAGAGGTGAAGGTGGAATTTCAAAGAGAAGCTTCCTTGGATCTTCGGTGCCAAGCTTGGATGAGCTACAGCCCCAACATGGGCCCTCTCAGAATTGCCAGGAGGAGGCTTTGGCAGGTGCCAGAGGTGCCACAGGGCCTGCCTCCCTCTGCTGCATCCAGTGGGTTCAAGCCAGCCAACGTGTGGTCAGAGTGGCTGGTGGTGTCACAGTCCTCAGATCTTTCCTTCCACCCCTTTTAAAGAATCCCAAATAACTCACTTGAAGTGTCTCAAAGTCAAGCAAGTTTTATGAAAATGAATCCTTCCTCAGCTAATTGATCAAATAGGTGAATCCTGACCCTCTCTAGTTTCTTTCCCTGGTCAGAGTGAGGAGCTGGTGTTAGCTGTGGGATTCACTGTGGCATCCTACCCCAAAGGCAAAGAAGACGAAAATCAAGCCCAGCGTGTAGATCTGGGCTTGATTCCCAAGTCGCAGTCTGGCTCCTGCTATGGTAGGTGGAACATCTCTCTAGCCTGCTCACAGAGATGGAACTAGGGAACTGAGGGAAGAGTTAGGCGGCCAGGGAGATTTATTTGCATCTGATTTTCCAGGTGAATGAGAAGGGAGGGCTTGGTCGAGGGTTTGGTGCCGACACATTCCTGGGAGAGGCACGTCATCACCAACAGGATTTGTCATTATTATTGTATTTTAGCAAGAAGATTCAGCTGGTCAAGTTTTTTGGGCCACCTCGAAGATGCTGACACATTTTCTGTGCTGTAATTGTTCTGAAGGCAGAGTAGCTCTAACTACTGTGAGAAGCCCAAATAAAAATCAATACCCACCCCCCCACCCCAAAGACCACCTTTCTGAAACAGGTATCTCTAGAAAACAGTACTCCCCTTTCTCCCAAGCTTCTTCTTATTTTTGGATTCCATCTGTTTGTATGTGCTAATCTAGTGTACCATGGAACACATTTTGGGAGATGGGGGCTCTGCTTACCTTTAAAGGGGACAGTCGTGTCTAACCTGAAATTGGAGGATGCTTTCCAGTGTGAAGGAGTGAGAGGGAGCAGGCACAGACACAGACAGTGAGAACAGGGTCACTTTATTGGTATAGAGACTGAAGAGATACTGGGGGCTTTAGCTATTGGCAGCTATGGTGTTCTTAATCCATTTCACATAGTTGTAGACCTTGGTGTAGACTCCAGGCTTGTTCTTCTGGGCACAGCCATCACCCCAGGAGACAACTCCTTGGAGCTGTCCATTGCAGACCACAGGGCCACCAGAATCACCCTGGGGGGAAGAAGGGACAAGTTGTATGGAGAGATGGAGGAGGAATATAGCTACATTTACTCTGAACCTTAAAAGACCCCTTTCCAGCCAGCTCTGTGGCTCCATGTCCTTCTCATGGTGGCCCATTCTCTGTTCTTCCTAAGCAGACAAGATGCAGCCCAAGGGAGTCTTCCTCACTTCTCCATGTGGGCACTGCAGGGAGCCTCCTCAGCCCCACCACCTTTTGAGTTCAAATCCTTTTCCCTGGTGGGGCCTAGGTATCAGTGGGAGCCTCAGCATGGGAAGGGTTGGTCAAATCACCTGACATGAATCCTTGCCTCCCTCAAGGAAGCCCACACAGAACATGTTGCTGGTAATCTTTCCAGGGTAGGAGGCTTCACACTTAGCCTGGCTCAGCACAGGAGCATCCAGGCACTGCAGCTCGTCTGGGTAGTCGGCTGTGAGGATCAGGAAGAGAACAAAGGAAGTAGAAATGTGGGTCAGGCCAGAGAAGGAGACAATAATCTTGGATGGAAAACTGAAGAGGAACACAGCCCCTGGAGAGGACTCCAGAACATAAGTCCTGGCAAGAGACTCTGGCTTTTAGTTCCCAGAATGATCATTGTTGAACCCCTCCCAAGATGTGATCATATCAAGTTCTCCATTTGTCCTGTCTCTTGATTTTAGGAGCCAAGTCCTTGATAGTTTGCATCTCTCTGGTGCCCAGTGCAGAGTCTGTGTGTAATGGGCACTCGAAATGTGTCTTAAGCCTGGAGGTGAGAGGATTCAAGTTAAGGGGCATGGTTTGTTCTGGAAATTGTGAGGATGGAGGGAAGTAGAAGGACTAAGGGTCCCACTCACCGCCAGAGCTCGCAGTGTTGCCCCAGCCAGAGATGAGGCACTTCGTGCCAGTGGCTGGAGGGGCGGTGGGCAGAGAGATGGTGGACACGCGGGCGTTGATTACTGCACGTGAGGAGAGCTTGATTAACATGATGTCATTGTTCAGAGTCTTCCTGTCGTATTGGGGGTGGCGGATGATCTTGGCTGCATTGATGAACTGCTCATTCCCCTCCAGGACTTCGATGTTGTGCTCTCCCAGTCTCACCTGGATGCGGCTGATGGGCAGGGCAGGCATGGTGAAGACCTTCTCCCACAGCCAGGGCACCTATCCCACCTTCCCCAGGTTCCTCAAGCTCTCTGCTCATGGACAGCTCTGGAGGCATGGGGTGGGGTGTGTGGCCATATCGCATGGGCAGCAGAGGGATGTGGGTCAGTGAAGGTATGAGACCCAGGACCTATCTGCTCCAGAGGTTGGTGGTAGTGGGGTGGGGAAGAGTCAAAGGGATCCCACCAGAGGCTGCTCCTCAACCTGCCTCCCCAGACTCTTTCCCACAATCTCCACAGTCACTAGCACTGTGGGCACAAGGAGCTCCTTGAAGTTTTCCCAGCGTTCTTCACCCCAGGCCTTTGCCAACTGTGCACAGTGCCTGTTCCTCCCTCCATTCTTGGCCTGGTGAGAACCACCCTTCTGTGTAATCTAATCCAAGCGTAGCCATAGCATTAGCATCTCCTGGGAACTTGTTAGAAATGTGAATTCTTGGTCCTTACCCCCACCTACTGATCAGAACCTTGGGGAAGGGGCCCAGTGATTTGTGCCTTAACAAGCCTGCAGGGCGTTCTGATGCATACTCAGGTTTGAGAGTTCTTGGTGTAGGCAGCAGTTCTCAGCTCTGTCTATACACTCTACAGTTAGCAGAGGTAGAGTGTAAAATTCTCACTGATATTCACACCCTCTTCCTGAAAATTTTGACTTAATTGCCCTGGGATAGGACAAAGGCATCTGTATTTTTAAAAAGTCTTTCTTAGTTGGCTTTAATGTGTAGCTAACCAGCAAAAGATACTTGCCTGCTTTTCTCACTAGCTCTCACCACCCCAAGATCATCCCTGCCTGCTTTTATGACCACAACCCTTGCTGTTTCATGGATTTGCCTGGGTGTGAGAGGTTCCTGTCTTGTGTTCACTCTCTGCTCTGGAGAGTCCGCAGCTGCCAACAAGTTTTCTTCTCCACCACCTCTCCCATCCATCTTACCCAACCTCAGTAGTTCCCTGGGCTGAAGCCAAGCTCTCCCAGGCAGACTGGCCGGGAGCTTTGCAGTCGGGGGCCCCACACTTACGACTTGTAGCAGTGGCCTGCTGATACCACCCACTGTTCGTTGATGAGGGAGCCACCACAGAAGTGGTAGCCAGAATTCAGGGACACCTGGTAGGGGACAGAATTCTCCTCACAGTTGTAGCCCCCAACGATCTTGTCATCATCATCAAAGGGGGCAGCAACTGGAGTGGAGATGGGAAGGGAGAAGGCAAGTCAATAGCATGTTAGGGGTGGCGCTCCCAGCCTGTGATTGCTTTCTGCTAATTAGAAATCCTTAACAAGCACAGTGAGGCTAGGCAAGGGAGGGAGCTCTGCCACCCCTGGTGATCATCACTGCCTGTGGCTCCCAAGTCTCTGTGCCTGCAGGGCACATAGCTAGGTACCCTGCGGAGGATCCGAGCTCTCCTGGGGTCACCAGGCTGAAGTCGCAAGGAATGTCCTCACAATGCTTCCAGTGGGATAGGAGTTGGGATGTGGTTGTCTCTCCCACTGAGTGCTTCTCTCTTTTATTCATCACCTGTGTACTTCCCCTGGCTATTTGGGCCCTGGATTGTCAGGATTCTTTTGCCAAGCTAGGAAAACCCCCTGTCTGCATAGACCTGGCCATGACCACCTTCCCCCATAGCTCAGATCTGTGCAGTCAGGGCAGAGTTGAGGGCAGCCCCCAGGCTCACTTTGGCAGAACAAAGGTAGACTTTGTTATTGGCCAATAGGACAGCAATTCTTAACCTTGGCTGCATGGCTGGAAATATTAAAAATCACCTGGGAAGCTTAAAAGCCCAGAACACAAGCTCTACCCCAGACAATTGAAGTTAGAATTTCTAGAGCTGAGTCTCTGGCATGAGTAATTTTTCAACCTCCCCAGGTGCATTCGAGGTTAGGAGCAGCTATAGTGGTGCTATTCTGTTGCTGTCGGAGCCAAGCCTGAAGCCTGCTGCTTCATTTCGTGGGACAGCCCCACCTGGCCCCCTTCCCAGCTTCTCCAACCACAACTCGGATATGGATGAATGACAGTGGTGGGAGTGAAGTCAAGGAGAAGGTGAACAGGTGAGACTTAAAAAGAGCCCAAGGAGGATGGGAAGGAGATATGCCAGATGGAGGAAACGGAATATCAGAGCACAGTCAAAAGAGGAGAGGTGGTAAGAATGGAAGGGCATTTGTCGGCCAGGAACGGGGGGGTGGTTGGGGCCTGAGGCAGGGCATGATACTCACGAGCAGCTGCCACAAAGGTAAGGATCAGGAGTGGATTCATGGTGGTAGAGTGTGCCTGACTGGTGGTGGAGGACTCGTCTTTATACCTCACGAGGATCCAGAGAGGAGGTGACTGTGAGGTGAGGGTCACCACTCCTCCCAGCACAAACACACCTGCAGCTTTCCTCTTCCCAGGGTCTTGCATCAGCCTGGCTATGTTTGGCCACTCTCTGGGTTTGTGATTCACAGGTGATAAGGAAACTTTCCTTCTGAGAGCAGAGAGCGAGACCGGCTGTTTCCTGCAAGGATACTGGGATGGGGAAGACAGGGAAAGTCAAGCCCCAGATAACAGAGCTGGGCTTTCTTAGGCCCTGGAGATGAGGGTTAGAAGGAGGGAGAATGGCCTAGCTGTTTACAAATCTTTCCACCTATTGGGAATGTATTTAATGTACTTAAGGAAGGGCAAGCATTGGTAAAAAGCTTGGATTTCAGTTTCCTGGGGCCCACATGAGAGGAGCAAAGTCTTATCTAAGGCTCATTCCTGTGAATATGAAGATGCTTCTCTCCAGTCAGTGTGCAGGAAGGTCAAATGCAAGATTTTGGGGAATGAAAATTCCAACACTAAGGGGTAAGGAGAAGGGAGACTCAGCATTCCATAGGATTCTGGGCTTCCAGATTTCTCTCCTTCCTACCAAGGCTTAAGGATGGGAAGTGTTTCAAAGAAGGAGGGGGCACAGTTTCTGTAGGAGCTTTCTCAGTGCCTCTGGAGGATGGAAAACCAATGGCGCACTCCTCCCCTTCTTCAATGTGAAGACATTTGTCTCTCTCATGTGCATCCTGTCATAGGTTCTTTTTATGCAGCCTCACTGTTGTCCTTGCAATCTGCACTCAGGTGATGCAAACTGACCCACCTGCTCAGGGCTGACAGTCTGAACCAGAATGATCAGATGATCATTTTCTATTTTCGATGCAGTGAGATTATGCTTGGCTCAGTACAAAGTGAATCTTCCTAGAGAATATCCTGATTTGGGCCCTACCAAGGCTACTAAGACACAGTTGTGTAATTGACTGAGGCACAACCTGGCCAGAGCAGTGTGGAAATGGAGATGCTGTCTGTGCTCAAGTCTAATGATGTAGGGAAAGGAGGAGCTTCCTTATGAGGGTGCTTTCCCTTCTCAGCAACTCTGAGCTCAGGCTGGTGATGGGCAGGAGTAAGTAGAGTTCAAGTTTGGATTCTTTGAAAGGTAAAAGAAGCAGAAATGTTCTAGAGACGGTGGACAAAATGGGAAAAGCTCAGAAACTTGGTGTTGAAATCGGACCTGGCCAGGGGGCTAGAGGGAGGAAGCAAATGGAAACCAGAGGGAATTGGAAATAATGCCAAAGTGGGGCCCATGGTGTTGAGAGGACACACAGAGTACCTTCGGTTTCAGCTCCTGGTATGGCTGCTGAGCCAGCTTCCCCACAGCCAGGAGACCCACTGCTTGGAGACCCCCTCTCCGCCTCGCACCCCCTCTAATCACTAATGGGCCCATACCTAACACTGCTATGCTTAGATGGTGCACAGTGCCTGACAACTTTACAAGAGTTTTCATGTAAGCAACAGTGGTACATTACTTTTCATTTATGCTGAGTTTCACACTTTAACTTCCCACAAACATGCTAATTGTAATTTGTGCAGAGCAAAATTGTTTCCATTTATAGAGCAAGAGACTGAGATTCAGAAGGATTCTGTCTTGCCCAAGAATACAGATCTTGGCAGAGCTGACCATAAGGCCAACAGAAGCCATGGAGAGCATTGTGAAGTGTGGGAATTTCATCTAAGAGGAGGTATCTAAAAGGAGATTTATTGAGGATCAAGGCAGAGGTCCCCAGAGGACAAACTGTACATCTGATTCCTTCCTGGTGCTTTTCTTCCTGGTAGAAATAGATGATTGAATTTATCTTTCTCCTGGCACCTAGTCTCAGAGCATTACCTTGCCACAGTTCGAGACCCATCCAGGCCATGACTGCCATGTAGATGACAAACTTCTCTGCTCACGAATAACTTGCCAAGCCTGAGGTAGCCAGGTTTTGGAGCATTGATAAAATGGGCTTTTCCTTTGTTGTCCCTGAACATGTTGTTTCATTTTGTCCCTTGTCATGGGGTCTTCACAGAACACCTGCCTTAGAGGATAAGGAGAGACTCCTGCTCTAACAACTGTAGATACTAGTGTGCACTAAACAGGGAGGTGAACCTTGGTAGAAGATGGAAAATTTTTTTGGAAAAGGGGATTTTTGGATCAGTGCTTGTGGCTCTGACTCTCAGTCTGAAAGGGAACACCCAAGAATTTGAGGATTTTCTGTATCTAGAGCTTGAAGACTAGCCTTCTCCAGTATTTTGCGCTCTTCCTTAAATGATCGCAAAATAGTCTGAGGTCAGCTTTCTTCAGAAAGGAATGACCTTACAGGCAGAGAAGATAGCTATAGGTGGAGGCTGTTACCTCATACTGTAGACTCAGATGTGTAGGATAGGTTCAGATCCAGCTGCCAAAGCTCAATTTGGAGGACATGTCATTCTTGTTACTGTTCATTCTGAATTGTAGATTTCTTTGTCTACTTCTCAAGACATCTCTCTGGCTTGTATTTAGTGCTTAGCACACTAAACCACTTTCCTTTAATTTTGATAACAGTGAGTCTTTTCTGTGTGCTTACTATATACCACATAACTTACTCTACAGCATGTAACTCATGTAAGTTAAAAATGTTTTTTTCATTTTATCATCACAACCACCTATGGGCTTGCCCATTTTACAGATGATCAAATGAACTTTCTGGAGGTGAAGTGGCTTGCTCAAGGCCACACAGCCAGGAGGTTTTAAAGATGGGATGTAAGTATGGTGGTCCGACTCTAGGGCCTCCATGCTGTGCAATAGGGCATTCTGCTTTGCCTCCTCTGAGCTGATCCTTAGTGCAGCCTCACTGAGGTGGTAGGCAGCAGATATTGTTCTCTCCTTTTTACAGATGAACAATCTAAAACTCAGAGGTCAAGTGTCTTCTCCAGGGTTACTTGTCTAAGGAAAGCAGAGATCATACTAGAAACTTCCCTATTCAGACAAAGTTTGTTCCCCTTCATGTTGCTACAGAGTTGCGTCTTTCAGACCTAGTAGTCTGCAAACTGTCATATTCCAATTTTATTTTTTAACACTTTCTTCTCCAAATCCCACCAGATCTTTCTCCTACATTCTTACTGATCTCCTCCTTGGGTTCCAGTATCTTTTATCGTTCCCCAACCAGACTGTCAGATTTTAGGCTGTCTTACCCCCAAACTCCCAGCTCCTCTCCTCATCCATTTTTTTTTCTAAGCTACTTATCTCCCGCACAGCACAATTTCTCTTTATCCAATAAGGAATTATTTTCGTTACTATATCATCCCAGGAATCATTGAATCTGGAGAGTGAAGGGAGTGCTCTGTGTGACTCGGAAAAGTCTGACTTGTAAGATGGAGTCCCAGAGCATGAACTGGTCAAGGCTGATCAGCTAAACGGAGTAGCCCATTCCTCCCCGCCTGCCTCCCGCCCCTCCTCTTGACTGCCTCTTGCCCCTCCTTCTGCCTGCCCAGCTGCTCCCCACCTTGAAGCCATGGAAGACATGCAAGTTTTATGCCCAGAGGGAAGTTTATAGTTCTGTTTATTCTTCAGGCTTCCATGTATGGGTAAATGGGGAAGCCTCTAGCACTTGACACTAAACCCACAGTATTTTAAGGATAGATTGATTGCTCTAATATAATGGTGAGTCTTTCTGTTCACATTTCAGCCACTCCTTGACCACTCTCTTGTTTGGCCTATTAGAGCTGCTTAAGTGAGTCCAGGCTCCCTTAGACAAGAAGCAGAAGAAAGCCAGGACAGAGTGCAGGAGAAACACCCATGTAGGTTCTTATTATTGTAACATCTAGGATCTGTTTCATGATACTCAGAGTTTAATATATGATGTATGCATTTATTTTTCTAAATTATGCTAGCTCTAGACTGAGGCTCACAAGCTAGGTTTGGTGATAAATCCAGTCAACTGGGTTCCTTCTACTCATGTAGTTTATAAAAGTCTAGACTGTGTCATCCATTTGGAAGGCAGCCAATGGGTCAGTCATTTCCTCAAGATCATCTTGGCCAGGAGGGCCTTCAAAAGGCTCCTAAGGCTCAGAATTGAATGCTCCATCCACACAGGCACCAACACAATTCCAATTGAGAACTTTCCACCCCAGGGCCACTGTGTTTGAGCAGGTTCTGCACTTTGCCTCTCTATAGAACCCATATCATCTGTTCCATTTCCCAGTCTTGGGTAAGGCAGCAGAACGGGGTTGGCACATGACATATGGACCTTTCTATTCAAATACAATGCTTGTTATCTGTAGTCCTCCTACAGTTCTGTAAAACACTGGAACTTATTCCTCCTATCTAGCTGTAATTTTGTGTCCTTTAATCTTTTTGTATCCTCCCCGCAACTAAAACATAAATTTAAAACAAGAATAAAAAATATAAAGTTTGAAGTGCTTATTCCTTTCCTGTTAGAATAATCTAGTTAATTTTCTTATGGGCTTAGATTATCTAAACTCAAATGCCTTTGTAGAGTTTTCCACCAGGGAAATCCACTGCAGCTGTATAAATTTTCCTCTTATCTTTGAAATGTATTTATTTACTCACAAATATTTATTGAATTCCTGGAGTGATATTCCAAGAGTTCTTCTAGGCTATTTGGAAGCAGCAACGAAGAAGACAGAAAAGGTTCTTGTTTTCAGTGCATTCATGTGTGCATGTGCATGCATTTATGCACATATGAGGAGGTATAGAAATGGGATGCACATACATCACTTTCAGTAAATGATGAGTACATATTACTAAAATAGGATAAAGTGATAATATAATATGGCATGACTGCTGAAGTGCTGTTACGTAGAGTGGTCAGGAAAGGTCTCTTTGGGGAGGTGGCATTTAAGTTAACACCTGAATAAAAAAGAACCAGCCATCTGCAGGTAGACTTAGGGCTTTCATGATTTCCTTCTGAGTCTGCAACAGAAATAATTCAACGCACACAAACAATTGCTATTTAAAATTAAATAACCCTGTCATCTAGCCTATGGATATATACCTTGTCATGGGTTTTGATTGTATGAAGGATGGTCATCAGTATATCGAACTATTCTTATTAAAGTTAATGTAAAATATTTTTGACATGAAATGATATTCATGAAATATTGTTGGGTTAAGGGAATAAATTCTAAAACTACATATTGTATGATCTAATTTTATTAAACTGAGTGATTTTGACTTTTTTATTTTGATAATATGCATATTTTATAATACCACAAATTTTTTATTTAATTAAAATAGCTAAAAGAGAAACAATTGTAATGATAAAATTTTCTGAGAGAGGGCCATACTTATTCTTGAGGAAGGAATTGCCAGTGGTAAAATATGTTTTTATAGTGAGAAATACGTTTAGGTAGCAACTACACTAATTGCATATTTTGTCTCTATGTGCTTTTTATACAGATAATTGTATCACTTTCTTATTTTAAAAAACCTACATTTAAAAACTCACTATTATTCTTATTTTCTATGGAGAAATTAAGGCATGGAGAAATTGTGTAACTTGTTAAGGTTACACCTAGTGTTAAAGCAGAAGAACCAAGTTTTAAACTTAGGTCTGTCACTTGACAAAGTTCAAGTTCCTAACCACAGTGCTTTACTGCTTTTAAAGAGGCAATTTTGTAATATAGGAAGGTGCTTCATAATCCAAGGCTTCACTGTAGGTAAATTTGTCAACTTCCTATGGTAGTGGGAGCATGGGCCAGGAAGGTAAGCTAGCACTGAGCCCATGAGATAAAACAGGTATACATGTGCATTCCTGTGACCTGGAGAATTAGTACACATGGAAACTGGAGAAGGCCCATGAGACCTTACATGGACCAGAAACTAGACAGGAATCACTGCTTTTTAAAGTGAGGTACACAAAGAGATACACAGTTAGTGAAAGGATGAGCTAGAAAACTAATCCTAGAAGCAATTAACAAAGAATATTATTTGTCTTGGTCTTGGCTTTGGGTGAAGGATTTTAAAAAATTTCCTCTGAATATTCATGGTCACTGAACAGTCAGCCCATTGGGGTTTGAGATAGACATTCTATGACCAAGAAGATATATACTGAGAATTATAAAATAAATGATATTAGGTCTGTAGCGCCCCAATTTCTTGACAGAGGCAAACATGAATTTTCCTAGAAAACCCACTTTTACTCCAGTATTTAAAGAATTCTGAAAGATGAATTCACATTAACTTACATAATGTACAAGGAAATAGGCTACCCTGAGTGAGAGCCAGCAGACCACTGAAAGCCAGATGCAAAAAGGCATCAAATGCTGGCATTGTCAGATAATAATTCCCAGTAGATGCTTAATATACTTATAAAAAGAAAATAATTTTAAAATACACAAGGAACAAGATGCTTTCAAAAATGTCCACTCATATTTGTAAATGACCCAAGTGGATTTTCTAGAAATAAAAATTAATATAATTTAGATGAACAAAGTCAGTTGAAAGATTAAATTAGAGGCTTACTGGAGCTGAGGTGTGAATTAGTAAACTAAACAGTAGTTTTAAAGAAATTACCCAGATTGTAGCATAGAGAAGCAAAAAGAAGAAAAATATGACTGAATAGGTAAGGAGACTAGATGATAGTATGAAAGAAAATTGAACATAAGATATAGCTATACTTCTGGCCATCTCTTCTTCAATAAAATGTGGACAACAATCAGGTATACCAATTTAAGTTTTGGCCCCGAGAAGATTTCCCTTCACCACTACCTTTCAGAACCATACTTGGTTAGACTGTAATGATCCTTCCAGAATAATGTGAAGACCCATCAAAAAAATAAGCTCATGTTTCTCAACTGGAAATATGGAATTTCCATGAAACTTGGGTGTGGTTTGAAGGTAAGAGGAGAAAAGTATGAGTGGGTAGCATGAGACTCTGAGATGTGCTCTTGAAATTGAATCGTGCCTTTTTCCAGCTGTGCTTAAGTATGGTCTTGATTATGTATTTTCCATTTAATAACAGAATGCTCTGGGCACAGCCAAATTTACAGTTTTGCAGATCAGATAATACCTTGTTCTGAATGCCATTATGAGGCATCCATTATAGAGCCAGGAGCAACTTTTCAAAAGAAAGGGGATCGTTGGCCGGTAAGAGTATGGCTTTACACCAAAACTCTGCACCTGTCTGCAGGGCAATTCTCCAGGTGGCCTTGGACAAACTCAGTACTCCCCTATTTCTTGCTTGTAGTTCTCAAAAATAACTGTACAATGTTCTGGGACTGTAACATCCTGAGATAAGGAGGAACTGGCCAGAACAGCCAGGGCTCTGTTCCAGTCCCTTCTAGAAATAGAATGTCCTTCAATGCTTTGCCAAGCATGTCAAGTTGCTCTAAGATATAAAACCCAGGGTGGCTGCTCTCTGAGGTCCCTCAGTGGCAGTGCAAGTAGGGAAGGCACAGACAAGATTTCATCCACCCTGGGCAGCTTTCCTGAGCCTAGTGGGACTGGCTTTCCCTGAATCTTAGGCCTCTGTTTTCCCTTGCTGCCTGTATGTAAGTAATAAACACTCCTCATGTAATTTGTGTGTGTGAGCATTCTTTCTCTCTGGGATCTGGAAAGCAACAAAAGTATAGCCCAAGATGCAATGGTCTGAAGTGCAAATCAGGGCACAGCAAACCTGTTCCACACTGCCTTGTGATTCTCGTATTGGGGAATGTCAGGAGCTCCACAGGGCATCAGTATCTACCATAGGCTCTTCAAGAACAACTGGGTCTGCTTAGTCCATGGCCCAAGCAGCAGGAAGCTTTCATCATGGGCTTCTTCTGCCACAGAACCCTCTCTTGCACTGGCCCCAGCTTTACAGATTACATAGTAAATGGGATAGAGTAGCACAATCAAATGCAGTATATCCAAAGTTTAATTCAAAGTCCAAAGACTAAGCATTGCACCTCTTTCTCCGTGGTACATGATCTAAGGTGCAGCAGCTTACTTCTTACATCTGGACCACTCCAAAACTCACCAGTATAGAAGGTTCCTGAACTTTGCAGATTTTATATTGGCCTGGGATGCATGTGTCATATTGTCATATTGAAGCATCTAGAGGGCTTTATCATTCCTATTCACTGAGAACAACCAGATGTCATTAATATAATGTACCAGCTTTGTTTCAAGATGACTAAAGTTCTTCCAAAATATATTATGATAGAAAACCAGCTAAAAAGAGCCTTGAGATAAAACAGTTAAAGGCTATTACTGACCCCGCCACTTGAAGGAAACTGTATCTGATTGTTTTTATTGGGTATTTCTGAGCACCCTTCTAGAAGAAATTTTACCCTCAGCTTTCCAGGAGCCACTCTTCCTGCCTGTGGATAGAACGCTCCAGCTAGTCCTACAGATGCTCTCCTCATCCCCAGTCTATCCATTCATACCCATGCCCACCCACAAACACAGAAACAGCTGTGTCTGCCCAAAAGCTGTGGTTTCCTCCTTCTGTCCCACCTTGGCAGGGCCTTCAGGCTCGTGTGAGAGGAGCTGGGTAGGAGAGAGCTGAGGTTCTTGCTCAGATCTTTGATCTGTGCCCCGCACTGTGTCTTCAACGCTGCAGAGATATATGCTGCTGTCTTCAGGGCTCATGTTGCTCACAGTCAGAGTTGAGAATGTTAGGTTTGGGCGGCTGATGGGAAACTTGTCAATGACAAATCCACTCTCATATGTGGCCTCAGAGCCCTGATTTGCAGTTGCGATCAGTGTCAGGCTCTGTCCAGGTTGCTGACGGTACCAGAACATCATGGTGACTTGGCTATCGACTTGACACTGGATCGTCAGGGAGGTTCCACGTTGACAGATATCCCTGCTTGGCTTTTGAGAGATGACAGCACTGAACACAGAGCCTAGTTCCAGAGAGATATTCATGAGGACCGACAAGCTTGGGGTCAGACATCTCCCCAGGCAGGAAGGTCTCTGCTTTATCTCTCCAATACCACCTCAGCTCCCAAAGGACCCCAGGGAACTGCCTCCTTTTTATTGTGCCAACAATTACTCTGTTATGGTTCTTTAATCTAACATATCCCCTTCATCTTCTGTCTGGTGGCTTCAGACTCTCTGGAGAGAAAGTCTTTCCACCTTTCCACCCAGTGTTAACATTAACCCCAGACTCCTCAAAAGACAAGGCTCATACCTAGTCCCAGGAGAAGGAGCAGAAGACTCAGCATCTTCAAGTGATGGCCTCTCCCCTGAGAAAAGGCACTAAGAAGTGAAACTCAAGTTCATCTTTCCTTCCTACAGCGTAGTTCCTTCCCACTCTGTTTCCCTCCTCTAACAGGTGGTTGAGTTTCTGCATGATATGCAAAAATCAGTCTTCCCCCTGGTGGAACCGTGTGGCTCTTCACTCAGGATGAGTCTTCATGCACAAGTCTCACAGCATGCACCAGCCACTCACCACCATTCTCCCATCACTTTTCCATCTGTCATTACTGAACACCAATCTGTGCTACTGTCTGGGTGTAGAGCAAAAAGTGGGGTGCAGAATTGACTTCAAAGAACTAAAAGTAATATGTTAGAATATAAGGGAACTTCATTACAGTATTTCAGCTGCCTGCTGGGTCTTCATGGTTGTCCCAAACTGAACTCCTTCCTCCCCCAACACGTACACACACCAATAAACGGGCTCTTATTCCTCAATTCCCCTCTCCCAACAAATGGCATCCCTGCTCTTCTTGCATGTTAGGTTCAAGAATTCCATAAGCCTCTTTTTTCCTCACCTACCTTATTTGTCAATTCACAAATTAAATGCATTGTCTCTTATATCTCTTCCCTTGTTTCAGTTATCACAGTCATAACTATTTTTTTTTTGTCTTTGCTTAATTCCTGAATACTTGTAATATGGTTTCTTCTATTCTAATTCAACTCAGTCTAGGCCACGAAACAGATCATGTTTGTGTAAAACTTGACCACAATGGTATGATCTTTTTCCATTATCAAGCTGATTTCTCGTATCATGTAACTGCTTAAAATAGTTCATTTTTGCATAAAAGCAGAGCTAAGTTTTTGAGCACTTACTCTACTTTTCATACATTTATTTAAGTCTATTTTTTTGGCTAGGCTATTTATTATCATCACACTATTTTTACGGATTAGGAAATTTTACAGATAAGACCTAGAGACCTTAAATAACCTATCCAAGTTCATATAATCCAAGAGTAAGTAACAGAGTCAGGACTCAAATCAATGCCTATGCGATCACAAATCTCAAGTGTCAATATCAACACTATCAAGTATTGTCTGACTCTTGCAGTTGCCTGTGCCTTAGTAAAGTACAGTCTGGTGGGTAACTGAGAATGATAGGCCTAACACTCTAAAGAATACTAGGAAACTCCAGAAAGACAGCCTTGCAAAAACTAACCCATCTTATTTATTTGATTCTGAGATTCTCTCTATTATAAGATGTTCTATTAAATATCTAATTGTTACTTTTGGGTGGTGTTTAGTACTACCACATTAAAGGTGAAGATTGATTATAGGACTTACCCGTATTTCAAAGAAAATAGAATTGTGAAAAACAATTTACCTTATAATGGACAAAATGTGACACTTTAACAATATTTCAGCAACTTGTTCATATGAGGAGTGTGTGTGAAGCCTTTACAACTTATTGGACATGCCACGGACAGTGGCTCAAGATAAACTCTGCTAAGTAGAAGTAGTAAAAGGTATAGAATACTTCAGTTTTTCTTGACATGTAGGTATATTTTTAAATCTTTTAGTCAAGTGTATCAAACTCTATGCCAAAATAACCCAGCATCTTTTTCATTTTATTTATCCTAAAAGCTTCTGAAAATTAACAAATGATCCCTATTCTTTACTAAATTCCAAATCTTTGCTTCTTCATCAGTATTCTCTTTGTTTGGAAAACAAAAAACAAAAAACAGCAAACATATTCCTCTCCCTTTTCATGCTTTTCAAACTGCAGTGGTCTCTAGATTTTTCTCTCGGGGAATGTTATGGATACTAAACTCTCATTGAATTTTAATG